>NC_000001.11:177730041-178033071 GCF_000001405.40 Homo sapiens
GGGACTTTAAAGAAACCAACAAATATTTAAAAGAGCTAGAAAGGAAATTCAATGACTTTCCTGCCCCAAAACTAGCCAGATAGTTTATGGGAGAGTTCTATAAAATTTTCAAGGAATGATGAATTCCAATTTTAAACATTGTTTCTAAAAATAGAAAAAGAGGTGAAAGCTGCCAAGATTATTTTATGATAAAAACATAATCTTGATTCTAAAACCAGATAAACACAATATAAGAGGGGAAATTTTTAGAGCCATTTCACTTATTAATTTAGATGAAAATATACTAAACAAAATGGTAGAAAATAGAATTGACAATAACGTGTGGGTGGGTATGTGTAACAAGCTCAAGGGGTGTTATCAAGAAATGTACCAAAAATCTAATGACATAATTTACTACATTCAGGATAAAGAAAAATTATATAGTAATTATATATAAATTGTTAAAATGCATGTAAATAAATTACATAATATATAATAATAACAATTGGCACAGAAGGAACAGCTGATAAGCTTTCACACCTATGAAGGATAATGCATTCCATCTTCACTATTACTTTTAACTTAGTACAAGAGATCAATGTTACAAGTGAAGTAAAAGAAAAGAAAGATAAGGATTGGAAAACCAGTGATTAAATTGTCTTCTAGGTAGATATGATCATCTGTCTAGAAGAACCAACACAATTGCCAGATACAAGATCAATCTTAAAAATAATTTCTCTGTGCTAACAAAACTCAACAAGAAAATGTTATTTTGAAAAAAGAAAAATACCAGTCACAGTATCAACAAACTAGATACTACAAAGTGTCTAGAAGTTAACCTCACCAAAAGTACACAAGACCTCTGTAAAGAAAATGTAAAACTCTAATAAAGAACATAGAAGAGAATAATACAGATGTCATAAATAGAGAAGGCCCACGCCTTTGGATAGAGGAATTTAATAGTCTAAAGATGTTGATTATCTATAAATTAATACATAAATTAAGGCAACTGAATTAAAATCTTAAGTCAAATTTCTGTGAAACGTGATAGGCATACTCTAACATGTATATGAAAAAAATTACCAACAGATAAAGTCATGATTAAAACAAAAGACTAAATGGAACAGACTTGCTCTGCAAAATATTGTTAAAAGATGATAGATTTTTAAAATTCCCTGTGGTATTAATATAAAAACAGGTATATAGACCGAAGAAACTGTCAGAGATCTATGACATTATAGGAGAATGTATAAGAAAGTAGTACTGTAAATCAACAAGGAAAGAATTTGCCATTTTGGCAGAAACTGACTCAGTAGAGAAAAATAACTGAATCCCTAATTAACACCACATAGAAGAAATATAGCAGAATATCTTTGTAATATAGGAATGTAGAACTTCCTAAGTAAAAATTTTAAGTGTTAATCCTAAAACAATAACTCAATGAAGTTTATGGCAGCAAAATTTAATATTTCTGCACATTAAACACCACAAAGTCAGTTAGAAGACAGATATTTTCAATGTTTAAAACTACAAGGAATTAATATCTAGAATATGGAAGAAGTGCAAATTAACATCAAGAGGAGAGCATCTCTATTAGAAAAATGGGCAACTAATATAAACAGACAATTCCTAGAAGAGGAAATCCAAAACCTGAGAAGCATATCAAGAGACACTCAAACTCATCAATAGTCAGAAAAAAATGGAAATGAAAACAACATTAAGATTTCACTCTACACCAATTAGACTGGCAAGAATTAGAAAACTGGATAATGCCAAGTGTTGGGGGAAGGAATTAGTTATATTGGAATTCCCATGCATTGCTGATTGTAATACAGTCTAATGCCATTATCAGGGGAAACAGCCTTGCACTACTTACACATACTAAATGCACACACTTTACAACCTAGCAAGTCTGTTCCTAGATTATATATCTAAAAAAAATTTCATACAAGTCCAAAAGGAGACGCATTCAAAAGCACAAATAGACAAGTGGGATTACATCAAATGAAAAAGCCTCTGCACAGCAAAGGAAATAACAGGGTACAGAGGACCCCTAACAGATTGGGAGAAAATATTTGCAAGCCATACAACTAGAAAAGAGCTAATATCCAAAATAAGAAAAGGAGCTCAAATAATTCAATAGCAAAAACAAAGAATTTTTAAACCCAACTTAAAAATGGGCAAGGACCTTGTATTAGTCCATTCTGACACTGCTATGAAGAAATAACCGAGACTGGGTAATTTATAAAGAAAAGAAGTTTAATTGGCTTACAGTTCCGCAGGGCTGGGGAAGGCCTCAGGAAACTTAAAATTGTGGTGGAAGGGGAAGCAAACACGTCCTTCTTCTCGTGGTGGCAGGAAGCGGAAGAATGAGTGCGCAGCGAAGGGGGAAGCCCCTTATAAAACCATCAGATCTGTGAAAGCTAACTCACTGTTTGGAGAACAGGATGGGAGAAACTGCCCCTATGATTCAATTAGCTCCACCTGGTCCCTCCCACAACCAGGTGGAGATAACAAGTGTTAGCAAGGATGTGGAGAAAAGGGAACACTTATACACCTGGTGGAAATGTAAATTAGTAGAGCCATTATGAAAAAACGTATGAAGCATTCTCAAAAAACTAATAGAATTACCACATGATCTAGCTATCTCACATCTGGGTATTTACCCAAAAGACTTGAAATCGGTTTGTCGAAGAAATGTTTGCATTTCCACATTCATTGCAGCACTGTTTACAATAGCCAAGTTATGGAATGAGCCTAAGTGTCCATCAACAGATGAATGCATAAAGAAAATGTGGTAGTATATATATACATCATGGAATACTACTCAGCCTAAAAAAAGGAAATTCTTTCATTTGCCACAACATGGGTGGAGTTGGAGAACATTATGCTGTATGTAAAATAAGCCAGGCACAGAAAGACGAATACTGCATGTACTTATGCAGATCTAAAACAACTGAGCACATACAATGAGAAAGTAGAATGGTGGTTACAGAGGCTGGAGGGTGGGAGCATAAGGAAATGGTGGTCAAAGGATACAAAATCTCAGACAGGAGGAATTTTTTTTTTTTTTTAGTTCTATTGCACAGCACGGTGAATATAGTTAATAATGGAATATTAAACATTTCAAAATTTCTAAGAGAGTTAATTTCAAACATTCACATCACATAAAATGTTAAGTATCTGAGTGATGGATATGTCAACTAGTTTGACTTAATTATTCCACATTGTATTCACAAATCATTACATCACTTTGTACCCCATAAATTCATGCAAATGTAAATTATCAATGTACAATTTTTTTAAAAGGGGATCTACTGGAGGTGTTTGGAGGCTGGTAGGATTGTATAAAAGACCATTGGTCTGCTCAGTTAGGCAGATTTTAGTTAGAAGTGAGACATTTCAGTAATATTTTAGTTTTTAGTGGCAGTGGGAAGCAATATGTTGATTTTGGAATCTGGGTCTGAGACACAGGGATTTAAGATTCTGGGCTGCAGAAGTCAGCTTAGGGAAGATAGGTGTGGGGGAGGAGAAACCCAACAGGCCTTAATCCCTTACGATTCCTACATTACAGTGTTTCAGCAAATATTTTGCAAAAGGGTTTTCTGGATGAACTTCAAACTGCAAGAGGTTCCATTTGGTGGCTTGAAGAGCTGTGCAAATGATTTTTTTTTTAAGGAAATGAACATTGTTTCAGCTGACATTTAAACCTCTATTCTCTTTTACTAGCCTGCCACATTGCTTCATATGTTTTGGTCAGACACACTTTCCAGAAGAAGAAAGAGATATTTATAGGATTGTTGAACTGTGGTATGGAATCCTGGTATCTGTCATTTTTCGCTTATATAAAAATTCTATTAATAGAACCCAGAGTCCTGACCAGCTTCTGTCTCTCTTATGGATTTGGTATCTCCCATGGAAGTAGCAATTTAAAATATCAACAGAGTCTAAATGAGAATGACCCTATCTAGTGATCTTTTCAACTATATCTCCTCTTATTGGCTGGAGTCTGAGACACTGTAAACCCAAGGATTGCGTGAAACAGTTTGGGTTCTTTATTTCATTCCATTGCTCACAGAAGTACATTTGAATTTTTCAGGCCATATGACTATATTTTTGGATCTATAAACACAGTCTGCATAACAAATAGTTCTTTAATGAACTTACTTGATGTAATCATTGGTGTTGAGTTGGATTATGAATATACAAACCCAAGGTTTTCCATCCCTGCACTAGTCTTGAACTTTGCCTTGCTGAGGTGTGAATGTGTGTGGCATGAATGCATGTGTAACAATATGTGGAATAAGATTCTGCCTCTCAACCATTGTCTCAACTGCTTGCCTGCCACCCCTACCTCTCAACCATCTATATAAGCAGAAGACTGAGGAATCTCTTTTGGGCACATAGTAGAGTTGGTAGGATGTCTCAACCCTTCTGTTGGTAGGATGTCTCAACCCTTCTGTCACATTAGGACCATGTGACTAGTGGTAGGCCGTGTGTCACTTCTAGGCCAGAGTGGCAAATTGACAGTCACCAAGCCAATGCCGTCAGTCACCATTCAAATGGTGGCTTCTTTTTTTTTTTTTTTTTTTTTTTTTTTGAGATGGAGTCTCACTCTGTCTCCCAGGCTGGAGTGCAGTGGCGCAATCTCAGCTCACTCCAAGCTCCGCCTCCTGGGTTCATGCCATTCTCCTGCCTCAGCCTCCCAAGTAGCTGGGACTACAGGCACCCACCATCATGTCCGGCTAATTTTTTTGTATGTTTAGTAGAGACGGGGTTTCACCGTGTTAGCCAGGATGGTCTCGATCTCTTGACCTCATGATCCGCCCGCCTTGGCCTCCCAAAGTGCTGGGATTACAGGCGTGAGCCACCACGCCCGGCCTCAAATGGTGGCTTCTATGTGAGCAATAATGAGTAGAGCCTCCCTACCAACTAGTGATAGAGAAGTAACTTAAGAATTTTTTCTTTGTTTTTTAAAACCCCTGAGATTTAGGAGGTTTTGTTACCACAACAGGAATTAGACGGAATACAATGATTTTTTTATCCTTCCCACCAACTTAGGTCCTTGTCATCCTCGAAGCCAAACATAAGGGCAGCAAAAATGGACAATGGCCTCTCTTCCCCTATTGAGTATTTGATTGGGTGATGGATGTGATGACTATTTGAGCAAATGAAAAATGAATGGAAGGAAGACAGCAAGGCAGAGAGGGGGTAGTAGATCAGTTGACTAAACATTCACTGTTTTTCATATCAAAAATGTGAGTGATTCTGGTAGACAAAAGGAAAACCTTGTGAATCATCCAGGTTAATTCTCCCCCAAGTGCAGTTCATCAAGACCACTGCATAAGCAAATGTCCACCTGGGAGGCCAGTCTGCCCTTTATACAGGTACTCCCAATTCCTGTAAAGGATTTACTGGGACCCTGTCTTCCATACACACACAGCACCTTATTTGGCAACAGCTGAATTTGAGATACTTGTCCCTTTGTTAATCTCTGTCCCTCTTCCCAACGTGCTGAAGGATAAATAAAAAATACAGAAGAGAAGAGGAAAGGAGAGAGACACTGCTTTTTCTTCACTGCAGATCAGTAGCCACAGTGAATCCCAGAAGTGGGCTAGAACATTAGATAAGGCTGTTACTGGACTTAATAACTGCAGGTGACCAGAAAGCTCTGATAAAACGTTCATGATACTATTATAAGACAGTAAAGCTAGATCTGACAAAATATGGTTGAAGGCAGTGATCAGAGAAAGAAAAACTGTTTTATGCTTGCACTGCACTGAGTTGGAAATGTTCACAAAAATAGTTACATATCTAACTAAAAATAATGATTAATTTTTTCTAAAGCACTCAGGAACTCATACATCCAAATGAGTGTTGTCATTCAAAGAAATCTCCAAGGCTACACTTTTCATACAGTAATGCTTTCATTGCTCAAAACATTTTTGGAATTGCCTTTAGAGTCAGTTTATGAGCCAAAAAATAAAATATCTCTTTATAGTCCCAGCTCAGCCTTCCTTGGATTACTGCTATATTTGCCCTCCTTCCCTCTCTCCTGGCTTTATTAGCCTAATTCCACATTCCTCCCTCTCATTCTATCAAATAGGGTAAGTGAACTTCATGCTTGCTGTGTGCATCGAGGGACATAAGGGGTTGGAAAGACAAAAAGAGGAAGCAAGGGAGTTTTATGAGAAGCAGCCCATTTGGATGTTGCCCACTGAAAAGCTGTAAATTGCTGTCAAGGGTATTGCTGATTGACCATCACAAATGTGATCCCCCAGAGTTGAATCCCATTGAATTTACAAAATCATTGGGGGCTATAAACAAAAGTCTTATTAAATGTTAAAAGATTCAAGTTATACAAAATATGTTCTCTGACCATAATGGAATTAAATTATAAGTCAATAACAGAAAGATATATGGAAAATACCCCCAAACATTCAGATACTAAATAACACAGTTCTAAATATCTCATGGTCAAATGAGAAATCAAAAGGAAAATTAGGACACTATTTTGAACTGAATGAAAATGAAAATACACATATTGAATTTGTGGGATGCTGCTAATAAGAGAAAATTAAGCCCAAAGTAAGCAGAAGAAAGGAAATAATAAAGATCAAAATGGAAATCAATGAAATAGAAAACAAGAAAACAGTAGGTAAAAGCAATGAAACCAAAAGCTGCTTCTTTGAAAAGATCAATAAAATTGATAAACCTCTAGCAACATTGATCAAGAAAAACAACAGCAAGAAAACACTAATTACCAGTAGTGGGTATAAGAGTTGACATCATTACAGATTGTACAGATATTAAAAGTATAATAAGGGGAATACTATGAACAGCTTTGTGCTTATAAATTAGAAAACTTAGAAAAAGCGAACAAATCTCTTGAAAGACACAAACTATAATTCTCACTCAATAATATGTAACCTGAATAGATTTATTTCTATTAAAGAAATTAAGCTTATACTTAAAAACCTTCCCACAAAACAAACTCCAGGTCGAGATAGTTCCACTGGTAAATTCTAACAAACATTAGAGGAAATAATACCAATTCTATACAAATTCCTCCAAAAAATTACAGAGGAGAAAATACTTCTCAAGTCAGCCTGTAAGACCAATATTTTCCTTATACCAAAACAAAGGCATTGTCAGAAAACAAAACTCCAAACCAATATCCCTCATTTACATAGATGCTACATTCCTGAACAATATCTTAAGATATCAAGAAACTATAGAAAACATAATACATCATGACCTAGTAGAATTTATCCTTGGAATGTGACATTGATTTAACATTAAAAAAATCAATCACTACAACTCACCATTGAAGTTAACAAAAGAACAACCATGTGATCATCATCATTAGGGAAATAAAAGAGAAAGAAAAATCAAAGAGAAATAATCCTAGGATTTTGGCCTGAAAATGTGACAGGTGTCACAGAAAATTCCAGAAGAACAAAAGAGATGCCAGCCATTTGGGTTTGATATTCAGGAAATTCTTTGTTGACTTTTTCATAATAGTTTCAGTAGAAAGATGGGGATAACAGATTTTCCAAGGCTGATGAATAAAGAGGAGCAAGTATCACTCATGACCAAAAGATTGCTGTTATTTCTAATCAACCCTCAATCCCAACCACAACCCTCGATAGAGTAGAGGAATATTTCACCCCACTTCCCATCTGGATATAAACCACAACAGATGAATATTTTGCATCTTTGGCCAATGTTAATTCAGACTTGGTCTTACATAAACCCCAACCTTACTTAGAAAGTATGTAATCTGAAATACGCTGAAGAATTTCTTAGCTCCTAACTGTCATTTGGAACATAGAAATTAGGGGGACACAAAATGCAGTAAAACAATAGATGCTTTAGACCAAATTGGCAAATTTAGAAATAAATAAATCACCAGGAGTACATGGAGCCACCCAAGGGTCTGAAAGAACTCAAGGATGAAATTGTGAAGCTGTTGGCCAAATTGTAACCTTGAAGTTACAAATAGCCACATACCACCATAGTAGCCAATTGCCAGAGCAACTTCTCTCTATGAAAAGGGCTGCAGATACCTGAGAACCACAGAAAATAGGTCTAACTTCCAACCCCAGTATGTTGTTAAAAACTACAATGAAGTGGAAGCCAACTACAATCTCTTGTTTAGATTGTGTTCCCCACCCTCAGAGGTAGCAGAGCAGTTCTGTGCAAACTGCTGCAGATGGAAGCTAGAAGAACCACTCTGATGCTTATTTCGCCCCTATTGAGATTGTAAGCACCACAACCTGACTCATTCACATCTGCAAAATGGGAATAATGTATACTTTACTCGCTTCAAAAAAAGTGTTGGGAGGTTGACAGGAGGTGATAGAGATTCTTCCACTTTATGTTAAAGAAATTAAGCCTAAACAAACCTATGGCATTCATGTATTAAGGAGAATACCAATAATAATAACAATAATTCTCTTCTACTAAATGCCTACAGGAAAGAGGATAAATCTCCAGTGATTTTTCTTCCATTAAAACCTTGCCAGCTGCTTCCTATCCTGAGGATAACACTCAGGTTTTCTAGGGCTATTGAGTAAAGATAAGTAAATGTTACTCATGAGTAATAGGTCGCTTGTTTTGATTCCTTCGTTTCTCCACTAAACTCACAAATGTGCATACTTACACATTAATAAATTTGTTAACTCTTATCAGTTCTCTACCACAGTGCCCCTAGAATCCATTCTTCATTTCATTCCCCCATAACACTGACCTAATTCAGCTTCTGTTATATCTATCATTCTCTGAATACTTACTGAGAGTTTTCTATGTGCCTGGTATCATGCAAGATACTGAGAACATGATGGTGAATAAGACATGAGTCTTGCTCAAAAGTTTCTCAGACTCAAGTGCTATTGGTGGAGATTTTCTGTGTAAAGGAGATCACATTATGTGGCACGTTTAATACAGAGAGTTAAGTTTGACAAAGATAATAAGAGGGTATTGATAGAAGAGGTTGTTGATAAGGATGGAGGTTTTATGAGAGATGAGGCATGTAGTCAAACATAAGGTGGTCAAGAGAAGCCTGCTGGTGAAGAAGATTCTTTAAGCTAAATCTTCAAAGTGAAGGCTGTAGGACCATTGCTGTGTAGAGGGAGCGGGGAAGGTGTATAGGAAACAAAGAATTCTAGTCAGAAGCTGCAAAGAATGTTTGGGAAATTATAAGCATCTCAGGATAATTCGAACATGATTTGTTAAGGAAGGGGCAGAAGTCTGGAGAGGGAGGCTGGAGCCAGATGTTTGATGGTCCTGTAAACTGTGTTAAAGCAATTTCACTTTAGGATGAAGATGATGTGGTGCCGTGTGAAGGGTTTTATGCATAAAGGTGACACGGGTTGTTTTTTAGCAAAACTTTACTGTCAGAACCCAGCCCCACATCTCTGGTGTGTAGCCTCAAAAGCTCAGAGCATGTGACACCCATACAGCCTTGTCTCTGCACAGAGATCACACCTGCACATAGAAGAGCTCCTTCGTGCTATCACTACCCAGAGACCCAGCCTCACTTTCATCCTGTGGGGCCAAGCAGCACCTCACCGCTCAGACTAGAAGACTGTTGGGACCTCTTACCTTGGCAAACAGCCACATGACTCTCTCTTCTCCAACTGAGGTCCTACTAATGATCATCCTTTTCTTTTTCCTGATTCCTAAATAGCTTTGTGTTTCTTCCTCCCTGATACAAGTGCTAGCATCACACTTCTCCGAAGCCCTTGCCCTATGCTCTCTAGAGTCTCAATTCCTTGATTAACAAATTCCCTTATACCCTGAATGTCTTCACTGAGGGTCTTCTTACTCCCTGATCTTAATGTGGTTGTCCCAAAAACCTAATTCTCTTGCAACCATCTCAAATGAGTGGTCCTGTTACTCACATCATTCGAAACTGAAAGGCATGCAGAATTGAAAGTCAGGCCCCAAATCTTCTTACCTCCAGCGCCCAGACCATTATTTCACCCTCTTAAAAAACAACCCCAAGTCCCTTTCCCTGCAGCATGCACAGTCCTCCTCAGCTTTGTCACCTGCTGCCCTCATGGACATCATTTCTCATTTGCTGATATCTTTGGGATCCTCACCAAGTTCTGCCACAATCCTGAGGGTTCCAAACACTCTTTGACTTTCTCAACTGCAAAGAACTTCTCCACCCAGAGACCTTGTGTTCACCAGAAATTGTTTCACCCCCAAAGAGTGAACTATCTAATCACAAAAAATTCCATCATTCCAGTATCCTCACTCAATTACACCTATAAAACCAGTTCTCCTTGCTCACTGGGATTTACAGTCCATTGACCTCTCTAACCTTTCCTCCCTCCATCCCCTAAGCCCATATGCATCTTATGCACTGTAATGTATTACTGAGTCATGTTTTTGTTGATATGCTTTATTGAGTCTTTATGGAACCAATTCACTTAGCACTTCCATTCTCAGAAATCTCTGTCCTGGGCTAAATGAGATACCCATGTATTGTCAAAAAAACTCCTGACCAGTTTCTTCATATTCCAAGACTCTTCCCACTCTAAAAATTATAGTATATCACTTCCTAATTCATCTTTTAAGCTGAGCTATGATCACCCTACTAACCTGATCTCAAATCTTCAAGTGATGCCCACTGCTTATCAAAACAACTGCATCTATCTGAGATCATGTGCTTGTATCTCCTTCTGATGATAGAGCCATTTCCTATGCATAGCCGGATCCCACGTCTCTCTCTGCCCGTGACACTCTGAGCTGAAGATATGCCACTCAAAAGGGAAGACTCCCCTTCCCCCTTCACCCACATACCCTCTGGAATCATGATGCAAATTTGTATTACTTTATTCCAGAACAACCTACAACTAACCTCTCTGTTCTTACCTCACTCTCCTCCTGCCCATGTTTAGTATCCCCTAATCACCCTGACCTCACTTCCCAGCCAAGTTCCAATAACACATATATTACTCTTCCTTGATTTCCTTCACCTCCCACACCCATCCCAATCTCTACCCTCCAATGAAGGTTTCTGGGAACATGTAACTATTGGCCTGTCTTGTGAAATGCATCAGAGGTTTGGCCTTGAATTATAGTTGTAATACTCATTTCTCTAGCTTAGTGCCATGCCTCCCTAAGGTCTTTTCAGTGACTTCTGGGAAAACTCAGGACCTTCCACACCCATGTTGCAGCCAGTGCTTTCTCTCCTTGGCTGCTCCAATCCCACCCACAGTGCACCACCATGTGCTTGCATTTCCTCACAATGATAGAACCAATTCCTGTGCATAGCCCCACCCTGCCTCTCCTTCTGCCAGTACCACTCAGCTGAAGCCACACTACTCAAGAGGGAAGATTTCCCTTCACCCACACACCCTCTGGGACCATGATCCAAATTTATATTCCTAAAAGAGAGCTTCTGGGTATTCCTAAAATCTCACAGAGGGTTTGTGTGAAATCCACATTTTGAGTTTCTGCCTGAAGCCTCTCTTCCTAAGAATCAGAGGTAAAGCCATGGAGACTGACTGGCAGAGAAAATCTCCGAGAAAAATAAAGTGTTTTTCTCTGAATTCCTTTCTACTCCCCCTTTCCTTATCTCTGTCATCCACATTCCCCCCCTGGAGTTCCATTGCAGGCCCAATCAACAAAGGGCTTTTGTTTCACAGTGAAGCTTTCTGTGCAGTTTGGTAGTGAACACAAGTCAGTAAATCAAAGCCTGGTCCCAACACTGGTGACCTTGAGAAGCCACTGCTCTTCTGAGTGGCATATCTCATAGGGCTCCTCTATACCAGGGCTGTTGTGAGAGCTGTCCAAGATGAAACAGCTGGGATAGTGCTGTGAATTGCCAAGCATTACATATGTGCAAGCTCCTCAAGGGCAGAGATCTTGGCTGTGTCACCTAGAGAAAATTAATTAACCTTCCAAACCTCAGGTTCTCAATCTATAAGATGGGGCTGATATGGATCATCTCATAGGGCTTTCATAGAGAAGTAAATGATGTATGGATAATGCCTAATAGTTACATGTTACTGGAAAGTAGTCATACATTCCAGTGTCACCACAGTGGTGATGGTGGTGGTGATATTCCATGAAAGAAGATAATGATGATGTCTCCATTCTGAAAACTGAAGGTATCATCCTGCTTATATAAAAGTCCAGCTGTACTTTCATTGATGTGCTGATCTTACCCCAAAACACAAAGTACCAATTACACTAGAAATTCTCCAAATAGTTCCCTGGTTGCTCATAAAACATCTGAAGATTTTCTACTAAAGGAGTTTTTAAATTTTTCTATATTAGGATGTTATCCAATAACCATAAAATATCATTATTTATAATGGCATATATAATTTGAATGTTTCAAAATCTATTTAAGATACTACAAAAATTCTATTGCTATAAAAATATATTTGCAATGTTGGCATATTATATAGACGTACTTTTATAACACCAGTTTAATTGTTCAGAGCCAAGTTTAACTCCTTTTTTGTCTGGTATATTTTTGCCCAAGACTTAATCTGGGGCTAAACAGTCCAATATAAGAAGATCAAAAAAGTCACCATGTGGTAATTTTATATTTTCAGCACATTGTGTCTGGCCATACATTTTTAATATCATAAAATTGACTTGTTCTGTAATATTTTGATTGGAGATTTATGCACACTGTTGCCACATTCTTTAAACAGATGTGCAGTAAATTTGATGAAAAAAATAATTCCTTTCTCCTGAAACTAGGACACTTACTCATTTAAATAATATAGAACAACAACAGTCACTGTGGATGTTTTAGAAACACAGGATGTTCTACAAAGTAAAAGTCCTCAAAACGTGCAGTCACAGTTTTATTCCCAATTAATTGCAGACTTCAAAACTTCTAACTGGTGTACTACTATATTTCTCATGATGGCCGCTCCTATCCACATTGTCCCCTGTGCAGTAGCAACACAAAACATCATGAACCAAGGAGAAGATTGGCCTTTTTGTCAGAAACTGCAGCCCCATGGATGGGGTTTAAGGTGACTCTGTGTCAAGGACCTAATTACAGCCACTCTTAGAGGTTTCACAGAAAAGTAGAGAAAGCCCTGGCTTTAGAATTCTACATCCTGCATTCCAGTCCCAGTTCTAGAACTTACCACCTGTGGAACTCCTTTCTGCTTCAGTTTCCTCACCTGTAAAGTCAGGATAATAAAACCTACTTTGCACGGAGGTTGTAAAAGTTGCATAAAATCTTCCCTAATGTCTAGAACAGTGCATGGCACACAATAGATTGCAAGTTGTATTTAGAATACGTATGTATTTTGTTATAACTCTTATCTTGCTGATGGGGAGATATATCCTTGGTCTAAATGGGCTCCAGGAGATAAGGTGAAAAGATTTTTATAAATCCGCAACAGTTACTAGGAAAAAAACAAAAACAAAAACCCAATACCCATTCCTTAATGGTAATAGATCTTATATGCAAAATAACAATCACATGAAAAGCCTCCTCAAATCTAACTTCTTTGAGAAATTTTCTTGAAAGTTATTGATATCAATGACTTTTACATATCATTTTGAACAACCTCCCTAATTCCAGAAACCATGTACTCTAAAGCATCTGAAATAATTTACACATTTTGTATAACGTTTTTGTTCAATGTTCTATCATTATTAATCCACAAATAGTCTCAAATGTCATTTAAATAAGTGGTTTCCAACTTTTTCCCAACTGAAGCCTTTACTAAATTATTTTCGCCAATATCCAAAGAGACTGATTTGAGTTCTTCCTCCCCTGGGTAAGATGCTAATGAATACAAGCAAAAGCCAAATGTCAAAACACCAAAGGAAAACCAGGGTATTTAGATTATCTGCTAAGGATAAATAATTAAACAAAAACTATATTTTAATTTCATACATTACTTGGCCTTGGCAAACTTTACATTTGGAGTCACTCTCAATAAAACCTCCCCTTACCTCATGTACCCCTCCAGCTATCACTCCATTTTCCTCCCCACTTACACCAGAACTTCTCTAAAGAGTTTTCTTTATCATTTTCACTTTCTCCATCCCTTTCTTTCTTGAACCCACGTCAATCAGTCTACGTGCCCAGTAAATATTTCACTGAAATTGCTTTTGTCTAAATCACAGATGACTTTCACATCAACAAATTAAGTGATTAAATTATTGTCTTTCTTTTATATTTAGAATTTCTCAGGCAATATTTAGAGTATTAAAAAGTATAAATGATTCAGTATTATCTTGGCACCTACCACCAAGCTTAAAAAGCAAAAATATTACCAACACAATTGAATGTTTCTGTGTATTGTTCTCAGATTGCCTCTCCTCCCCCATTCTTGAAGTAACTAGAATCCTGAATTTCATACTTTCATTCCCATGTATTCCCTTATATTTTTACTATGTAGATTCCTCTAAACAATATAGGTTTGTTTCATATGCTTTAAGACTTTATAAATGGTATTCAACTGCATATATTCTTCAACTTTTCACTTACTATAATGCATATGGGATACACCCATGTTACTCCAGCTCATTCATTTTCTCAGCTGAATAGAATTCCATTGTACAAACACAGTATAATTTACCCATTCTCTTGTTGATAGACATTTTGGGATGCTTCCAATATTTTTCTAAAAATAAACAATGCTTCTGTGAGGATTCTTACATTCATCCCAATAGTAAATTCTTAGTGCTCACCTTCCTTGGCCTCCTGGGGACATCTGATACAGGTGACCACTCCATCTTTAAAATGGAGTTTTAACTTGACTCCAGAAACACAGCATTCTTATTTTCTTCCAACGTCACTGCCACTTCTCAGTGTCCTCTGACAGCTCTCCTCTTCCAAATCTCTAAACGTTGGTGTGCCCCAGGATGGAGGTTTTGAAAAGTCTCTCCTTTCCTCTCTCTCTCCCACTCCCTAAATAACCCCATCCACTTCTATGGCTTTAAATACCACTGTTTGCTGATGATTCCAAAATATGTGTATCATTAGCTCTGCCCTCCCCCTCAGTCTTCAGGCTTCTCTATCAAACTTCCTATTCAATATCTCCACTGGGATGTCTAAATTTAACACATCCAGCATTGAATGATTTCCACAGCTGCCCAAAGCTTTTTCCTCTCCAAGTCCCCCTCATTTCATTGAGTTGAATCATTCAATTTGTTGCTCCGGATAAAAGAAAAAGCCTTCTCTATTTATCCTGTATCTTTATACTACTTCAAACACTTCAAATCCATTCAAAAATCCTGTGACATCTACCTTCAAATATATTTCAAAATAAACCACTTCTCATCACCTCGACCTCCACCAAGCCACTACAGTCACTCACCCAAATTATGTAGTAGCTTCCTAACTGGGCTTCCTACTTTCACTCTTCTCCCCCTACAAGCTACATTCCACAAAGCAGCCCAAGAAATCTGTTAGAAAAGTAAAGCATATAAATCATGCCATGTTTTTCCTCTGCTCAGAACTCTCCAGAAGCTTCCCAAGTCACTCACAGTATGATCCATGCCCTTCCCCTACCCTGTGAAGCTCTAGCTCTAGATGATCTAGCTTCCTAATTCTTCACCTCCCTCACCTCCAGCCACCCTCCCTTTCCTCACTAGACTCCTATCACCCTGGCCTCTTTGCTGTTCCTCTTACACACTTAATATTCAATGCCTCAGGGCCTTTGCATCTGTTCTTCCTTCTGCCTGGGTTGCTCCTTCTCCCCCTAGACTTGTACAGCTTGATTTCTCATGTCATTCAGATCTTGGCTCAAGTGGCCTTTTTCCCTATCTTCTCTAATATTTCTCTCCCATTACTCCCTATGCCCTAGCCAGATCACTCCACTTGCATAATGGTATAATGCCTTTGGAATTCTGGGTGCTTTGACTTATACTCCAAGTGTTCGGGAATCCAGGTCAAAGCAGAATTTTTCAGCATTTTTGTTTGACATCTGCACTACTATGAAACTTATGGGAAAAAAGAAATGAGGGATAGGAGATTGAAGAAACGTGATCTTTGGTTCAGGTGCTAAGGTATACATTTTTATTCTGGTTTTGGTCCACCCAAACCACTGACCTACAATCCAAGATTCCCTGAATGTTGGTGTAGACAAAAATTCCCATGTCTATCATCTGAAACCTACCTCAGACTTTCATGGAATCATCGTGGAGATCTGGTGACACAAACTTCTCTTGTGGGAGCTGCAGGAATAAATTGATTCACTTAAGTACTGAACAACCACGATGCATAAGACTCTGGTCTCAGCCCTGTGCAGCAACACAGAAATGCAAGGCATTGTCTCTCCCCACCCCCATGTTCCAGAGGCTCATCATGAGGTAAATGACACACTGTGAATTTGAGAAGTGATAGACCAAGCGCAAATAACAAGTGATGTGCTGCAGAGTTCAGAACAAGGTCAGCAAATACTAACAGCTAGCATTTTTTTGAGCAATTAGAGTGTTCAAATCTCAGAACTAAATGATTTACATACATTATTTTAGTTAATCTTAAAGATAATACTTGGAAGCAGACATTACTCTTATCTTCATTTTGCAGATGGAAAAATTGAGGCCCAAGGTCACACAGCATGCAGTAAATAAAGAGCCTGAGTTTGTTTCATGGCAAAGTCTGAATTCTTTCCCTCATGCTCTGCACTGAGAGGCTAAGTACAATGTCACCCACTAGGAGTTCTGACCTCTGAGCCTCAGGAAGTCACCATAGTAGCACCTGGAAGATGAACAAGCTGGAATGCATTCTATTCATAAACATTTAGTTAATGCCAACCTTATGCAAGGAACTGGGGAAACAAAGATAGACAAGTCACAGTTGCCATCCTTACAGAGATCACAACTGGGTCAGGGAACAAACACCACTAAAGGGTGGGCTGTGGAGCCAGATAGTCTTGACTCTTGCACTTACAGGGTGACTTGGGCAAGTTGCCTCACCATTTCGTACTTCAGTACTGGAGATGCCCTACGGATGCATCCAAGGACTTTGAATCCTTTTCTGAGAAAAAGGTTAGTATGGTTTTTTTTTTTTTAATTGTAGGCAGGATAGCTATTTAATGTTCAGTAGAAATATGACTTCATTATTGACTTTATTCGGAGATTAAGCATGACTTAAGGAGATGTGTATGGGTTCCAGGCTGACAGAGGTGGAATGGTTAATTTTATATGTCAGTGTGGAAGATGTTTTGGGTTGAGATTAACATTTAAATCAGTGAACTTTGAGTAAGCAGATTGCCCTCCTTAATGTTGGTGGGCCTCATCCAATCAATTGAAGGCTGGAATAGAACAAAAGGACCGGCCTCATGGATCAAGAGGAAATGGTCCAGCAGACTGCTTTCAGACTTCCCCTGCACCATCAGCTCCCCTGGGTCTTCAGGCTGCCGGCCCATGCTGAGGATTTTGGACTCATCAGCCCCCATAACTGTATAAGCCAATGTCTTATTTTATATACCTATAGATAGATATAGATATAGATGATATAGATAGAGATATAGAGAGATGTGTGTGTGTGTGTGTGTGTGTGTGTGTGTGTGTACTGTTCTGTTTCTGTTTCTCTGGAGAGCCTGGGCTAACACACATGGGAGGCACTGAAGGTTCTGAGCAGAGGAGTGACTCAATTTAATTCATGCTTTATAAGGGCCACGCTAGCCCCTCTGTGGAAGGCAAGCATGGAGGCAACGAAACTGGCTCAGAGGTGATCTCAGTAATCATGATGAGAAATGACAGCGGTTTGCACTGGAGTAGTAAAGGCAGAAGTGGTGGGAAGTGGTTGAATTTGGGATATGTTTTAAGGATAGAGCTGATGAGTTTCACTGATGGATTAATTATTATCATTGTAGAAACTATGACAGAATGTGGTAAGTGCCATAATTAAGGGACACATAAGGCCACGTAGGATCAAAGATTAAGAATAAATTAGTTCCTCCAGGAAGCTGAGGGTTCAAGTGACCTTTGAGCTTGGCCCTGAAGAACAAATCATGTGTACAAAGCTGGGGAGAGGAACATACCAGGCGGGTAGAGAGACACGTGCAGAAGGATGTGAGCAGGAACACACAAGGTGCAGCCAGGGAAGGCCCAAGTAGCCTAGGAAAACCTGACCAGAAGATCTGAGAGGGAAATGCCTGGAAAGGAGTTTGAAAAGGAAAGTGGAGAGGTAGGCAAGGCTGTCAGCAGGAGCTCTATCCTAATGTAATCAGGCGATCGTACATGAGATGATGCCTCATAGGAGCCGAGGGAAGCCAATGAAAGTGCCTGAACAGGCATCTCCACCCACAGTTGAAAGTCCCCAGTCACCCTGAGCAGCTCACACTGTCTTGTCCCAGGGAGCAAAACTACCACTTTCAGAATCAAATCCTGTGAATACAGACTTATATTCATCATCTAATGCTAGGAACATTTACATCATTCTGAGATGAAAAGAGCAGTTGGGATATTCACTCCTAAAGCTTACATTTGCCCTCCCTGCCTGCTAAACACATTTTTTATTATCTGGCAGTGATCTTCGCCTATTAAGCATCTCTGGACACTGAGAAGTGATACTGATTTGTTTCACTTTTACTACTGGAGGTATTTATTCATACTTGCACTCTTGCTTCTTTATCTTGGTTTTTAAAACATCTATGACAGTGGTAGAACTTGAAGCTGATGACTCATGATTTGGGGACATTTGAAGGAAGATGGATGCCCTAGGGTGGGTGACTGTTCATTATGACTTCTTGGACATTAACTGGGCATGCAGTCTTTCCTGGCTTGGCTAGACAATGTTGAAAAGGACCCAAAATCAGTACTTAAGGAAGGGTCCTTGGTTTCCAACCAGTTACTTCATTGCTTTAGGCCCTACCATGTGCCAAGTGCTGTGCTCAGAGCTAGAGACATAGAGACGAAGGCAAGGAGGGCCTTCGCCCACAAAGAGCTCACAGTGGGTATCAGATGCGCCAATAAAACAAACAACTACAACAGGAGGTGTACAATGCTTAAATGGATATGTGAACACTATTAAGGTCACTGGGAGCACAAAAGAAAGAGCATTCAGTCTCAGAGAGGTCAAGGAATCACAGAAGGTGATTTGCAGCTGAGATGGGAGGGATGCAGCCACCAGGCAGACAGCAGAAATGCATTCTGTGCAGAGGCAATAGCAGTGGAGCAGAACACACCTCTGATGCCATCTAACATGAAAATTCCAGCAGTCTATCCACTCAGTACAGCTTTACCAAGGACAAAAGTTCAGCAGCTCATTCCACATTGGCTACTCTGAAAAAACATTAGGATGCTGGTCTTGTAAAGAAATACGTGGCAAGCATTTTGTATTCCCAGTTTTAATCAAAGTGTCTACATAATCACCTTTATTTCCACAAGGATTGGTTTGTGGCCAGCCCTCCTTCCATGATGTTTTCACTGAGATCAGAAATGTCTTCAGTGGTGCCATCTGAGTGGACTGAGTCTAGGGGAGCCACTGGCTTCTCTTGGCTGCCATTGATGGACAAAGTCATAGGCAGGAGAGAAGGTAACAGAGAGAATGAAAAAAAGTAGAAGAGGGAGCATGTACCTAAATCTACCCTAATGTGGACCTCACCAACAGCAGTCTTCTCAAGGGGTCCACCTCACCAGGTCAGCCTCAGTGGTCCTGTGGTTGAGGCAAGGGATGGGTGTTGGCCTAGGTGGAAAGGCTTGCTGCCACCAGGGCTCCTCTGTCGAAAGGCAGGAGACCTCCAGCTTGAAAGCTTTTCAAAGGCCTATGGAAATGTCTTGGGCCTGAAAAACAAAGCAAAACAAAATAAATTGGCTCCAAATATGAAATGAAAGTGTAAAATTAAAAGTAGGTGTTTAATTGAACATCCACAAATGTAACATTACATCAATTTCATTAATTGTTCAATTTAGTATTCACCCCCCAAAAAAATTTTAAGATTTTCTGATCCCATGAGAATTCCTAAGTTTAAATGTACTTGTCAAAAATCACCCATTATAAATAATTTTAACATCAAAATTAGAAAATAATTTCAAATTTTACAGCAACAAAAAGAGATAAATTTACTGGGGAAAGTAGAAGCATTTATATCACACCATATGCTTGGTATGTTTGTGACGATCTAGGATAAGGCCCCAAAGTAAGAGAGCCTAGAGCCCGGAGCCTACAGAATTCTTAGAAGAGCCCTGGATGTCTTCCAGGGTCTTTCTTGATTATTTTCTGAGGCTTCTTGACCAGCATCTTTCACCAAGACAACAAAAGCCATTCTGAACCACTTTTGAGTGATTCAAAATGTTCTCTGGTAATAAATAGTGCTCACTTGGAGCTATGTTTGATTACATTGTCAGTGCAAGCTCAGATTCTTGGAATGTTTTCTGGGATTCCCAATAAGTATAAAATGTCTTTCCAAGATCTCACTGTTTCTAAAGGTTGGATTTACTTGACAAGTAACTTGACAAATGCCTATCACAGTGCTTTGCCCTTAGCTAGTGCTTAATAAATATTTGTTTGATGAACCAGAGCTTTTTCTGTGAGTCCACAATACCTTTTAGATGCCTACCTCCAATTCAGTCTGTGTGTCACATTGCTTTGCAGGGAATTTTTTTTCTTTTTGCATGATTGTCTTCACTTAATTGTTAACTGTAGGAGGGCAGGAAAATATTTTATTCATCATTGTATGTCCTGGACCTAACATAGTGCATACAAGGTGTTCAAAAAGTATTTGTTGAGTGAATGAGAGGATAAAAGAATAAGATGATAGATAGATGGATAGGTAGATAATAGGAAGATAGATAGATAGATAGATAGATAGATAGATAGATAGATAGATAGATAGATCTAAAAACATTAAAGCAAGAGTTTGTCCTAATAGGTCCAGTTCATGCTAATTCCAGTCCTAATAATAATTTTAGCTGCCAGTTTTTGAATGTTTGCTGTGTACCACTGCATTCTAAATTCTTTTCTGTATTCTCATTTAGCTGTCACATGTCTATAAAGAAGGTAGTAGTAAGATAATGAGACAGAGATTCAGAGAGATCAAGGTACCCAAGGTCATACACCTAAGAAGTGGTGAGATGACATTTGAATCCAGTAATCCTAACTTCACCCCACAAAACAAGTTTCTTTTATTCTATTCTATTCTGTACTGTTGGTGTGTTCTTTGTGGTAGATGAGATCGCACAGATGTAAAGTGGGATAGAATTTCTTCCCAGAACTAACACACCCGACAGCTCCCCAGACCAACCAGTCCTGACGTTTTCCTGGGACCAGATGCCAACCATACCCTTCAATAGGAGGCAACTGCCTCTAACTCTGCAGCAAGTACAGAAGAGAATGAAAAGCAAGGGAGAAACATGAGTCAGCACTAACTGTACCCCTTCAAAACCTTTTTGGGGGCCACACGTAATGGAAATGGAAATGGCTGAAGAGTCAGGAATCTAAGATTCTGGGCTCATTCACTAAGTGGCTGTGTGACCTCAGACAAATCTCAGAGTTTCCCTGGGTCATTTCTATGGGCCTTTTGCAGTGCTGATATCCTCTCTGTCTAAATACCCAATCTCATCTCCACTTTTTTTTTTTTTTTTTTTTTTTTTTTTTTTTTTGCATCCCAGGAGATGTGCCTTTTCTCAATTTTGCCATCATTTTGTGTCTTACAGCAGAGGATGGATTACCCAGGAACTGCAGCCTTAACCAGGGTAACAACCATAGCGGCTGTTTTTCCTGCAACCATCTGAAAGCCCAGCTAACCACTTGCCTCAGTTAATAGCGAGCAGGTTAGGTTCCTTCATAGGTTAATTACACATTGTGTGGAAAGCATTTTCTTTCATCAGTTCTAAATTTGTTCCCTTTTAATTTTGTCGAGTGCTGCCTCTCTCTCCTCTCTCTCCATTAGAGGCAAGGGCGAGTGGGAGCCTGCAATTGGCTTGCTGCTCCCCATTCATTATACTCAGCACCTCAGAGAGTGCTCACCCCTCTCCTCTGCTTTTTTCAGAATGAAATACTTCATCTTTCTTGATGCAGAAGTCACCTCTTCCCCCATATCCATCTGCTTTGCCCTTCCAAGGACCTTTCCTGTTTCTACTGTGTCTTACCTGAGGTTGGCTGGCATTTGAATCCTGGGAGCCTCAATGTGAATGAGGTACTCAAGGTGAGGGCAAGCATGGATTCACCAGGTGGGATAACAATACTCTCCCAATTGTGCTCTAGTTAATATTTCTTAATGCAAACTACTGCCTTGCTCACCTTTCAAGATACCCCTTCTCTTTAGAAATGAAGTCTAATAGCATATCCAAGATAACCAGTGGATCCTTCTTACCCAAAAAGATTCAAACACAACATTTTAAATTTTTCTCTTGAATACTAACCAAGACCTTAGTTCTTTGTCAATACATGGTGTCAAGTTCTCAAGAAAGAGGGAGGGAAGTTTCTTCTTTCAGGTGAAACAGCATACCACCCTCAGGCCCAGGGGAACAGGCCCAGAAAGCATGAGTGAACCTGGCACAGAATCCTAATATTTTGATCTGGAAGTGGCATGCAATGCCAACCAGTAGAATCCCACTCCATCAGGGATACCAAGCCCCAAAACGTTAGTGGCTTGTCACATGTCTCACATTCTCCATTTGATCTTTTAACAAATATTTCTTGAGCCCTTATTATAAGCAGGCACTGTGGCAGGCATTCAATATACAAGAATGAATAAAGCAGATCTAATCATAACAGCTAACCGTTCCTGAGAACTTGCAGACATTCTATTAATCGCTTCAAAAATTTTCTCACATCATCCTCTCTTCAACTCTGTGGGGAGAACACTGTTATTATCATTCTGATTTTTCATGTCAGGAAACTTAGGTATAGAAAGGTTATGAGATTTGTTCCTAGATCCTATAGCCAGTAAGTTGTGGAGTGTGGTGTAGCCAAACCCAGAAGTTGCAACCTCAGCATGAAGCTCCAATCACACTCTCTCCTGGCCCCATCTCCATGGGGCTTGGCCTCATGGTCTAGGAGCCCCCTAAAGCCTTCCTTTAGATCTGAGCTGGGGAGCTTTTCTCTAGCTATGTGATATTGCTTACTTCTTACAGCTCTTATCACTCTACCATGTCTTGGCTCATCAATGGCTTTTTGGCTGTGCCTAAATTCTATGTTAACGTCCAGTTCCTAGATTATGACCAAGCAGAGGTTTTCAGGTTTCATAAGTGATTCCAGTAGGCTTGGAGATTCAAGACTATGGATTTAAAAACCCCATATGACCCCAAAAACAAACTACAAATCAGGTGCCAGATCCCAGAGAAGTGGAGTGCCTGGGATATTCCTGAAGGAGGATGCTCACCAGCCCTGCTCCCTAGAAGCTTTCTCTGGTCTGCTTGAGACACCTGAGGGAGAGCAGTGTTGATATGTGCACGTGGGTTCCTGATGATGGTAAGAGTAGCTAACATCCAGTGAGCACCACTGTGGACCAGGTGCTGTGACAAGTGCTTCAAAAACATTATCTCTTATAAGACCCACAACCACCCCTGAGATAGGTACTTTACCTTCTTTAATAGAGGAGAATAAGACACAGAAAAGTAGGTCAACTTGCCCAGGGTTGCACAGCCAGATAGGATTAAAACCTGGGCTGCCTAATTCCAGCATAAGGAATCTCTCGATGTTACCTAAAGAAAAGGAAACTCAGATACCATAGAGGTTGGTGGTCCACCATCGAAGTGTCCCAGCTCTCTTACACAGAACCAGCATTTGGATTTCCTCTCCCTATGCCCAAGCCATGTGACTGGAATCCAGGAGTAGAATGAGGAGCCTGCGCCCTTCCCCAGTGGCCCTGCCTGCCTAATGCTCTAGCTGTTTATTACGGACTCCTCCTGATCTAATGGGAGTTGAAATTTCCATTAATTAAGAATATAAATAAATAAATGGCTAGAAAAGAAAGCGAGATGATGGCATGGTGCCCGGAAGGCTCTGCTGAAAGCAGACAGTTCATGCTTCATTAGCATCTTTGCTCCTTCTCCAATCCTGCTAGCACAGCCTTTCTTTCTGAGACACATTCAGGGAACTCCAGTTTGGAGGGGATGCTTTGGTTCAGCCTTCAGTCTTCTGGGCATTTCTGATAGGCCTTTCATGGTCTTTAAAGAGCCAGCCTTCCCCAAACCCATAGTACTTCCTCAACTCACTTTCCTTCCCACAGTGCCTTCAAAAAGGAACACATAATTTCTGCAGATCCAGGGCCCCCCACGGGAGCCCTCCTGTGATCAGAAAACCATGTTTTGGGGCAGTGAGTCTACTGGTTGTTAATGTTTCCTTGGTCAAGTTTTCCCCTTAGCTAGGTCTTTATGTCCAAGTCAAAGCATTCCTCTCTGACTTGGGTTGGAATAGCATTGCTAGAAATGAGCATTTTCCCAGCAGACTGCTGTTGTAGACCTGAAACAAATGGTGGAGAGGAGAAATGAAGAAGGCAGAGCAGTGGTGGGGAGCCCATTCCATCAGTAAGCATGCACTGCTTACCTCCTGCACTGGGCACTGGGCAACATAAAAAAGTTGTGAGGATGTACCCTCTGCCCTCAATATGCAGAACACATAATACAACAGCAGGCAGCATTTAATAAGAACAAAACTGTATGCCACAGACTTTGTACAGTGGAGTTCATGAGAGAGAAGGTGGAGGGAGAAGGGAAAGAGAAACTCCAGAATGTCCATATGGTAGGGGCATGGAGGCTGACTAACTTGTTTCAACTTAGACGACAAGGCTGAAGTTGCATTCTCAGAACAAGCACACTGCTTTGCTTTGCTGCAGCTTAGATGGAGTTAATGGAAATGAGGGTGCTATGGACTCCTCCCGAGGATCTTCTCCTCAGTGCTGCTGCTCTCATTGGAAGTTATTCATCCTGTAAGCTGACACTTGTGCTGAGCCAAGAAAGGGAGGTGGAGGTAGAAAGTCCTTTCTGCTTCTTCCTGAAGAAATAGGGTTAGCAGCTAAAATGGGTGAGTAGAGCTGTCATCAGTGGAGAAATGTATAGAAGCAAGGGCAGAAAACTCAGCACATATATTCTTGCTAAAGACTTGTGGTGTGATTCCTGACTTCAGTTCCCATGGAAGAGGACACTTAACAGAAATTACTGTTCCCAAAGCTAAATTCCTAGTCAAAAGCTGAGAGATCATTTGACACCAAGATAAGATTAGAATACAGTTTTTCCTCAATATGGATAATGTGGCATCTTCTGAATCTGGGACTCATTAAGCTTGAGAGCATTCCTTACCTCAGCACAACTCCTGACTATGAAGATTTCTTTTTAAGTTAGAAAAAAAAAAGAAGGTATCTCGGAGGGACGGAGAGGAGCAAGGGAGGGATAGGCAGAGAGAGGGAAGCAGGAATGGAAGGAGGGCCAAAAACACCTGGGATTATTGTAAGAGGTCTCTGAATAAAAAAAAAAAAATCTGTTTTGCACAAGCATATAACATACTTTAAATGCATATAACAGTTTGGTGTATTTACAGATTTTGTCATTATAAAATGACTACAGTGTGAGAGGCACAAAAGTTGTGATGTCAAATTGGGGTCTTCACGCTCTAAAATGTTGGATTCACTGGTGTAATCCAGAAATACTTTGGGAGTTTGAGGATCAGGGGAAGATCGAGGAAGCCCAGCCCCATTCTTCACCTATTCTCCCACGCTTTGTTTAACTTCTCTATTTCTTTCCTGAAAGGTAAGAATAAGATTCCCTGCAGTCCGCCTCTGCACAGGTCAGCCTCATTATAAAAGCTCCACAGTATTGTCATGATAAACATTGTTGTCCTATTTTGGATTCTTTGAGGTTAGGATTAAAATGAATAGTCATCAACTCTAGTAGTTTGGAGGGTGAGCATGGGAATGAGGACAGGAACACATTTTAGGAACTTAGAAGGAGCCCACCCGGCATTTCTAGCTTTCTTCCAAATGAAAGTGCAAATCCTGTTATCTTATTCCTTCTCCCTCTGCGTCCCTGCTCAGCCTCCTCAGAGATTCCAGAGAATAAGCCACCAAGCTTGATTGTTTAAATGAGAAAGGAGCTGCTATTCTCAGCCAGGGAGATTCACTTGTGTTGCTCTAACAACCTTCCCATCTATCATTTCCCCTGGGAGCACGTCTTTGCCGCTAATGCGGTGGTGGTTCTCAGCCCAGTTACATATAAGAGTCACATGGGGATGCTCTTTAAGAAAATGCCAACACCTCGGCCCTGCCCCCAGAGATGCTGACTTAATTGCTCTGGAGAGCAGTTCTAATATTCTGCCAGGTTAACAACTGTTCGAATATGTGAAATAAATTCATCATATATTTCTCTGCCCTCAACAAACAATCATCTTCTCCCCCACTTTACTGGGGTGAGAGTCCAGTTCTACTCATGATTTGCCTAACTTTGGATGCATTGGTTTTGGCTTGTTTTTGGTTTTGGCTTAAAGGTGGTGTTTACTTAAGATCTTTGCCTTTCAGAGAGAAGTCAAGCTATTACATGAGCCAACTCAGTCTTCCCTTGGGAAAAAATGAAAGAGGGCAAAGACTACCAGGTTTCAAAATGTTAATAGAAATTTAAGATTCTGTGAGATTCTCAACTTAATCTCACAGAATTAAGGGTCATTTAGTGAGGGTCATTTAGTCATTTAGTCTAGTATTTCCCAACTGCAGACTGAATGGGAATCACCTGTTCCCTGCTCAATGCCCCCATGTTGGAAATCCAAATTATCAGGTCCCATCCCCAGAAATTCTGATACAGTAAATCTGGAGTGGGGACCAGGAATCTGAAGCTAAAACAAGTTCCCAAAATATTCTGATGTGCAGCCAATTGGGGAAACCACTTACTTTGACGTTGCTCTCTTGAATGAATAGGTGTGAATGTCTTGGTTTCTGCAACAGCATTCTTCAATAACCCTCTTTTAAAATGGTGCCCAAAGTTTGAACAATGTTGATTCTCTATGATGAACTTTGCCTAGCATCCACCCTAAAAATGCCACATAGAATATTCTTTTCACAGTTAGCAAGAATTTATGTTGAAAATTCTGAGAAATTTAGAGCTAGGATTAGAGTTGAATTAGAATCACAAAACCCCCATTGGAAATAACTGATTTAAAGTTACCAGACTGGTATACTGCATTGAGTACACACTTGAATCAGGAATGAAGTGGAAAGGGGAAAAAAATGTATGAAAACTTAGCAGTCTCCCTACTCAATGGCCTTGAAAGAGTCCCCTTTATGGCTGCTTCTGAGAAACAACCCAGTCTATCCCTTTTCCCTACCCACTGTGTTAACTCCTTCATGCAAAGTAAATGAAAGAGAAGCCTTGAAAGAGAAAACTGAGCAGAGTCTATGGGAAGGGGTGAGAAATAATCCCAAAAGGAACAGTACTGAAAAGCCCCAAAGAGAGTTTGACATTGGTAGAGGGAAAATAACGAACAGGGAGAAAGTAGGGTTAGCCTCATGCCCCAGCCTCTAGCACTCAAACTCTTAAGTCTTAAGAATGGATCATTCCATCTCTAAAATCAAAAACCTTATGCACTTCAAAAAGCCATTGCTCCTCAGAGCAGTACCTACTACACAGGTGTGCAATGGGGCTTCACCACCTTTGCCACAGGACATCCTTATTAATTCACAAAGTCTGTTCCTTTACTGCTTCCTGCCTGCAGAAACCATGAAGGCAGGGAAGAGTGAAGGGCAGCCAGCCTGCCAGGAAGAATTACACAAATGTGGACTGAGGTTGAGATCCAGAGAGATAGTGTTTTAGCATTTGTCATAAAATCCCTTTGCCTTTCTCTTTTTAAAAAAATCACTGAGTACCTGTGATGCATCAATGTATTTACACTATCTCACTTCATCCCCAGTACAACCCTAAGAAGCAGAATTACCATTTGCATATTACAGATGAGGAAACCAAAGCTTAAAGAAATGGCACAACTAATCCAGGGAGACAGAGCCAAGACCAAACCCAGATCTGCCTTTACCAAGAACAGGGCTCTTTTTAGTGTACCCTAGCTGCCATAGGATTTAAGCTTCAGGTTTTGGTTCAATAAAATTAGAAACTCATCTTCTTCCTATTAGCTGTTATATTTGGGATGTGAAAGAGCCATTCACTTTAGGAGAGTTATTAACAGCCATAACAGATTTCGGATACAAATTCATCAAAGGACACCCTTTTTTACTTTCTGGTCTCTTTCCTGCATTTTTCTCGCTCTATTGGTGCCCTCAAAATGGCCCATTATTGTCCCCTGTCTTTTATTCAGAATAATTCCCCAGCAGCCTTCCTAACCTGATAACTATGTCCAGATTTATCTGTAAATGTAAGAATAATTATTGCATTCATCATTTATTGAGTGCTTATCACGTCAAGAAACAACTAAACACTTTATAGGCATTATCTCATTTAATCCTTTTAATAAACTCTTGAGGTCAGTTCAATTAGTATCTCTATTTTACACATGAGGAAACTAAATCATGGGATTCATGTAACTTACCCAAGATCATACATCGGTTAACAGTTATTCTGGGGATTCAGATGGAGGTTGAACTCCAGAGCTCACATGTCTAAACCAACCTACATGAGTCAATAGAACCCTGAAAGTCTCAGGCCAGACCATTCAGAAGTGGCATATAGCCCACACCAGATATCTGCATAAAGAAATGAGCACGAGATTAATGTGTACAGAACTAATTTGAAAATAGGTCTGGTTCTTAAATGTGATAGGAGAAAAAGAAGAGGATATTAGAAACTGTTCTGTAAAACTGACCTTGAAGAAGGGGGAATAGAGACCATTAAGCATGTACAAGGAATGTCCACTTTGTAGCACTCTCTGCTCCAAGCATTTAGCAATGAGAGATAAAATATAAAAAATAGAAAGTAAAAACAAAAAGGCAGAAGTTGGCTCAATAAGATAAAGGGCTCTATGGGCCAGAAATATAATAGAAATAGAAAATAATGAGTGGGGCTAAAGCCACAGCCTGCTGGATTCTGAATCTAGATACAAAGAATTGTAGCCAGAAAGTTGGCCACCTAGACAAAGTAATAAATGAATGTTTATTGCTTTAGGCCAGGAGCTTAGCAGGGAGATTTCCCTGTCCCCTAGCTACCCATTGCCAAGCTTTTAACAAACTGTAGGCCTAGAATAGCTAGAAGGCCCAGGCACATTCTCTCCATCAAAAAATGAACTCAGTGGTTCATGGCTTGGTGACTGGATCTGTGCTATCACTAATGTCCCTTCAGAACAAGAGTCATAAATGGTTTCAACCAAGGGTGCCAGGGACAAGGTGGGGTAAATGACAAAACCACTGGCTACGGAAGATGTGTAAAGGGAAAAGGGAGACACAGAGAGAGAGAGAGAGAGAGAGAGAGAGAGAGAGAGAGAAATGAAATCACCAATATTTAGCCAGTACACTAAAATTTCAAAACACAAGAAGAAATTTAATATTAAGAAAAACAGTTAGGAGGAGGAGCCCAGATGGCCGAACAGGAACAGCTCCGGTCTACAGCTCCCAGCATGAGCGACGCAGAAGATGGGTGATTTCTGCATTTCCATCTGAGGTACCGGGTTCATCTCACCAGGGATTGCCAGACAGTGGGAGCAGGTCAGTGGGTGCAGCGCACCGTGCGCGAGCCGAAGCAGGGTGAGGCATTGCCTCACTCGGGAACTGCAAGGGGTCAGGGAGTTCCCTTTCCTAGTCAAAGAAAGGGGTGACAGACGGCATCTGGAAAATCGGGTCACTCCCACCCGAATACTGCGCTTTTCCGACAGGCTTAAAAAACAGCACACCAGGAGATTATATCCTGCACCTGGCTCGGAGGGTCCTACGCCCACGGAGTCTCACTGATTGCTAGCACAGCAGTCTGAGATCAAACTGCAAGGTGGTAGTGAGGCTGGGGGGGGGGTGCCCAGCATTGCCCAGGCTTGCTTAGGTAAACAAAGCAGCAGGGAAGCTCCAACTGGGTGGAGCCCACCACAGTTCAAGGAATCCTGCCTCCCTCTGTAGGCTCCACCTCTGGGGGCAGGGCAAAGACAAACAAAAGACAGCAGTAACCTCTGCAGACTTAAATGTCTCCATCTGACAGCTTTGAAGAAAGCAGTGGTTCTCCCAGCACGCAGCTGGAGATCTGAGAACGGACAGACTGCCTCCTCAAGTGGGTCCCTGACCCCTGACCCCTGAGCAGCCTAACTGGGAGGCACCCCCCAGTAGGGGCAGACTGACAACTCACACGGCCGGGTACTCCTCTGAGACAAAACTTCCAGAGGAACGAGCAGAGAGCAGCACTTGCAGTTCACGAAAAACCACTGTTCTGCTGATACCCAGGGAAACAGGGTCTGGAGTGAACCTCTAGCAAACTCCAACAGACCTGCAGCTGAGGGTCCTGTCTGTTAGAAGGAAAACTAACAAACAGAAAGGACATCCACACCAAAAACCCATCTGTACATCACCATCATCAAAGACCAAAAGTAGATACAACCACAAAGACGGGGAAAAAACAGAGCAGAAAAACTGGAAACTCTAAAAAGCAGAGCACCTCTCCTCCTCCAAAGGAACGCAGCTCCTCACCAGCAATGGAACAAAGCTGGACGGAGAATGACTTTGAAGAGTTGAGAGAAGAAGGCTTCAGACGATCAAACTACAAGCTACAGGAGGAAATTCAAACCAAAGGCAAAGAAGTTAAAAACTTTGAAAAAAATATAGATGAATGTATAACTAGAATAATCAATACAGAGAAGTGCTTAAAGGAGCTGATGGAGCTGAAAGCCAAGGCTCAAGAACTACGTGAAGAATGCAGAAGCCTCAGGAGCCAATGCGATCAACTGGAAGAAAGGGTATCAGCGATGGAAGATGAAGTGAATGAAATGAAGCGAGAAGGGAAGTTTAGAGAAAAAAGAATAAAAAGAAACAAACAAAGCCTCCAAGAAATATGGGACTATGTGAAAAGACCAAATCTACGTCTGATTGGTGTACCTGAAAGTGATGGGGAGAATGGAACCAAGTTGGAAAACACTCGGCAGGATATTATCCAAGAGAACTTCCCCAATCTAGCAAGGCAGGCCAACATTCAGATTCAGGAAATACAGAGAATGCCACAAAGATACTCCTTGAGAAGTGCAACTCCAAGACACATAATTGTCAGATTCACCAAAGTTGAAATGAAGGAAAAAATGTTAAGGGCAGCCAGAGAGAAAGGTCGGGTTACCCACAAAGGGAAGCCCATCAGACTAACAGCGGATCTCTCAGCAGAAACTCTACAAGCCAGAAGACAGCGGGGGCCAATATTCAACATTCTTAAAGAAAAGAATTTTCAACCCAGAATTTCATATCCAACTAAACTAAGCTTCATAAATGAAGGAGAAATAAAATACTTTACAGACAAGCAAATGCTGAGATTTTGTCACCACCAGGCCTGCCCTAAAAGAGCTCCTGAAGGGAGCACTAAACATGGAAAGGAGCAACCGGTACCAGACGATGCCAAATCATGCCAAAATGTAAAGACCATTGAGACTAGGAAGAAACTGCATCAACTAACGAGCAAAATAACCAGCTAACATCATCATGACAGGTTCAAATTCACACATAACAATATTAACTTTAAATGTAAATGGACTAAACGCTCCAATTAAAAGACACAGACTGGCAAATTGGATAAAGAGTCAAGACCCATCAGTGTGTTGTATTCAGGAAACCCATCTCACATGCAGAGACACACATAGGCTCAAAATAAAAGGATGGACGAAGATCTACCAAGCAAATGGAAAACAAAAAAAGGCAGGGGTTGCAATCCTAGTCTCTGATAAAACAGACTTTAAACCAACAAAGATCAAAAGAGACAAAGAAGGCCATTACATAATGCTAAAGGGATCAATTCAACAAGAAGAGCTAACTATCCTAAATATATATGCACCCAATACAGGAGCACCCAGATTCATAAAGCAAGTCCTGAGTGACCTACCAAGAGATTTAGACTACCACACATTAATAATGGGAGACTTTAACACCCCACCGTCAACATTAGACAGATCCACGAGACAGAAAGTTAACAACGATACCCAGGAACTGAACTCCGCTCTGCACCAAGCGGACCTAATAGACATCTACAGAACTCTCCACCCCAAATCAACAGAATATACATTTTTTTCACCACCACACCACACCTATTCCAAAACTGACCACACAGTTGGAAGTAAAGCTCTCCTCAGCAAATGTAAAACAACAGAAATTATAACAAACTATCTCTCAGACCACAGTGCAATCAAACTAGAACTCAGTATTAAGAAACTCACTCAAAACCACACAACTACATGGAAACTGAACAACCTGCTCCTGAATGACTACTGGGTACATAACAAAATGAAGGCAGAAATAAAGACATTCTTTGAAACCAACGAGAACAAAGACACAACATACCAGAATCTCTGGGACACATTCAAAGCAGTGTGTAGAGGGAAATTTATAGCACTAAATGCCCACAAGAGAAAGCGGGAAAGATCTAAAATTGACACCCTAACATCACAATTAAAGGAACTAGAAAAGCAAGGGCAAACACATTCAAAAGCTAGCAGAAGGCAAGAAATAACTAAAATCATAGCAGAACTGAAGGAAATAGAGACACAAAAAACCCTTCAAAAAATTAATGAATCCAGGAGCTGGTTTTTGAAAGGATCAACAAAACTGATAGACCGCTAACAAGACTAATAAAGAAAAAAAGAGAGAAGAATCAAATAGACGCAATAAAAAATGATAAAGGGGATATCACCACCGATCCCACAGAAATACAAACTACCATCAGAGAATACTACAAACATCTCTACACAAATAAACTAGAAAATCGAGAAGAAATGGATAAATTCCTCGACACATACACTCTCCCAAGACTAAACCAGGAAGAAGTTGAATCTCTGAATAGACCAATAACAGGAGCTGAAATTGTGGGAATAATCAATAGCTTACCAACAAAAAAGAGTCCAGGACCAGATGGATTCACAGCCGAATTCTACCAGAGGTACAAGGAGGAACTGGTACCATGCCTTCTGAAACTATTCCAATCAATAGGAAAAGAGGGAATCCTCCCTAACTCATTTTATGAGGCCAGCATCATCCTGATACCAAAGCCTGGCAGAGACACAACCAAAAAAGAGAATTTTAGACCAATATCCTTGATGAACACTGATGCAAAAATCCTCAATAAAATACTGGCAAAACGAATCCAGCAGCACATCAAAAAGCTTATCCACCATGATCAAGTGGGCTTCATCCCTGGGATGCAAGGCTGGTTCAATATACACAAATCAATAAATGTAATTCAGCATATAAATAGAACCAAAGACAAAAACCACATGATTATCTCAATAGATGCAGAAAAGGTCTTTGACAAAATTCAACAAACTTTCATGCTAAAAACTCTCAATAAATTAGGTATTGATGGAACGTATCTCAAAATAATAAGAGCTATCTATGACAAACCCACAGGCAATATCATACTGAATGGGCAAAAACTGGAAGCACTCCCTTTGAAAACTGGCACAAGACAGGGGTGCCCTCTCTCACCACTCCAATTCAACATAGTGTTGGAAGTTCTGGCCAGGGCAATCAGGCAGGAGAAGGAAATAAAGGGTATTCCATTAGGAAAAGAGGAAGTCAAATTGTCCCTGTTTGCAAATGACATGATTGTATATCTAGAAAACCCCATTGTCTCAGCCCAAAATCTCCTTCAGCTGATAAGCAACTTCAGCAAAGTCTCAGGATACAAAATCAATGTACAAAAATCACAAGCATTCTTATACACCAATAACAGACAAACAGAGAGCCAAATCATGAGTGAACTCCCATTCACAATTGCTTCAAAGAGAATAAAATACCTAGGAATCCACCTTACAAAGGATGTTAAGGACCTCTTCAAGGAGAACTACAAACCACTGCTCAATGAAATAAAAGAGGATACAAACAAATGAAAGAACATTCCATGCTCATGGGTAGGAAGAATCAATATCGTGAAAATGGCCATACAGCCCAAGGTAATTTATAGATTCAATGCCATCCCCATCAAGCTACCAATGACTTTCTTCACAGAATTGGAAAAAACTACTTTAAAGTTCATATGGAACCAAAAAAGAGCCCACATTGCCAAGTCAATCCTAAGCCAAAAGAACAAAACTGGAGGCATCACGCTACCTGACTCCAAACTATACTACAAGGCTACAGTAACCAAAACAGCATGGTACTGGTACCAAAACAGAGATATAGATCAATGGAACAGAACAGAGCCCTCAGAAATAACGCCGCATATCTACAACTATCTGATCTTTGACAAACCTGAGAAAAACAAGCAATGGGGAAAGAATTCCCTATTTAAAAATGGTGCTGGGAAAACTGGCTAGCCATATGTAGAAAGCTGAAACTGCATCCCTTCTTTACACCTTATACAAAAATCAATTCAAGATGGATTAAAGACTTAAACGTTAGACCTAAAACCATAAAAACCCTAGAAGAAAACCTAGGCATTACCATTCAGGACATAGGCATGGGCAAGGACTTCATGTCTAAAACACCAAAAGCAATGGCAACAAAAGCCAAAATTGATGAATGGGATCTCATTAAACTAAAGAGCTTCTGCACAGCAAAAGAAACTAACATCAGAGTGAACAGGCAACCCACAAAATGGGAGAAAATTTTCACAACCTGCTCATCTGACAAAGGACTAATATCCAGAATCTACAATGAACTCAAACAAATTTACAAGGAAAAAACAAATAACCCCATCAAAAAGTGGGCGAAGGACATGAACAGACACTTCTCAAAAGAAGACATTTATGCAGCCAAAAAACACATGAAAAAATGCTCACCATCACTGGCCATCAGAGAAATGCAAATCAAAACCACAATGAGATATCATCTCACACCAGTTAGAATGGCAATCTTTAAAAAGTCAGGAAACAACAGGTACTGGAGAAGATGTGGAGAAATAGGAACACTTTTACACTGTTGGTGGGACTGTAAACTAGTTCAACCATTGTGGAAGTCAGTGTGGCGATACCTCAGGGATCTAGAACTAGAAATACCATTTGACCCAGCCATCCCATTACTGGGTATATACCCAAAGGACCATAAATCATGCTGCTATAAAGACACATGCACACATATGTTTATTGTGGCACTAGTCACAATAGCAAAGACTTGGAACCAACCCAAATGTCCAACAATGATAGATTGGATTAAGAAAATGTGGCACATATACACCATGGAATACTATGCAGCCATAAAAAATGATGAGTTCATGTCCTTTGCGGGGACATGGATGAAGTTGGAAATCATCATTCTCAGTAAACTATTGCAAGAACCAAAAACCAAACACCGCATATTCTCACTCATAGGTGGGAATTGAACAATGAGAACACATGGACACAGGAAGGGGAACATCACACTCTGGGGACTGTTGTGGGGTGGGGGAAGGGGGGAGGGATGGCATTGGGAGATATACCTAATGCTAGATGACGAGTTAGCGGGTGCAGCGCACCAGCATGTCACATGTATACATATGTAACTAACCTGCACATTGTGCACATGTACCCTAAAACTTGAAGTATAATAATAATAATAAAAAGAAAAAGAAAAACAGTTAACAGAGTCACCCATTGGAACATAAATCCATCCCAGATTAAATTAATTTTATAAAACAGTCTGACAAAGACTTTGAAAGAATTATGTTTAGAAAACTCCAAGAGACTAATAAGGCACAGTTTCTATTTTAAAAGGGCAAGAAATTATGAAACTACAGAAACTGAGTGGAAATGAAGAGGTCCCAATTTAAAACCTTATAAATGAGAGAGATCATTAAATTTAAATTTCACATAATGGTATAAACACTAACATGGACATTCAAAAGGATGATTCATATATGAAAACTTGTATTAAGAAATTCACTCAGAATATATCACAGAGAAAATACACATTAAAAGGCAGTTAAGAAACAGAGAATAGAATGAAAGATTTCTAATAAAACGGGAGATGTTCCAGAAGAGAATAGAAAACTAAGAATTTTCCAAAATTTAATAATGCAAGAGTCATCAAATCAAGACTATTCTCTGACTACTAAGCAGGAAAAAGAAATTCAAATCCACATCTGACACTCCTGGTGAACCTGCAGACCATCAAGAAGAAAAGGGACAGAAAAGGGAGAAAAAAGCTTAAAAGCTTCCAGAAAGAAAAGCCAGATTGCCTTAAAAATTAAAAACTGGCATTTCAAATGACTGTAGATTTCCCACCACCAGCATAGAAGACAGATGACAATGGAGTTATGTCTTTTAAATGCTAAGGAAAAATAAATGTCAACCTAGAATTATAGAGCCTGTTAAAATACTGTTCAATACTGACAAAATAAAGGTAATTTTCCATTGCAAAAAGACAAAGTAAAAGATATGCAAAAGGATGTACTTCAACAAGAAGAAAAGTGAATTCAGAGAGTAAACATGGAATGCCAGAAATAAGATTTGAGAACAGAAAAGTATTGAAATCAATAAATTTAATTAGCTATTGACATAAAAGTTGACAACTTTTGTATGTTTAAAGAATGAATAAAGCTAAACTTTAGACAATAACAAGAAGCTATGCAAGAGTTATGCTCAGTGGATAAAGGGCACTAGGTCCACATTCAGAAGAAGGATAAAACTACTTAACAATTTGAACTTACAAATATTTATAATGGAGTGTGAATTTTTTAAAGGGTAGGGGAAGCTATCAATAAAAGAATAGTGCTACAATCTTTATCTTCCAAACCAGCAGGGAAAATCTAAGAAGTTGATGGTAGGAATATAGAAAATTTATCAATCAACAGAAGGCAAGAAGGAAAAAAGATAAAAGAAGCAAGGGACAAGGATGATAAAAACACAAAACAAAAATATCAAAATAAGTCCAAATATCTCATGGTGTGTATACAGATTAAAATTTCAATAAAACATCAGAGAATATCAGATTGGAATTTGTTTTAAATATGATTATTATCACTTAAAGCAGACACCTAAAGCTTTATACCTAAAGCAAAACACCCAAAAATTAAAAATAAAGAGCATGCCACTTAGGAAAACAATTTATGAATAGTAAAACGAAGACGACCAAAATTCTCACTTTTTGGTAATATACCACAGAATAGTGCATTTAAAACTGCATGCGGTGACCCATAGAATCGTGAATTGATTTAGTGAATCACAACCAGCATTTTTTAATTGAAAAGAAATGCAATATTAAAAGAAATAAATAGAATAGGATAAGTCAGAATAGACGGAATATAACAGATATCAGAGTTCTTCATGGATATAGAAGTATCGTTTCAGTAAACTTTCATTTGTGGGATATGTGTGTGTGTGCACATGCAAAAGTTGCAGTGCAAAATGCATTTCTATCTTTTTTAGTGTGAGAAACCCTAGTGTAGAGAAGCTCTTGCAAGTGTACATAAGGAAACATGTACAGGGATGTTCACTGCAGTTATTATCTGTAATCAGAAAAAATTGTAAACATGTTCACCAACAGGAGAATGGACAAATTCCTTGAGGTAAATATGAAGACAATGAAATACTATACAACAAGGAAAGTAAATAAACCTTCATGTGTCAACATGGATAAATCTCCAAAACAAAATATTGCATGAATAAAAGCAAGATGCAAAAAGATATATACCATATGATAAAAATTTATACAAAGTTTGGAAGCAAGCAAAAGACTACTTTATATTCTTACAAATACACACAGAGAATATGTAGAGTAATGGCATAAAAACCTGTAGGGGACGATAAATATAAAATTCAGGAGGATCATTAACTCTTGAGAATGCAGGGTGGGTAGTGGGTATGAAGTCAAGGAGGGCTACATAAGAAGCTTCAACTAAATCTACAATGTTTTATCAACCAAAAAAATGGAAGTAAATTTGGGGGAAATGTTAAAATTTGTTAAGGCTGGGAGAAGGCTATATGGATGTTAATAATTTACTTCTTATATTTTTGTATATATTTGAATATGTTTATGGCCAAAAATTATAAAGTTTCAAAATCTGTAATTTTAGTCCCTGGGCTCATCACACGGTCTGGCACAAGCTTCCACCCTCCCCAGTTCTCATGCATGGCTCATCAATATTCCGTACATTGACCCACTATCTTACTCCTAAGCAAGCAGACATTTCCAGGCTCATGTCAGGCAAAAGAAAATTCCCTAGCCAGAACTGTGACTCTCACAAATTTATTTTTACCTGCAGCCAAAGCAAGGTTAGAACTCAGCTCTCTGTAAGAAAAGGCCACCACATTAGCCCTGAGTGACAATAGAGTTTCCATTATGCTTCTGATGAGCAGAAGATGAATGTATAGCTTTATTCCACCTAATGAACATTTCAATCTTCTAATAAACACCCTAATAAAGAAAAATGGAGACTTAACTCACTTTTATTATCACAACTGACATGTCGAAAGGTCTTAATTGGTCTGAAAACAACTTCCAATAATAATACCCTCCTTAATTGATTCATTAACAGGGCCCCTACTGAGACAGAAGTGCTAGTTCGGGAAAAGGAATGAAATACAGCTGATTTCCCACTGAGTGGCTATGATCCCTTGGCCATCAACTCTCCAGGCCACTGAAGAGGGTATCAGGGTGTCCAATACCTGGAATCATTCTTCTAGTGGGCACAGACATGAAGCAGTATCGCCACACACTCACCATTCCCTTAGTAGCGTAACAAAAGACAGATAGAATCTCAAGGAATTCTCTCTTAGTATGAGATGAATCTGCAAATAAACAACCAGGCAAGAGGATACCCTGATAGCAAGAGATTAAAGCTTTTTATGAGATTGAACAAAAATTACCACCTCCCAGCATGGTTGGACAGGGAAAAGAGAAGCAGGTATAGCAGAGGGAAGACTTATGAGGAATCAGTGAAAATCATCTCTTTGCAGGAAAGGATGCCTTGGCGTATAGATAATATAGTTATCCAGTGTAGTTTTTAAGGGCATGGGATTTGATGTTAGCTAGACCTAAAAGAATGTCATTTTCTGCCACTTACTAGCTCTGTCACCTTGGGCAGTTTACCTAACCCATCTAAATCCAATTTCCTTGGCTATAAAGTAGGAAAAATAAACTACTATTCTGCCACAGCCAGAATTAATCAGATCTTCTCAATCTTTTCCTCAAAACCCTCCAATGACTCCATTGCATTCCCACTCAATCCACCCCCACCTGACCTCTCTGACCTCATCTCCTACTCCACTCCCCCATTCCCTCCACAGTCTTCCCCTACCCCTGCTTCTCCTCAAAGCACTCAGCATGCTCCCATGCACTGGCTGTGCTCTTACCTCCACCTCTCTGCATGGCTCACCTCTTCATGTCTTTGATCCAACATCACCTTCTTCATGACCACTCTACCTACCCTGTGCTTACTCCAAACATCTCTTTCCCCACTCTGCTTTTTCTTTTTCCATAGTGCTTATCACATTCTAGCATTCCGTATAATGCACTTATTATGTCTGCTATTTATTCTCTTCTATTGTTTGGTTCACTAATCTATCCCAAGTGCCTAAAACAATGAGAAGCACATAGCAAGTGTTTAATTTTTGTTCCATGAAAACCTCATAAGATTGTTCAGATGCCTAAATTAAATAATGCACATTAAGCACTTAGCTTAACACAGGCATACAGAAGCATTCAGTAAACGTTATCTATTGTTTTCATGGTGGCTATTATTATTTTCCATCCAACATGAGGGATATTATTAACTAGTGAGGTCATGGTTCTTCCAGCCACTGGTTCCTAGAGATGGAAGACCTACATTAACTAGAATCTTCTGACACTATATATAACATCTTGTTATATATAGACACCACTAGCCAAGGACCAAAGGTGCCAGGTCACCTGTAGACCCCACCCCCACCCCACCTACTTAGCCAACACATCCGGCGTTGGGGGGCAGCTGCTAGGTCAAGAATGTATATCAGCGTACGTCTAGAAACTATTGCTCCCTCTTGTCCCTTTAGGACTGTGCTGCGTGTAAATACCAACTCAACAACACCTGCATAACAGCAGGAAAGCTGTTAGAAAGCTAGAAAGGGTTTCATTTTACATTTAACAAAGAGTAAGGGAGGGAACAGGGAAAGAGATAACCAACTTGTATGCTGGAGTCCTCAGAATTTAAGCTTCTGCCACATTGTCCAAGACATTTGTGTTTCTGTCCAGGAAAACAAGGAAACAGAAACCATCTGCCCAGTCCATAACCTCCCAGGCACTAATGAGATGCCTTTTCTTTGTCAAACACTTAGGAGCTCCTGTGATAAAGTACTACCCTGGGTAAATAATGAATAGAACAGTCCCATTAACTCAAAGTTTGATTGCACCTTCTGTTTCCTGAATGTGAAGGAAGACAGGAGCAGCCAAGGCAATGAGCCATTCAGCACTCAGCCAAAGCCTGCTCTCCACTTCTCAGCCATGTGAAGCACACACAGCAGTCAAGATGCTAAATGCAAGTTTCAGTATGTGTTCTTTCCCATAGTGCCCAGCTCTCATTGCACACTGCAGATGGCACCTGTACAAGGGAACAGAGGTTGGTGTATGTGACTGCCCTGATGGTGCCAGCTACGGGGCCTTCAGGAGGCAGGAGAGGGCAGTAGTTCAAAAGCACAAGCACCTGAGCAAGAAAATCCTGTGTTCAAATCCTAAATCTCCCAATAAGCATCTGTGCAACCTCAGTCCAGTTGCTTTATGTCTCTGATTCTCTTCCACATCTGTACAATGTGATGATTACATCCAACTCATAAAGTTTGTACAGGAACAAATGAAGTAATACATAAAATCACTTAGCATTGAATCTGGAGCATTGTAAGTGCTCAATAAATATTATCCTTCTTTTTGGAGGGTAGAGGGTCAGGAAAGAACAAAAAGCTTGAATGTAATTGTATTCATCATCCATTCATTCAACAAATATTTACTGAATGCCTACTGGTTCTAGGCCCTAATCTAGCTGCTAAAGGTACAGCAGTGAATGAAGCAGACAAGATGCCCTGCCCTCAGAAACTAACAGTCTAATAGGTAATCATGGCCAATATATAATGATATAATGGGTCCTCACCTGTGCCAGACAGTGTTCTAAGTGCTTTACTTGCATTAGCTTATTTGATGCTTACAACAACCCTATAAAATGCATTACTATTATTATCTCCATATGACAGAAGAAGCAACTGAGGCACAAAGCAGTTAAGTAAATTGCCCAAGGTCATAAGATTGCTAAGCATCAAAGCCAGGGTTTGAACCCAATTAGACTCTCGACTCCAGAGACCACTCTCTTAAGCACTACATATATTGCCTTCTTGCAACTATTAGATAGTGAGCTCCTTACAAGTAAAAAATACAATTCATTCATTTCTGTATCTACAACAAAGTACCTAGCTTGTGAGTCTGCTCAATAAATGCTTATTGAAGGAAGGAAGGGCAGATTTTCTTTGAGGCACTAGAGCCACCTTCTTATAAACACTGAATATGTAGTGAAAATATACTATTCTCTTGACATTTCTCTATAAACTCTGAATATGTAATGAAAATATACCATTCTTCCAATGCATAGAAAATATTAGTGATCTTCTGTCCATAGGTTGTTAAACGTAGGGCTGTTTTTCCAGAAATGGTGATGAATGTTCCTTGAACCACCTACATTCTACCCTGTTTCCTTTAATCCAAATGGCATGCATTTAAGAAGGGTCTGACAGGGATTGAACTATATTTTAAAAGTCCAGAATATGTGTGCTAAGGTTATAAAATACACAACACTCCTACTCTTTTATTTGGGAAACCAACGAAACGTTTCAACCACAACAAGTCTCACTCAAAGCTGATGTTCTCCCACTCAGACACCTAAGTCATCACTATTCTCAGAACTATTTATGCATGAGCTAGTTGAGGTTGAACTGGGCCACAACTGAAGAAGAAAATGACAGAGGCAACTACTACATTGAGGGAGATGGAGGCAGAAGAAAGAGGAGCTCTTCAGGGGACTAGTGTTGACAGTTCAGTAGAACTAGCAATTCTGCAGTGAATATGGCTGGTATTTGACTCACAATAATTAATATTATTTTTATGCTATACTAATTGTATTTTATATATAATATTAAATGTATTTAAATATAAAAATCTAAACACATTTTATATATCAATTGTTAATAACATGGTATATCATTTTTGTTATAACTTATTCCTTAAGAAAGTATACTAAGTTCTGATTTTTTCTTACATTATCTCATTTAATCACTACAACCATCAAAACAGTAGTATTACAATCTCTATTTGTTAAGGAACAAACTCAATTGCTTTAACAATGACCTCCCCTCACCACCCAAAATGCAGTGGTTTAAATAAGAAGGATTTTCATCTATTGTGTAACAATCTAGAAGCAGTATTATGTACAGGCTAAGCTGCTGTAACAAAGACACATAAGAAAGGTGACAAGAGTTTTTCTCCCACATAATAGTGCAGAGCTGTGAAGGCAGCCTGCCATCACCAACATGCGGCTTCCATTTGAAACTTCTAACTTCCAAGTGACTTCTCAACTCCTAATAGTCATGCCCCAGCCAGCAGGAAGTGGAAAGAGACAATGGGAGAACATGCCAATTTTCTTTACGGATCCAGTTCAGAGTAGCACACAGAACCTGCATCCTATTAGCCAGAACTTGGTCATAGAGTTGTTATAAAAAATATGTTGAAAAACCATTGAGAAAGGTATGTGGTAAATGTCCATTTATTTTCCTTCTCTTTTTGACATTAATATCTCAAAAATGAATCATAGTGTAATCATTTGCATTCTTGTTTGGCAAAAAAATTCATTCCCTTCCCTGCTGACCATCGTGGACTCAGTATACTTCCCTGTTCCACTGATACTGGGCTTGGCCATGTAACTTGCTTTGTCCAGTGGAATGTTAGTGAACATGATGCAAGCAGAAGCTTTAAATGTGTTGTGTGGTTCAGCTGGTCTAGTGCTCCAGCAATATATTATAAGAAGAGCTGATCCCCAGGTAGCTGCCACCCTTTTTCAGCCTGGACTGAAAGAAAATACATATGGGGCGGACCTTAGGCCAAACCATGGCCTACAGCCAATCCTAGTCTTTGTGCCACCTAAATCAGGGCCATTTGCTGAACCCATCCCAGACCAGTTGAACAACAATTCACCAGCAGATCTGTGAATGTGAGCATAAGTGCATGTTGTTGGAAGTCACTGAGTTTTGAGATAGTTTATTATGTAGCATTACTGTAGCAATAGCTGGTTACCACAGAAATTGGTATCAGAAGTGGGGTACTACTGTAATAAAAACCTAAAATATGGAACTGTGGTTTGGGGACTAGGCAGCAGATAGTGAGGGAACTGTAGTGGAAGGCCAGAAAGATTCCATCCCATGTTATTTGGATAAGTGCTTGGCAAAACTCATCTGTGATCATTTGAAAGACAGAAAATGTACCTAATGGACTTGAAGCACTGGGCAAGAAAGTGTCAAGCCAGAATATTGATAGTGTAATCTAGCTGTTAGTAGCAGGATAAGATATTGTAAGACAAAGTCGAGTTTTGAAAAGAACTGACCAGTTTGCCAGCAGAATTGAGAGAGACTAGAGAAAGCCCCAAAATTCCAGAACTTGTGGGTTTGAAAAGTGAAACTTTCTCACCTTATTTTGTCAGTCTCAGGACAAAGACTAAATTAAGGGGTGGCCGTCAGCTCCTTTCTTACAGCTTCTAAAAATAACTGAAGTGGGTGCCTTGCTGTTCTTTTCAGCTGAATAAAGTACTCCTAGAAAGCTAAAAGGCATGCTCCTACAGAGGCTTGGTATAACCAAAATAGACAAAATTAAGTCTTAAGAGAGAGACATATCTCAAAATGTATCACAGTTGTAACTTTTGCTGCATGGAGTTGACTGAAATCATATACATAGGAAACTCACAAAACTTTTAAAGCACCTATATTGGTAAAACGCCATCAACCTGAGACTGTAACTGTTTGAGATGTAAAAAGATCTCTGGCTCCCAAATTTTTATAAGCGGAAAACAGACCGAGAAGTTGCACAGCCAGAAAGAAAGGCTATCCTGTAAACTTCTATTCAGTGGTGGCCAGGCATGGTGGATGATGGAAAAGGAAGAATCTCCGGGAGGTTGGAGCCAAAAGATATGGAGAACAATGAACTGGTAAGTCATCTTAGGGAGCAGAACTAGGGCCTAATCCAGAGCTCAGCAAACTATGGTCCACAGGCCAAACCCTGCTTGCCACCCGATTTAGTAAATAAAGTTATAGTGGAACACAGCCACATCCATGCATTTGCAAATTGTCTACACTGCTTTTGTTGAAATGTTGCAATAGGAACTAGGCCTGCAAAGTTCAAAATATTTACTAACTGGCTCTTTACAGTTGTGAACCCCTAATCTAGTAAAAGAATATTCTATACCCACAGAAACGTGGCTACACTTGCACAGCAGGATTTCAGAATTGCTGTAGACCAGTGACTGCAATGGGTCTACCATTCGCATTTTTTGAATGGGAGTATTCTGCCTATGTCTGTTCAACATTGTAAGTTGGGTGATTGAAAAGCAAATAACTTGTCTCTTTAGTTCCTAGGTGTCTCAGTTAATAGGAGTTATATCAGGATTTGGGGTAATTTCAAGATCCTAGCTTAATGGATTGGATGAGTCATTTAAGGGTATTAGAATAAAGATAAGTATATTTTGCTTGCAGAAGAACAGTGAATAAGAGGCCAGATTGTAATAATTTGCATTGCTGTACAAACCTTTCTTCCTATTGAGGGCAGTATATCCTTCCTAATGTCATGGGCTTGGCCAGGTGACTTGCTTTGGTCAATAGAATGTCACCAGGCATGGCAGGATCAGGGGCTTTAAATGTGTTTGGTTGGTTTGTCTCGGATCTGTCATAAAAAGGGCCTGCCTTCTATCTGGTCCTCAGAACAAATACACATGGAACAGACCTGAACCAAAAATACAGCCTTAAGCCAAGTCCATTAGATCTGAAGCCTGAAGTAGAGCCTCCCAGGTGGGCTCAGATTGATCAGTTAACTATAGCAAATCTGTAGACCCCTATGTGATAGCATAGATACTTGTTGTGAGCCACTGACTTTTGAGGTGGTTTGTTACACAGCATTATTGTAACAATAGTCAGTTGATACACATGGCTCCCATAAAATGATGAGATGGCTGAAATCCAGTAGATTGCAGTTTCATTCTAAAGACTTTAGTTCAAGTCCCAGATCTGCCACTTACCTGCTGTTCAATTGGAAGAAGTCACTATACCTTCACTATATGTTTCTGAGTCTAAGAGGTTTTTTTAATTTAAAAATGAGGCTAGTAACAACATAATTCAGATGTTCATTGTAAGACTAAATAAAATAATATATTTAAATGCATCTTGTAAATAGAATAAAGTGTACAAATACAAGGTATTTTCATGATTATACTTCAGTTAACATAAAGTAGACTTATTTTATTTTTAATTAATGGTGGAGAGAGAGTAATGCCATTTCTGTCCTCCGATGCTAAAAGGTGGCCATGCTAGGTCTGATGTTTTAATAATTATTTCTTAATTTTGTTTATCTGATTTCCTGATTTTTCCCTAAGGAATACATGTAATTTATAATAAAAAGCAAACAACATAAAAGTTGTCTTTTAGAAACTGCCTATGCTAGCTGGGCCTGCCACTTCTGAGCACCTTCCCCTTCCTGCACCCTCACCCTCCCAAAGAGGAGCATACAGCACCACTGACCACAGCAGCCCATGTACTAGACTAAGGAGTTCTCTGAGTCACATTGTTCCCTCACTGAAGAATAAGGGGAAAAATCAGAATGTTTCTCTTTCTATACCAACAAAAATCCCTGAAAACCCAACCAGTCAACTAGATTTCCAGCAAAGAAGGAAACTTCATCAGAAATGTTTATTTAGAACTGTGTCCACCAAATTGCTTTCCATGGACTCCAGTGTGTCACACAACCAGAGTCTAGGGTGTTACAACCTGATTATTTTGTATTCACGTCAAAAGTGTTTTTCTTTCTCCAAAATGCCAAAGGGAAGAGCAGGGGTTTCTTACAAACGGCTCTAAATTGTCTCAGTGCTCCCAAGAGTGACAGCAATGAGGACACAGACACCGTCCACAAGAAGAGGGGGAAAAGGTCAGATCAATAGCACTGACGATATCCATTTGTTCCACCAAGACAGCCAACACAGGTTTCTGCAGAGGATTATTTGAGAAATAAATCTACTCACACAGTTCCTCTCCATCCTCCAGCCAAAACAGCAGAACCCACCAGAAATCAGATCACACCTCTCAGCTTGCTTTATAACAGAACAGCCAAGCTGGGCAGTAACACCACATAATAGAAATGTTGATCAGGTTAGCATAGAAAAGAGTGCTGTGTGCTGTGGGCTGGCGAGGCAGGACAGGCATCCTTGAATGGAAAGGAGACAATGGCCCCTGGGAGATATCAGACACCTCGGAGCAGAGTCCTTCCTAGGTCAGAACAACCATGGTGACCACCACAGGGTTAACTTCTGTGGGCTGCCATTCATTATGAGCACCTACAGGCACAAAACTTGGGAAAGCAACAAGCAGCAGCAAAAAGATGCAGAGACGGTACCACTGCCAGCTAGTCCTCATGGTGACCTCTAGAGTAATGACAGAAAATAGAGATCTTGCATTATTCATTCACTCTGCAAACATTGGTTGTCCACTTACCACCTGCCAAGCACCATGCTGGGTATTCAAAGATAAGTAAAACATAGTTCCTACTCTTAAAGTTTCTATGCCCCAGTGGGCGCGGTGGGTCACACCTGTAATCCCAGCACTTTGCGAGGCCGAGGTGGGCAGATCACAAGGTCAGGAGTTCGAGACCAGCCTGGCCAACATGGTGAAACCTTGTCTCTACTAAAAATACAAAAATTAGCCAGGCATGGCGGTGCGTGCCTGTAGTCCCAGCTACTCAGGAGGCTGAGACAGGAGAATCGCTTGAACCCAGGAGGCAGAGGTTGCAGTGAGCTGTGACCTCCAGCCTGGGCGACAGAGCACAACTCCATCTAAAAAAAGAAAAAAGAAGTTTCTATGCCCCATTGTGCCTAGCACATAACAGGGGCACCATAAATGTTTGCTGAGTGTTATCTTAGTATTCATCTATATGCAGCCTCTTTTCTCTGCCTTCCATGGCACTTTTTACAAATCCTTAATGATCGTTTATAGTACTCTGACTTTTAGTTATCAGTGCACATTTGATTCCCACTATAGCACAATAGGATCACTGAATATAGGATCTGTGTATTGCTTGTCATTGAATCTTCTCAATAAATAGTTTATGAATGATTGCCTATGTAATCATAAGTACTGCATCACCACCCACTACCACCATCAGAATAGGATGGAAGGCCTAGGGCTTGCAACCGTGGGAGAAAGCATGCTGGGTTAAGGGTTACCAGGCCTGCATTCTGGCTGGGCATGGAGGCTCATGCCTGTAATCCCAGCACTTTGGGAGGCTTAGGCAGGAAGATCACCTGAGGTTGGGAGTTCGAGACCAGCCTGACCAACATGGTGAAGCCCCATCTCTACTAAAAATACAAAAATTAGCTGAGCGTGGTGGCGCATGCCTGTAATCCCAACTACTCAGGAGGCTGAGGCAGGAGAATCGCTTGAACCTGGGAGGCAGAGGTTGCAGTGAGCCCGGATTGTGCCACTGCACTCCAGCCTGGGTGACAGAGCGAGACTCCGTCTCAAAAAAAAAAAAAAAAAAAAAGAGGTCTGCCTTCTAACAGAAGCTGCTGTCATCAACTGGCTGAGTGGCCTGTGCTCAGCTGAAAGATGAAGGAATGGGTCGATGATCTCTACGGTACCTTCCATCCTTCAGACTCATCATCTTGGTCATAGATAACATTCACTGGATACTCGGCATGATTCAGGCACTGTGTTAACAACTTTATGTGCATTATCTCATTCAATCTTCAGCATAATCCCTTCAAGTACTGTGGCTATCCCTATTTTCTATAAAGAAAGCAGGCCTAGAGAGGTGAAATGACTTCCCAATGTCACACGGTGGCGGACTGGGTATGAGAACCTAACAGACTGACTTGGAAACCCACACTCTCAACTGCTAAGCCATACACATTCCTCTTCCACAGCCACACCTCAGGCTGTTGGATGCATTTCGGGGCCATCACTTCTCCCCCTGAACAGCTTCATTTTCCATTGTAGCCACATTTTTAGGAAATTGCTAAAAATGCCTTTGGCAGAGGGAGGCACGGCAGGCAGGCCTTGCATGCGTGCCTCACACTGGGCAGCTGTGAGTTTTCTCATGGTTCCAGAGTGGGCCTGAGGCACTAGAGCACTGGCCAAATTGCAAGGAATCCTGCGAAAGGATGAGAATCCCAGCAGGAAGTTACAGAGGGTGCCAGCCACGTCCCAGGAACATGTAGTTTGAACCACATTTGAGAAACCATCTGAGAAGGCAAGAAAAAGAAATGAAAAATGTCATTTTATCCAAAGAGCTTTGAGGAATTGTAAAGACTTTGACCATATTCCAGACCAATCAATCTGACAGCTGCTTCTGTCCAGTCTCCCCCATATTTAGTGTATGGACAAAGAAGAGGCTCACTCTCCAAGAGACAACAGTGCTACAGTTTTGGGGAAACATGGTACCTCATATGTGGGCCCCAAATACCCAAAAGGTGACAGAGATCAATGGCACTAATCAAAGAATTTAGGACAGAATTTTAAAGATATTTTTTAAAGAAACAGGCATAGTTTAATAAGGAGACAGAAAAATCAAAACTAAACCTCTGTTACAGATGTATCTGGATTTTTTTCAAAATTACAAATAACAACAGTGAACTCAAATACTGAATAATAAGTGCACGGCCCTCAAAAGTTATAGATAATAAACACATGCTACTTGTAAGGGAAAGGGGAGAAAAATACAGCCCACGTTTAGAAAGCAAAGTATCTTGAGGAGTTTGGCAGGAAGAAAGAGGAGGATTAATTAAATGTATGCAAGTGAAAGGGCCTCTCTTCTGAACCAAATGACCTTAAACCTAAGGCAGGAAAATAATAAAGAATGGGGTTTGGAGGAAAGTGAATGGATTTAATTGTCTCAAAGAGAAATGTATAAGTGGAAATCCAAGGGTTCTTTAATGTGTATGTGTGGGTGTGAGGTGTGTGTATGTGTGTGTGTGCATGCATGCGTGTGTGTGTATGTGTGCATGTGTGCATGTGTGTGTGTGCACACATACATGTGAAAGAGAGTTTTTCATGGTGACAGAAAAATGGAAATCAGTGGCACTAGGTGGCTGCCGTTCTCACAGTGAGAGTAAGTCCCATTACATCTCATAACAAACGAGCACAGTGAGCCTTCCTATTAGTATTGGGCAAATGATCTTCCAGATGTGCCTAAATCCAAACCTCACAAAAGGAGCCAGGCCATAGAAAGGCAGTTTGCTCTGAGGCAAAATGACATTTTTCATGCTTAAATCACCACTTCCCTCCTCCACCATCCCCTCTTTGAAATGCTGAATTGTTAGAGCAGTGGGCATTATAGAAAAACAGGCAGGTGGAGATTTCAGTTGGGCAGCTAGGAGCAGCCCATCTGCATTCCCCTGCCTTCCCAGAGCTCTGCCGCAGCTTCCCCACTGACCCCCTAAACCCCCACCGCTGGCTCCCTCCTGCTGCCCAACTCCTCTGACTCGGGCTCCCAGGAAATCCCACCTCTGCCCTGATTTGAATTGAAACATCACCTGTGGATCCAGCCCCGGGCCCTCTCTAAACCTGGTCAACTAGTCCAGTCCAGATCTTCCTGGCAAAGCCCAGTGTCCCTCTCACCCCCGGACACCCATGACAGGTCCAGGATTGGTGTGTGGTGAATGTGGACACGCCAGACATGTCGTAAGGCCATTTTGGATTATTTCCTCAGCTGCTTCTAAAAACAGCTGCTTCCTAACTCCCCATCTCTAAATATCATAATTCACCCAGACCTACAAAATGTAAATGGAATTTAATAGAAATATTAAAATGTAAAACTCTACACAAAGTGTGTGAGGGAGGAGGCAGGCTCTCCAGGAGATCTTGTACCTTTTCCTCAGTCCTACAATTACATCTTGGGGTTTTAAAAAAATCTGGGAAGATATTTAATGGATGAACAGAAATGGAGATGGGAGGAGGGGAGAGTAGAAGACAGGGAGGGAGAGAAACAAAAGTGAAAGGGAGGGTAGAAGGGTGGGAGGGAGAAAGAAGGGACAGAAAGGCATGTGCCCTAAGCGGCTGATACAATTTCCCAACTTGGCTCACAACTCCTCACTTTGAGCACAGTAATATTGCCACCTAGAGGCTTGAAAGTATGCTCCCGAACTTGGACACTCTTATGCAAGATTTATTTATTTGTGTAAGTAAACTCGTTATGGAGCTTTGAAAAGATGGAGACACATGATGGTGGGAGTGGGGGATAGCGGGGGTACTATCCAGAAAGTCAGCATCTAGCCATTTCACAGTGGCTAATATTAGTCACCTACTGTGTGCCAGGGACTGAGCAAAGTGCTAAGAGTACAAAAGAGACATAGTTTCTCTCCTCAAGGATCTCAGTCTGCGGAGGAGACAGACACATATATAAGTAATGCAGACAATGAAAGTTACCATAAATGTACAAAAACATTGTACACACAGTATAGGTGAATGGGAGATTAATTCTGACAAGAGGAGCTAGGGGAGGAGCTTGATCTAGAAAGAATTTACTGAAAAGATGGAACTAAGTGGGGTCACAGGAAATCTAGAGACTCAGGAGAGAATACCAGGTTGAGGTAACCATCAAATGAGGCGCCAGTCTAGAAAGGACACCAAGCATGCTCACTACGACTGGATTACAGGAAATATGACTCTTACCCACAGGTGGAGTGAAGAGAGGACAAAAACCAGGAGGATGAGCTGAACCGATTTGTAGAGGGCTTTGAATGCTAGGCTGAAGAACGTGTACTTTTTAAATTGCACAAGGACAGGGCTTTGTAACTGCTTTATTCACTCCAGTGTGCTCGGCACCTAGAATAGGGTTTGGCACTCAGTGGTTGGACAAGCAACATCTGTGGAATGAATGACTATAACAGGAAGCCCATGAAAGTTTTGGAGAAAGAATAATTGGATAAGATTTATGTTTCTAAAAAAACATAATTTGAGACAATCTGTAGGAACGGAAGAAGGATAGAGGCTCCATTAGATATCTGCTTCCAAAGTCCAAGAGGTGTGGGTCTGACCCAAGGCACGGTGGAGAAAATGGAGAGGGCTGAATGGCTGTGCACAATTTTGACAAAGTAGAATCTAGAGGACTTCAATACCAACACCAGGTATATGGGCTAACCCAGAATGATGGCACTGGCCAAGATAGGAAACGAAGAGCTGTTTGGGGAAGAAGATAATGAGTTTAGTTTGAGAAATGGAGCATTCCAGTTTCTGGGAGTAGAACCAAGTATAGATGCCTAGCATGCAGTTAAAGATAGAGTGTGGCGCTCTGGGCACACGCATACTCCCTGCACACACACACATGCACGTACTCACCTGATCTAAATACTACTGACATTTTGTTTACTGCTGTTAGAGAGAAGGAGCCTACACTGATCTTGAGAACCTAGGCAGCTGCTAGTTTTAATCTTGTGGCCTTGAAACCAAACAGCAGTGTTTATTTTGGAAGAGCAAGAAGGCTAGAGGAGCATCCTCAGTTTCCATATCTGGAAAATATGAATTACTGTAAAGATTGAATAATCTAACCCATGAAAAGTGCTTAACCCAGTGTCTGACACAAGAGATAAGTATGCAATAACTGTTAGCTTACAGTTTAATTTCTCATGTCTTGGAAGACCGCAAGATTAAAGTTCAAAACTTGGCCATCCATTGTATTAGTCCATTCTCACGCTGCTAATAAAGACATACCCGAGACTGGGTAATTCATAAAGGAAAAAGGTTTAATTGACTCACAGTTCAGCATGGCTGGGGAGGCCTCAGGAAGCTTATAATCATGGCGGAAGGGGAAACAAACACATCTTTCCTCACAAGGTGGCAGGAAGGGGAAGAATGAGACCTGAGTGAAGGGGGAAGCCCCCTATAAAACCATCAGATCTCATAAGAACTTACTCTCACTATCACGAGAATAGCATGGGGGAACCACCCCCATGGTTCAATTACCTCCCACCAGGTCCCTCCAACCACACATAGGGATTATGGGAACTACAAGATGAGAATTGGGTGGGGACACAGCCAAACCATATCATCCCCTTATCATCTGCATGACCTTGAAGAGGAAGACTGACCTCTCTTAGTCTCAGTTTGCTCTTCTGGTAACTGGGAAGAGTATTACTTGCCATACCTGCCTCACAAGATAAAATGAGATAGTGCACATAAATTGTTCTGTAAACTTAAAGTCAATTTATACATATTATGTATTATTTGTGAAATAGAAGATAATAGCAGAAAAATCTCTGAACTCCTTCAAGGTATTATGGTTCTAAATAAGCGTGTATTTTTTTAACACCCATTTACTCCAAAGAAAGAGAAACTTCTCTGGCCCCATTTAGCAAGAAATTCCTCACTTGCCACCTTTCTCCATTCCAGACATGCTTTCATCATAGCACATTTCCTTTATTCCATCTTCAATTCAGATTTAAAAAGAAATCTTTGAAACTCCGCAGCTGGTAGAACCACTAGGGAATCAAAGCAAATTTGTTCTCTCTTCTACATATTCCCTACGTGGCTGACCAATCAAATTCATACTGTTAATCTGAATTGAAAGGAAATAGGATATTATTTAAAGAAGATAAAGATAACCATTGTGGCAGAATAGGGACAAATAAGGTTATTCAACTTCTGACCCAAAAGATTTTTTGTTTGTTCTTTGCCCCGTTAATTCTCTCTAGAACATACCTGTAATGAAAAGCCAAGAACCTGGACAGCTGCTGGTTTTAGCCTTGTGGCCATCAGTCCACCTCTGCATCTGTATTTACAGGGTGAGAGCTCATAGAATCACTGGCCTGGAACACATGGAAATGGAATATGATGTGATTTTCTTCAGCCCGATTTACAACACAACACAGAAACTCTTTTTGCAGAGTTGGTGACCAGCAAGCATTTAGCCTAAGTTTAATCTCCCTTAGGAGCAGGTACCCACCATTCTGTGAAGGGCTCATGCCAACAATGGGCAGAGTAAATCAATCCTTGGAAGGCTCTTCTCTATTTTACCTTCCTGGTGACCTCCGCCCCCCGCCCACCTCCAACCCTTAACCCCACCCTTCTCTCAGAGCTGCCCCCTGGCGTTGCACAGAACGAACCTCTTTTTTCCTCTCAGCTTTCTCTTCTCCAAACTAAGTAGCCCTCTGTTCCCCAAGATGCCCTCTTATGATATATTTTGCTGCCTCAACTCATATCTAAATAAAAACTACATCTACAAAAAAGACTTGAGATTTCATTGTTATGTGTAAACCCAGATGGCCACTGTGGATTAACTCTCTGAAGGACCAGGACTGTACTGGATGATTACTAAGTAGCCCCACTCTGCAGAAGGACTGCATGTTTGTGTGATATTTTCTGTTATCACAGGCTTGGGGCTGATTGGTGAACTATTTCATACTACCACAGCCCCTCTGAGGCAGACAGCCATGACCACAATTTATAGAGGAAGGTTTGAGGCATTTTCAACTCATCTCAAACCAAATGTAACAGTGCCTCCCCTCCCGTTCCCATTTCTGCTTGTGGCACCATTATTCTCTCAGTGAGCCCCATCCTGGAGACGTAGACCCAGCTTCAAAGGCTCCTTCTCCATCCTCACATACTTAGTAAGTTACCACTTCCATCCGTCTTCTACCTTTACCTTATCTCCTGCATCCACTGCTCTTTATTTTGACTGCCGCCATATATATCCGCCCAAGTCCTTCTCGTGTTCAGAAACATCTAATGATTTTCAAGTTGCCTAATTTAAAAAAAAATTTAGGCCTAGTCCTCAATTTTCTCCAAAACCTAGCTATATCCAGTCTTACTAGCAAAGTCTTCCAGGGCTCTCTGTATTGGTCAGGTTTTTACCAGGAACCAGATGGCACACACACTCAAGGATTCAACTACAAAGAACTCACTTATTGGGACTATTTAAAGGAACCATCAAGGGAAGGTAAAACTTGGAGGAACCAGCAACCAAGGAGAAGCCCTAACTGTCCCTAGGTCTGAAGCAGCAAAAGGTAGGAACCATGTCACTAGATTACCCCCATGACATCTGGAGCTAGAGGAACATGAGCCTAGACTGAAGTGTTGCTAGAGAACTGGAGCCTCCACTGGAACCTCAGCCAGCTGGGGATAGGGAGGAGGCCCATGAGAAGAAAGGGAATAAAGAACCCATCTCTCTTTATTCCCATCCTCTAATGGCTTGCCATCCCTCCTATTGTTCAATTCCAATAGGAAACCTCAGGACAAGGGGGCCCATGTGATCCAAACAGAGAAGTCAGCTTCCTGGGACACAGAGCAAGGATGAGAAAAGCAAAGAATAAAGCATAGACATAGTGAGCATCAGGAGAATAAACGCACATTTCATTGCTTGTACCCTATCTTCCATCAAAAGCATGAGCTCACTATTTCCTAATTACATACACAATTTCCTGATATTGTGCTTTGATTCACACCACCTCCTCTCTTTGGAATGCCCTTCCCTGCAGGGGAGACTTGCTTGGGGTCATTTGAGAGGCACTGAGGGTTATACATTCATTTAGAAGACTCTTATTGCATGCCTAATACACACAGATATATTTGGTAAAATGACAGAGGATAGAGGAAGAGGGCAGCTACTGCAGGCAAGTCCTCAAAGGTGGGGCTCATCACAAGGAGGGATGCTCAAAGGAATCCCTACAGGCCCTCAATATACTCTGTAAAAAAGGAGAAGCAGGCTCTGGAAATGAAAATATAGACCTGTGTGTGATGACGTCTTTCACTGGCAGCCGGAAGGCAAAGTCCATCTCTCTCAGCACCTCATATATCTCAGGTCAGGGGCTCACAGCAGGACCACTAGGGAAATTGGGGCTTCAGAGCCTGGGTGCTTTTAGGGAGAGCCCCTTACCCACTGTCAGCCTCCCAGGCCCCTTAAATTGATCCGTGGAACAGTAAGACTGGCTCCACACTTAACAATTCCTTTTAGAGTAAAGGGTTTCCTCCCTGCACAGTTCTTGCCTTTTGTCAAGGAAAATAAAAGAAGAATCAGCCTTGAGTGAATTCCTTGTAGCAGGATGTTTGCAGGCAGCAGATGCAGCTAGGAGCACACACAGCATATTTGTCTGAAACCTCTCCTGCTGCACAAAGGCAGGAGGCCATTGCCTCCATTGCATCAAGGTCACCCTGGGGGCTGGGGCTTGGTTATCAGTCTTCAGGGGGTCAGGGAAGCTTCATTTCCTTTCAAGGAGGGTAAGTGTGGCAAAATGGGGGGCACCCAGGCATTCTAGATGGATCTAGAGAACTGGTAATGCTCCTGCTATCCTGCAAGAGAATGCTTTCAAAGAGAAAAATCAGGAGTGCTCAGGAGGAATCTTCCCATTCATGAATTCAATGAACATTTGCACTTAGCCTGGCAAAGAGCGTCAACTGTGAGCAAAACTGAATGGGTTCAAATTCTATCTGCACTATGCAGACTTGGACAATTTGGGTATTCTCTCTGTGCCTCTCTGCTAGGAAGCCTAAATAAATTAACACATGTTAAGTGATTAGCACAGTACCTGGTACACAGTGATAGCTCTCAAGAAAAATCAGCTGTTTGGTTAATATGTACCAGTTGTGGTAGGCACAGGTAAACACAACACGTATCAGCCATCCTCTCAAAGAACTTGAATAACAAAGATAATCACTAACATTTGGAGCATTTACTAAACATTATGCATTGTTATAGCACTGACATGTATTGCTGTCATTTAATCCTCTCAATATCTCCTTTTTTTGATGAAGACGTTGGGGTGAAAGTTGGTTATGTAATTTACCCAAAATTATTCAACTGGTAAGGATTGAAAAGTAGCAATCAAGTAAATCAAAAGATGAATTCATAATTACAGATGGTGAGAAATGCTATGAAGAAAGTGAAAAACATGCAGTGATGGAGTGCCATGGAGGGTCCCACCAGAAAGTGTGTCCAGGGCAGCCCAAGCTAAGACCTGAAACAACAAAAGCAATCAGTCATGCAAAGGGCAAGGGGAAGGCATTCCAGGCAGAGGGAAGAGCACCATAAGAGGAGATGCAGAAGTGAGAAAGAGACCTGAGCACTCGAGAAACTGAAAGAAGACTAAAGTGTCTGGAATGCAGCCAATGAAGGAGAAAACGGTGACCGGAGTCTGGATTGGAAGGCAGAAGCCTGATCATGGCAAGACCTCACAGACCATTATAAAGACCTCAAATCTAAATGCAAAGGAAGCTGCTAGAGGGGTTAAAAAGTAAGGGAGTCACACGATCTGAATGTTTTCATGGAGTAAGCCTGGAATGAAAGTAGGGGGACCCTCAGAAGGCAGCTTTGATAGTATTTAGTGACTCGGACCAGAGACATGTCAAGCTCCTCATGGACAAGGAATGTGCCTTGTGACCCTTATAGAACAATGCGACCAGCACTCACATCCCCAGCCCAGGCTTGACACAGACACAAATAAGCTTTTTTGTGTTTTTCCATCATCACCATCATGGTCACTGCCATTGCCATCACTATCAAATCATGGGTCAAGGTCAGAGTGGTCCTGGGGTAGTCATGACTCCACTGAGGCCACCAGGCATTGGACCTCCTCTCTGGAATCTGCCATCAGAGCAATAGCCCAGTGCCTCAACCACAGTGCATTCGCAGACATCTAAAGAAACTGATATAAACAGCCCAGAAAAAGAGTCTGTACAAATAGCCCCATGCACTTATGGAAGGAGGAAGACTCAGAGCAATCATGGGAATTGCATGTTAGCTACAACTGACTATTTATTAAACTTCTGCCTGATTGCGAACCAGGAACAGTAAGTATCCACTGCCCCCTTCTCTCCATATCTGAATCCTTGATACACTCTTATGTAATACTGAGATACTTATTCATTCATTACACACCAAAAGTGATTGAGTTAACCTGCTGTACCTCCTGTACTGGGTGTTGGAGATATATTAAGACAAATAAAATACCAACTCTTCCCTCAAGGACCTCAAGGCTTCTTACCTAACAGGCAAGTAAAAGGGCAGTTATAATGCAATATGATTGCAGCCAGGAAAAGAGAAGTACCAGAAGATGTGGATGCCCTTAAAATGGACATTTAACCCAGAGTCAGGAGCAGATTCTCAGGGAGAGAAGGAGGGGGAGACATAAAGGAGGTAAAACAGCATGTACAAGATTGGAGAGCACTTCCGCGGCATTCAAGGGGCTGGGGGCACTCAGTGTGGCTCAAGCTCAACATCGAGGAGGTGAGAAGGAAACCCAAGGTGAACTCACATCAGGAAGAGCCTTTAGGTTATGCTAGGAAATTAGGATTTTTTCCAAATTCTCTGCAGAGCCATTAAATATCTTAAGGAAGTATACAATAGTCATATTTTCTTTTAGAAAATCCTGCTATGTGCAGCATGAAAAGCATCACAGAGAGGGAAGAACTGGAGGTGGGAAAGCCGGGGACAAGATTCTTGTAGGAATTCAGATAAGAAATAAAGAGGGTGGGAGCCAGGCAGAAGCAAAGAGGCTGGGGAAAAGGAGGAGGAACCAGCAAGGTAAGAGCAGAGTAGAGTCTACAGGAGATTTTGATCAATTGGATTTGGTGGGAAAAAGGGGGAAAAAAGAGGATTAAATTTTCCTCCCACGTATGGGAAATGAGGACATATTGCAAAAGGCCCTGTGTGCAAGCCTAGGGTGGGGCCTTGACATGGCAGACATGGGGAGACACTCAATGTTTTTGAATGAGGAAAGAACATGACCATTAATAAGATTAATGTGCCATTGATGTGTAAAATCCTGGTTGGAAGAGAGACACAGGAGGGGAGAAGACAAGGAAGGATGCTCTTGTGAAGCTCTGCCAAGTGTGAAGAACAAGGGCCTGAACTGGAGACGTGAACGTGGACACGAAAGCCAGGACATGGGAGGGAATGGCAAGCAAGCTTCTTAAAGGGAATGAGATTGAGAGCAGGGGTTGAAGCCTTAGCCTTGGCATGGAGGAAGGGCTCTTCATTCTCAGAAACAGAGCAAAGCAGAGGGAGGCAGAGACCATAGACAACTTCCAGGTGAAGAAGAACAAATATCTGCCCCAAGCTTCTCAGCGTCATCAGCAGCCATGAAGAGCCAGCTAAGAGTGAGTGGCATCCACTAAGCATTATATGGAAAGCAAATATTTAAATACATATCAAAAAAATGTTCAGACTGTATTAAGTTTTTTAAAAAAAGCAAATTACAAAAATGATATAGTTATTAGAATCCTGTTTGTTAGAAACATATGTGTATGTGGACAGGCAAGCTACACACCAGGATGTTAATGGAGGCTATCTCTGAGAAGGAGAGCTCTAGGTGATTTTTATTTTCTTCTAGATGCTTTTTGATATTTTCTACAATGAACAAGCATGACTTTTGTAATCAGAAACCCAGCAGAGTTTAAAATATATTTGTTAAGCTTATATAGCATGGCTGTCTCCCAGAATTGAAGTGAGGGACCTGTTTGTTAACTTCTTTTTTCCAGTACATTTATGGTTCTCGGGATGCAGAGTAACTCAAATGTTTCTAATGGGAAAAGCTGGAGGTGCATTTACAGCATACCCAGGAGGACCCTCACTGCTCACCAGAGGGTCTTCAGCCCCATTCCCCAGTACAGACGGTACTGGCTTCAGGTCTCACCTCCCAGGGAAACATGCCCAGCACAGCAAGCTCTGAGCCCCTCGCTTCTCCACCCCTCAAAACAAGCAGTGCTGCCTTTTGGTAGGAGGAAAAGGAGATGTGGAAAGCCTACAAAAAGCAGCACTGCCTCTCTTCTTTTTCTGCTCCCCCACCCCTGCCCAAGCCTTAACTACAAAAGTTCCACTGCTGGCAATCAACTCACTTCCCTTATCTTCCTGCTCCCAAATTCTCTCTTCCTCAAATTATTAAAAATGCCATTTAGTTTCAAATTCCTGGTAGGAACAGGGGACAGTGCTGAATAAAAGAACCCCTTTTTTTAAGGGGAAGGGAGTTGGGTGGGAGAGAATAAGGATGCAAATCAGAACCTGCCAGGTTTTGTTATCCCCACTAAGGCCACCTGTATTCACAAAGCTTCTTAAATATTCCTCATCACTACAGAGCTTTGGACCCCAGTCTCAAGTAGTTGCTTGCAGAGGATTTCCAAAGAAATGAAGGTTCAGGCCTTTTCAGCAGAATAAATTCTACCTGTTGTGGGTTGAGGATAATGATGTAGAAATAAACAGATGAAAAGGGGAAATCCCTGTAGGAAGTTCCTCTAGTCTGTGACGGATTTTCCCAGCAGCTTCTGGACACCAGGAGTGGGGATGCCTGGAGATTTTCCACATCCTTATAGATGACAAATAGCAACAATAAGGTCCAGTTCCCTTTGTCACTCAGCCTCACAGGTAGGTTAAAGGGAGGATGTCATCTCTTTTTACACTGCCCAATCCTCAAAAACAGAATTCTCAAAATTCAGAATCTCTCTGAATTTTCTGAGTTAATAAAATAAGACACAAAGAAGTTAAAAAAGGTGCCCCAGGTCACCCAGTATTTATTTTTTTTATTCATTACTAGATATTTATGAAGTCCCTCAGGCCCCAGGGATTCCATCCAGGTGCTATGCTGAGTGTTGGCATCAGAGCCCTACCCTCCAGGGCCTATCATCCAGTTATGACAGGGCTGTGACTTGAACCTAGGACCCCGACGCTGGTCTAGAACACTTTCCCCTCCAGCACATTCCATTTCTCAGTCTGATCTTCTCACTTCATGAAAAAAAAAATTAATTTTCTAAAGTCTTCCAAACATTTTATTTAAAATTTTTATTTACAAAAACAATTATTTCTAACTCCAAACATACAGCAGGAAGAGTGTCCTTAAATTCTAGGACAGCATTACCTTGAGCTTCTAAAAATAAATAAGCTACTTTTGTATTACTTAGGAGGAATCTTAAAATACCGTTGGGTCGGTGCAAAAGTTACTGTGGTTTTTGCCATTGAAAGTAATGGCAAAACCGCAATAACTTTTGCACCAACCTAATAGTAATAATGCCTTGGGTTTAGAATAACAGCTTTCTTCTGAAATGCTTAAAGAGCTTCTACTGATGGTATCTCATTTCTTCTCACAATGTTGCCAAGACTTTTAATGGAAGGTTCTATGAGGAAAAATGAGATACAGCATTTGAAACAATGATTAATGAAGACATTAGACTGCATGTTGGTTGCCTGATTTCCTGCCTGTCCATGGTTGTTTAGGTAAGAAGAGTAAAACAAGTATTTAGAGAATCATAGAAAGTTAGGGACAAAAAGGACAACAGATGTCATTTAGAGCAGCCTCATAATTTTACAGATGAGAAAACTGAGGCTATTCTGTGGAGCTGCCATCCCCCGTTCCCAAGTGGCTGCCCAATATCACATCCACCATCAAAATTCAGCCTATACTTGGTTGCTGGAAGACAGGCCACAGGAGAAGCCCTTTAAGTAATAAAAAACTGAAGTAAATGTCCAAGAGCTATGACAAACTGGGAAGAGGACTTAGGAAATGAAATAAGCTGAAAGAGCACAATGATTTGGGTACTGCATTCTGCTGACACCTTCACAATCAAAAATCAACAGGAAGAGGTCATCTTGACAGGGTTAACATGAGCTTGACTGCAAGGTCACCTCTGACAACAGTGGCCCAGGCCAAGGCTGAATGCAGTCAAAATAACAAGCCCCAGGAAGCCTTGAGGACCAGAGGAAAGCTTGCACTCTCTAAGGAGAATGTAGTGTAGCTAGTAAAAGAGAAAGGTTTTAAAATGAAACAAGAAAGAAAGAAAATGTCTGACCTGTTTTTATTCCCAGATTTGTATTTTTCCAAATCACATCAACCCAGGGCCATCATCTCGCACACATCCAGGGCTCCTCTCACATATGCAGCATGGTAGCCCCAACAAACATGGCCAAGGGCCGGGTGACCTTGGAGAGGATTCTCTCTACTTCCAGTGTGAATAAGAAACTCCCAGTGGAGGGTCAGTAATGAGGGCACAAGCAGGGAGAAGGGAGAGCCAGAGGGTATAGAGCGACTGGCTGGATGGACAGGGGGTCTCCAGGAGCTCAGATGATTGACTCATTTATCCATGGTAACAGCAAGAAAGGTAGCCCAGTTAATTTAAATCCTTGGCTATAGTTGAAACCCCACTGTAGCTGAAAGCCAGCCTTCCCATCCACCAAAATTTTTTTGGGGGGAGTGGGGACGGAGTTTTGGTCTTGTCAGCCAGGCTGGAGTACAATGGCACGATCTCGGCTCACTGCAACATCCGCCTCCTGGGTTCAAGTGATTTTCCTACCCCAGTCTCCCAAGTAGCTGGTGCCCGCCATCACACTCGGCTAATTTTGTATTTTTAATAGAGACGGGATTTCACCATGTTGGCCAGGCTGGTTTCAAATTCCTGTCCTCAAGTGATCCATCCACCTCAGCCTCCCAAAATGCTGGGATCACAGGCATGAGCCACCGTGCCCAGCCCCCAAATCTTTTAAAAAGAGCTGCTAATAAGGAACAGAGCTGAGTGGCTTAAATTTTCTTTCCCTTTACATTTCCTTTCTGGTAGAGGTGTTAATGAGGATGGAAAGGCCCCAAGTGCACAGAGAGAAAGGAGACAAAAATGGTCTGGATAATATGAACTGTGTAGTCAACCATCAAATAAGGGAGGGCTGATTCTATCATCAGTAAGTGACAAGCATCTACAGACAGTTTTAAAGAGCTTCTTTCTGCATAACCACGGATTGCATTGCAAGTGAGGGGAAGTGCTGAGTAACAAAGGAAGCCTGGCCTGGAAATCAGCGGACCCGGGTTGTGGTCCTGATTCCACATCCTCTCTGCACCCCAGTGACTTCACCTATATAACAGTAAGGTGGATGTGGCTACTTAAAGTACCAAATTCTAGGATATAAAGTCTCCAAAATTTGTAACATTGGATTCTCTATACCAAATGGTGATACAATCATACCTATTTTTCAGGGTCATTTTGAAGATTAAATTAAAAAAGGAAAATGGAAAAGGTAAATTTATGATGTGGCAATAAATGCAAGCACTTAATGTGCATTAAGTCATTTATTTCTATCAACAACCCTGCCAGATAGGAACTAATATGATCCTTATTTCACAGATAGTGATGCAGGATTTTTCTCGGCCACTTTGCCAACTGGAGACCTCCAGCTGGTGATGCTGCTGCCCAGGCCTCACTCAGCCCCCAATTCACTGCAGGAGATGCCCCACCTACTTGGCCTACTGGGCCATGACTTTCTTATGCTCTGGCATGGATCCTGTGGCCACTGCAACTGAGCACTTAGCCCCTGGGTGGATGGGGTGTGTGGGCAAGTGAGTGCAGGATCCAGCCAACTGCCCCAAGGGCCGGCACAGGAGCAGGCTCTGTGTGGAGCTTGCAGCTGGACCAGGCATGTTGCAAGTGACTCCCAAGGTGGACTCCGGTGTCCAGATGAGGGGAATGCAGTGGCACACAAACAGGGAAGCCTGCAACCCTGAAGCCTCAGAGGGGTGTTACAGTGTATTAATAGCTCTTTTAGTCCTGCTCTCTGCAGCCCAGTGGGCGGAAGTGTGCTAACAGCTCTGTCAGTCCCATCACCCTACTCTAGCCCACAGCTCTGAGGCTGGCTTAGCCCTGCTGCTGCCTCCCATCATGTGGGGTGGCTGCCCTCCACTGGTGGAGGGCCACGGTATTACGGCCTTCTTTGTACCCACATTTGGTGGGTCCTGAGTTCGTGTCCTGCATCCAAGAAGAATAAGGTTATGCTGACAAACAAAGGGTAAGGAGGGCAGATAAGAGTTTTATTGAGTAACAAAACAGCTCTCAGTGGAGAGGGGACATGAGGGTGGTCCCCCACCTGAAGTTGGGTGGTCTCTCTCTCAGAGTGGCTAGGTCCAGGGCTTTTATGGGCTCAGAATGGGGAGTACATGCTGATTGGTTTGTGAGTATGGAAAAGGCTAAAACAAAGATACTGATCAAAGGTGGGCACGTCAGTGTAAAAAAACATTTAGAGAATGGTAGGTATATGTAAAGTGGGTGAAGGGTGGGTATCAATCAGAGGAAAGCATGCCAAACAGAAAGAGAGGTTCTTAATCTGGTCCATGGATTTGACTTGTAGCTTGGCTTTCAGGCTTTCAACTGTCTTTGGTTTGAAGGTTGAGTTTCATCAGAGACCTGCCCCTGTCTGCCTCCTGCCACTATCACTAAGTGTGTTGAGGCTTGGAGAAGTTAGTGGACATGTCTAAGTCACACATAGACTAACTGTTGGAACTGGGACTCCAGAAAAATCTGTTTGAGCTCAAAGCCCATATTAAAATCCTTTATACAACACAGCCACTCCAATAATGTGTGTGTAGGTTTCTGGACCACAACAAATTATCAATAAATATTATAATCCCTAGACTTTCACCCACTCTGATGAAGTATTTTAATATATGTTTATTGAGTGGATGAATAAATGAGCAAATAAATTCTATGTAACATAAAGCTATAATACTGAGATCCTAGACTTCCATGGTATAGTAAGTCCAACTACTAAGGGGACTCAAGGGCAGCTGGCTTCTCAAAGACTTGGGAGTCAGAGTATCTGTATCTATCCAAAGATGAAAGTATGGAATAGTCTCAATAAGACACAGCAACCACATTACAGCACAGAAATGCCTACAATATACCTGGGGACTAGATTCTGGCTTTAACTGAATCTAAGGAAGAAAAAACCAGAGCAGGAAAACAAAATATCTTATTTACTGGCCTTTCCTTTCTCAATGAATTCAATAAATAAATAAGACTTGGAATTCTGATAAGGAGTTGTCCTATGTTTATATAGCCTTTAACTCCACACAGCCACGTGCAAGAGGGCCTCTTTAGAACAGGGGTGACATTTAAGGATGAGCTAATGAGCAGCATATGTGCTTGCACACTCACCATTGAGAGAAGACAGAAACAACAGCTGAGCAGGCCCCTTCCAGAGCTATCAATATAAACTTCACTCCCTACTCCCACCCCATAGTAATCCCAGACCTTGTGGTAATGAGAAGGGAAGGGGATTGTCTAAAAGAAAATAAGTGGGCTTCTTGGAAATAGGCATCTGTGCAAGCAGCAGCCCCTACCTCTCCCTTCTTCCTTTTTAAACCAGCTTCATCCCTCCCTGTCTTCTCTACTTCTATTGGCTAAGACCTGGGTTATGGGGTGCTAAATGTTCCTTTCTCAGTTCTCAGAACTCCCAAAACAACATACTGCGTTAATTCCAAGAGGTGAATTCTACTTCATCTACAGAACCAGCAAATGGTTTGAAAAACAAGAGACAGAAGAAAATAACATTAGAAGTTAATAAATCACTGGAGCATGAAAGGAAACTTCTCAAAATACACAGACAGACACAAGGGCAAAGGGAGGCAAGAACAAAGAGCAATGTGTGCTGTCCTCCAAGGCACAGAAGAAACAAAACGTGTTTCAAAGCTCAAGGAATGCGTTGTTCCAAATTGCTAATCAATGCTCTATACCAACACCAGCAACTGCTAATAACAAAGAAAGAATCACCTCACTTGAGCTGTAATTACTTCTGACATGGGTCTCCAGGAGGAGTGTCAAGACTCAGGTTAGCAGCTCAGTGTGATAATAACCCAAGATTACCAGAAATTCACAATGTCTGAAGAAAAGGAGAGCTTGCAGGAAAGGAAGTGGCAATTAGAAATACTTGTCATGGTAATTGCATTGTGAATAGCAGGCATCCACTTTTCAGCAGCCAATGTAGGTTTTCTTCTGCCTGACTTTAGAAAAACATCTTCCAGGCAGGTAGAGCAGTGGAGGAACACATCAAATTTCCAGAAATAACACAGTGTGGAAAAAGTATTATTTCTGTCCAAATAATGGTGTGCTGGATAATAAAAACTGTTGAATTCCATAAGGCTGAGAATAATAACACTTGACCAACCAGGGAAGTTGCCTTAAGCCAACCAGCAGCCACCTTTTCCTCTCACTCATAGCAGTGACTTCAATCTGTGTCAACATATTGTCTTCTGACAAGACTAAAATAGCTCTCTAAGAATAGTTGAGGCTCTTCAACTTTATTCTTCAATCACTCACTTTGTCAAAACTAGGTACATCCAAAGGTCTCCATGGTGGAGCTGGCTTGAACATATGAACTGAGAACTGGTCAACCAAAGTCTCTCAGATGCTAATCCCATAAGACATGTGGGAGTCCACTCATGGACTTCAATGAATGGGGCAGTGCTTCTCTTCTGTGCTCTTCAGCAAACCATGAAGAAACCAGGAAACTGCAGACATGTACTCAGAGTCTCCAATATTGCCTTAGAAACAGAGTTCTGCCTTAGCTCTAACACTGAATGATGATACAACTGCTATTAAACTTGGAGCTTGAATGAGCATTCTAAAAAGCAATTCTGATCATGTCAATCCCAGGCTTAAAATCTGCCAGTGATTTCCCATTGCTTCTTGGACAAGCTGTCGTCCCCTTAGTATGATTTCCTTAAGGTACAAGGCCCTCCATGATCTGGCTTCTCTTCATAGAAGTCTCATAACAGCCCTGATATGCTCACATCATGTTTTTAAACTCTAGTCAGTTAATCACAGATCTTCAGATGTGCCATGCTCTCCCAGCCTCCATACTCACATATGAGTTGTTTACTCTGAGAATCCCTTTCACTTAAGTAACGCTTAGGAATATTCCAGACTCAGGTCTGGAGTCACGTCCACTCTGAAGCCTTCCTTATTCCCACCCCTTACCCACTGCGGCCAAATCTGGCTTCAGGATCTCTTCCGTGGGCTCACTTTGCATCTAGCACACTCCTGTGTTACAGCTATCACACCCTATGCCACTTACTTGTCTATTTCTCCCACTAGACTGTGAGCAGTATGAGGGCCAAGGCTTGCCTTTTATTCCATTTTACCCTACACCAGTTATCATAAAGAGCTCATATGCCAAGCTCAAGTTGAATGGAATCCATAGATGAAGGAAGAAAGTTAAATTAGATAATGAAGGGGGAACACTTGGCACATTCAGAAGCAATTAAATCTTGTAATAGGTAATGACTTTGCCAACTCTAGGCATCAGAGGCTAAATCCTGAGTCAGAAAGTACCCTCTCTGGTCAGATATCTGTACTTTTACAATATTTAAAGAGTTTTTTAAGTTGGGAATTTATGAAGGTTAAAAAGAAGGATTTAAGGCCAGGCATGGTGGCTCACCCCCATAATCCCAGCACTTTGGGAGGCCAAGGTGAGTGGATCACCTGAGGTCAGGAGTTTGAGACCAACCTGGCCAACATGGTGAAACTCTGTCTCTACTAAAAATACAAAACATTAGCCAGGCTTGGTGGTGTGTGCCTGTAATCCCAGCTACTCCCGAGGCTGAGGCAGGAGAATCACTTGAACCCAGGAGGCGGAGATTGCAGTGAGCCAAGGTGGTTCCATTGCACTCCAGCCTGGGCAGCAAGAGCAAAACTCTGTCAAAAAAAAAAAAAAAAAGGGATTTAGTGAGCACTGAAACACTCTGGAGAGGCAGTGAATTCCGATGTCCCTCTCCTGTCCCTCTCTGAAGAATTGGTGGTTAACCCTGGGCCTGACTAGACCTTCTTCAGCAGGTCCCACATGGTTGTGGCTCTACGGCTTGGTTGGGGCTGGAATGCAGTTGAGAGTTAAAACTGACTCAGTTTCTAGGAAGGTGCTGTTCTCAGCTCTGCAAAATGCTGACTGTGCCTCTATAACCCTGTGGTACTAAACCCCCACCCTCAATTTCTGTGGTTTCTCTGAGTGGCAGATTCTCTGGGAAGGCTCAGTATTCTGGGAAAGGGTTGTTTTAGAGTCTATTTGGTAAAAAGAGTCTTTTTCTGCTCAGATTCAAACTTATTTGGACCACATTTGCATAATGACACATTATTTCTCCCTTAACACCAGTACACATCCCCTGGGCAAGGCAATTTGAGACTTGACATTTGTTTAATTACTTGATACCGGGTGATCTTGGCTAAGGCCAAAAAGGGCCTCGGTGAGGCCGGTGACACTCCCACCACATTTGCCAGATACGATCATTAGGAAATGATTTGCATGAGAAGAAAGTGCCCTACAATGAGAGAGGGTCGGGGCTCTTGTAGTGGAGAGATAAGGGAAGTAAAGAAATAGAGAGGATCCTATGTGCAAGAGATCCAGTTGGACCCTGCCTAATATAGGCAGGAGCCAAAGCAGAAGTGAAGGAGCTGTTTTCCCAAGGATATTTCTGATACTCAAGGCACAGCAATGCTGCACCAGAGTGCAGAGGACAAAATACAACCCTGATGCACTTTATTAGCACAGTAATGTCAGGAGAGTTTGCAGGTGAGAGCATCAGGAGACAGTACCCTAGTCAGGAAAGCAGCAGCAGGGTACCTCTCTCAAGTGCCTGTGGGTAAAAGACACAATCAGGAGGCTGGATCAGGAAAATACACATGAGAGAACCATTCTTGATCATTGAGGAGACACCCCCTAGGAATGCCCAGAAATACCCAGATAGTTGGGTGGGGTGGGCAAGACCTAAAAGAGGCTGAGATGCTGCAGATGCAGATAGGGCTAATGTCTAGCACACACAAATTAGCATTCATGACCCAGAAAAAAATTAACATCACTATCGAAAGAATTCTAGTCATACCTGTCATGTGCAAAATTATCTAAAGCACCTAGAACCATTTCTGGCATAAAGCAGGTACTAGATAAATATTATTAAGTTTGCAATTGAAGAGGGATCATAAGAAAGCATGAGAACAGGTCTGATATGCAGTCAGTACATGAACTGAAATGGCTGTACAAGTGCTTACAACCAATGTCCCTTCTGAATGATGTTGATGTTGTTGAGTTTATTCTTTTGAATATTGCCCCTGTATGAGACAATAAGAAATCTGAGATGACTCTGCCCTCCCCTCTGGTAATTGTCAAAGCAATTCTGGGCTGTTCCAAAGCCTACAGTTTCAGCTACCTGCCCTGAAACAAAAGACTCAAGGCAGTTCCCTCATTGCATTGCTTATCTCCACCCTCCCTTTACCTCCCGATCCACAAGGTACTGGTGCTAGGCACATCCAAGCCAAGTGCTCTATGGTCCTCTCTCATGGAAAGACTCAACATCTATGACTTGGGAATAACATAGCTCATCTTTTGTAGTGTTTTGTAAGTTTTGCCCTTAACGTGGGTGCCAGCCCATCTGATAGTTGTTTTGTGAAGAGCAGGGAAGGGTGTTTTACAGCTCAGCTTCTGGGAAGCACAGATGTTACAGGCTGTGTCATGGTGAGGTGGTAAAGGCTGCAAGGAAGGTGGGAGAGCATTAATTATCTTCCTGCAGCTGTTCATTAGCCTACAGACACCTTGTCTTGCCATTTTCAGGACTGACAGCCACACAATTCCAAAGCAAAGAAAACCAGGAGATTTGAAGGAGGAAAAGAAGAACTACCTGAAAGTTAAAATGAAAATCAATGTGCAGAACAGCTGGAGCTGCCCTATCTCAGCTTTCTGGTGCACAGGGTGATCACAGGGCCCTCTCAGCTGCCCTGAGGCTCCGTCCCAGTCAGCATAGCGGGGAGCCCCCAACATAGGCTGCAAGTGAAAAAAAAAAACTTTCAGGTGTATGGGATGAGGATGCAGGGGCAAAGCCTTCTCCTTTGTAAATTTTCACTTTCAAGTGTCGGTGAAAGAAGCTGATTCAACAGCCCTATAAACTTAAATGCTGAGTCAATTCAGGCTGAGTAGAAACACAATTCTCATCAATGATCTAAAGAGAAGCATTTCAAACCTCAATACAGTTAGCCTGCTGAGATCTCACCTGAACTCCATTTTATTTTACTCCCCACAGGGGAAATACAGATGACAGCCTGAAATACTGATAGAGCAATATTCAAATGGATCCCTGTGAGCTTTAGCCTGCCAATCCTAGCACCACGTACCTGGTTCTAGGCACAGTTAAGTCAAGACCTTCATTCTCTACATAGGGTGCACCTTTGGTCCCAGAACCTTTGCCCAGAGCAAGTGTCCTTCTTGTTTCAAAAATGACCTCAAACTTGCACCCTTTCATGAATCCTTGAAGTCATGATGGAAAGACAAATTCAAGGATTCTTTAAAAAATTCATGAAAAATGTGCATTATGAAAAAACTATGCATGGATTTTTTTAAATTGGACCAAAATAAATTCATACTAACTTGTTATAACATGTCTGAACAGAATCTAGTTTGAGGCATTAAGAAGGAGAAGACATCAGTTTGAAAAGATCCCCTATTAGAACAACATAAATTCTGCAAAAATTGAAGAGAGAACAAACATCAAATTGATGGTGAAGCTTGGGTGAAGGAATGGTGAAATCACTGATGCTTTGCGAAGCTTATGGGGACAATGCCCCAAAGAAATCAGCAGTTTACAAATGGATAGTGCATTTTAAGAAGGGACAAGACAATGTTGAAGATGAAGCTCACAATGGCAGAGCATTCATATCAATTTGTGAGACAAAACTAATCTTGTTTGTGTCCTAACTGAAGAGGACCAACAATTCACAGCGGCCAACACCATAACCATCTCAGTACAACTTACACAATTCTAACTGAAAAATTGAATGTGAGTAACTTTCCACTCGATAAGTGCCAAAACAATTATGCTCTGATCAGCTGCAGACATGAGCGAAGCTTTCAATGGAAATTTTAAGCAAGTGGGATCGGGATTCTGAAGCTTTTATTCAAAGCAATGTAACAGGAGACAAACTGTGGCTTTTCCAGTCCAATCCTGAAGACTAAGCACAATCAAAGCAACGGCTACCAACAGGTGGAGGTCCAGTCAAAGCAAAAGTGAACCAGTCAAGAGCAAAGGTTAAGGCAACACTGTTTTGGGACACAAAGGCCAAAGAATGATAACATCTGCTTATTATGAGAGTGTTTTGAGAAAGTTAGCCAAAGATTTATCAGAAAAACACCCAGGAAAGCTTCACCAGCAAGTCCTTCTCTACTACAACAATGCACCTGCTCATTTCTTTCATCAAACAAGGGCAATTTTGTGAGAGTTTCTATGGGAAATCACTAGGCATCCACCTTCCAGTCCTGATTTGGCTTATCCTGGCTTCTTTTTGTTTCCTATTCTTAAAAAAACATCTTTGAAGGGCACCCATTTTTCTTCCATTAGTAATGTAAAAAAGACTGCATTGACATAAATTCCCAGGACCCTTAGTTCCTTAGGGGTGGACTAAATGGCTATTATTATTGCTTTAAAAAGTGTCATGAACTGATGGAGCTTATGTTGAGAAACTGTTTATATTTTTTATCTTTTAATTCCACTTTTCCATGAGCCTTTTGAGGTCTTTTCATGCCTCTTCCTGCCTCAGCCTGTGCCACACACACTTGCTCCTTGTGTGTGCCACTCAAAGAGAAACCAGAAGTATAATCCAGGATGTGGTACAAATTAAGAGTCTCCCTCTGACCAAATCCAGTAACCTTAAAGCTGCAGTCTGTAATATGACCCCTGTCCAAGCCTTCAGGCAGGTGCAGCAAGAGAGAATCTCAGCCAGAAGATGGGTGAATGAAGCCCTCCCCTGGCATTTCATGGGAATTCCTGGCAGGTTAGGATATAGCCCCTACATGTCAGGTCTCATGCTGCCTCCCAGCATTGAAGATTGTCCACTCCTTGCTCATAGGTGTCAGATCCCCACTGATGAGCAATGAGCAGGGCCCTGACCTGCCCTGCTTGCTCTCCCTTGCTGCAGCCTCATCCTACTAACTCTCCTCTCATTGCAACTATCACATTACAGATGACCACATGGTTTTACTTGCCACATCCTGCCCACAGAATGCCACTCACGGGCAATATTTCACAGCTGTTTCTTTGATGACCTTGTCTGTGGTCTTGATCTAAGTGCCACCACATGCCCCAGAATGACAGAAGATATAACATAACCCAAGACAAGGGGAAATCAGAAATGCTGGCTTGTCCCTACCACCACCCCAGACCCAGGCTAAGTCATTTGAGAAAACTGATTTTCATTTTTTTAATTCCTAGGCAAATAGATTCTTGCTTTCTTTAGTCATCAAGTTTGGCCTTTGCTAAAAGAAAAAAAAAGTTCTTCTTTGTGTCTAACCTGAACTCTCAGCTGAAGCTTCACATCATTTCTCCCAGCATCATTCTTAGAAGCTGTGCACATTCCTCATCTTTATTAAGATTTAATGATCTAATTCACATTTAGTCAATATGAATTAAAGGTCATTCTCTGACAAAAACACAGAGAACCAGGTATTAAAAGGCTCTCTACGTCCAGGGCCAGTCACTGGCCCACTTCTCTGGTCTCAAACTCTAATCAGAGAAGATCTGGGCTCTTGCAAAAGCCAGAGTTGATTCCTCTCCCTTTCCTCTCCTATGCTCCCTGAGTGGTAACTCAGAGCTATCCATTTTTAAATGGCTTTCTTCATTCTCAGTAGTTCCACTTTGGGCATTTTGCTATTTTTATATTATTTATATGGGTGTGATCCTTTTGTGATGATTATCTGTGATTAATCCTCGCAGCTATGGGAAAATCAGTATAACGGCTTGTACCACATCTAACAAGAGTTGATGTCTGTGTAGCTTTTTGTGTTACGCAGCTTTGCAAGTTCACTTTAATTGACAAGAGAAAAAGAGAATATGCAATTAAAAAGGTGTTTATTATTTATTTTTTAATTTATAATTTATAGGAATTATGTACATAGTAGACAGATAATAAGGCATGCTTTCAGTGTGATTTAATGAAGCCAGGTGGCACATCAGCAGGGCCCTAGTGCCCTCCAGCAAAGGGCTTCATGTCCTCTTCTTCCCTGGTCTCAGCTGCCATCAGACTGAAGTCACCCTCCGCCCAGTCAAAGGCAAGAGAAATGAGGACATTATGCTAGTCCTAGGAATACGGTCACAGCATGGATTTCAAACTACTGTTTAAAACAGAACTGTGTCTAAATCATCGCACCACATTTCTGACAATATGAAACAGGGAGATGCCAGTTCTCCCACTGACAGGTGCCATCACCCCAGACACTGGCAGTCAGACAAGCACAGCACAGCCCTCGAATTTAAAGGGTTAAAGGGAAGATTTACAGGACCATATTTCTTTCCCAGAAACACCAGGCAGTTCATACGTACACATTTCTCTCCACTAAGACCTAATTTTCCACCATTTCCCTTGATTTGCAGCTCCCTTTTCCCCATTTCTTTGATTTAATGCCCAATTATTTTTTGTCCCATTGCCAGTAAAACAAAATATTTCATAACTGCTTCTGTGAAGTTTTGGATACTGTTTTAAATACATGACTTACACACCTTATATTGCACAATTTAGAGGAATTTGGTGAACATCTAGATATGGATTCTGCATCTTTCTCAACAAGCTGTCCTAAGCTTGACATTTAAAAGCACCATGCCATACTTTAACACATTGCCAGCATGCTCCTGTCTTCCAGCCTCCAGCCAGCACCCTCCTCGGTGTGAAGCTGAGAGGAGGGACACTGGGACCTCATCTCTTCCAATTCCCTGGCCTCCTTTCCCTCCCCTGGCAGTGAGGGCTAAGCGGACAGGGAACTAGTTGGGTAGTCAAGTAATTGGCATCAAGTTCCACACCTGCCACCAACTGACTGTGTAGCCTTGGCTGGTCACCTCACCAATTGATCCTTAGTTACCTCATGTATAAAATGAGGGGTTTGAATCAAATCCCTCCTAATTTTCTTACAGTTATAAAACTCTGGATTCCCTTCTGTGTCCTAGAAACAGGAATTAAACAACCAGACCAATGGGTCTGATTTTGGTATTTGAGGAGGGAGAAAATAAAAGATCAAGAGGCAAGGCTTCTCTACTATTAAAATCCTTTTCCCTGTTTAAGCTTCTTTTGGCCTAATTTCCACATGCATATACACAAGGACAGCAGGACAGAAAGAAATCTTACAGAATTTGTCTCCAATTTGTTTGACAAGCTCATTTCTTTTCTTGCTCATCTTGTTTTACAGTGTATTGCTCTGTTCTCAAAAGGAAAATTAACTTTGTTTTAAGAAGTATGTGTAACTTTGTGAATGCTGCGAAAATACTGGAGCCATCTGGGGTGTTCAGAAACCATTATCACCAAACTCACTCTGGAAATGTGGTGCAGGATGTGGCCACTCAAGTCCAGGCCTATCAATAAGAAAGGAGTACTCAGTATTCACCAACCTCCTTGCCCCAGTCAGTTTCCAGGTTCTATCACATCTGATATCAGAGCCCTTGTTTGAACTCCACCATCTCCAGAGATCCACAATCCAAGGGTCCAGGGCTGGGATTGGGTTCTACAGAGGGCACTCCCTACTCGAGACTGAAACCCCTTCTCAAAGATTATGACAGTGAGGGAAGTCTAGCATGGCTGACTCCACCTTGCTTCTGGCCTCACAGGCTGGCTGTCCTCATTCATTCCTGGGCATAGGCCAAGCTAATCATGGGAGAAAATTAGTTTACACTTTAAACTTGAAGCAAGAATGAAAACAATCCCTCCCTAAAACTATCCCCCAACACTGTTCAGGGACCAAAACCTGTGTATAAAACTAATGAAAAGCCACAAGATTAAGATTATGGGAGGAAAATTGCGTTTGAATTCTACTCAAATAAAGATGTGGTTTCTATAACCCCTTACTGCTCAAGGGTCTTGTGGCCAGAGGTCACAAGATTTGTGACTTCCCCAATTGTTCCTGTAGATAACATCACTATTGTACAACTTGAGATTGGTCTTTTGAGATGTTTTTCAGACTTTTACATTCTGTCAACTGACAAACCCCACCCAGACCTATGATTTATGACTCAACTGGTCCTGTGGCCCCACAGAGAGGTAGACTCAGCACACGAGGACCATTTTCCACACCCCTGTGATTTCATCCTCAACCAATCAGCAGCACCCATTCCCTAGCCTCCTGACTGCCAAATGTTTCATAAAAACCCTAGCCTCTGAGTTCTTAGGGAGACTAATTTGAGTAATAACTCCAGTCCTTCTGTTTGGCTAGCTCAGTGTTCATTGAACTCTTTCTCTACTGCAACACTATGTTGCAGTAGAGACAGCGAATTAGTTTTTTCTGTGCAGTGGGCAGGAAGGCAATTACAAGACAAGAACTAGAGGGACAATAAACACAGAGCAGGAAAGATGAGATTCAAACCCAAGCCCAGAAACCAAAAGGACCAGAGGCAAGGAAACCAGACACGAAGAGCTGGGTGGAGAAAGCCCAAAGAGAAATTAAAGTGAATTAGATAAGAAGATATTCATAAGGCTACCAATACAAGGAGAAACCTGAACAAATTACCAGGTTAAGAAAAATAAGGTTTCTTAATCCTGAGTTCTAGTTTGATTGCACTGTGGTCTGAGAGACAGTTTGTTATCATTTCTGTTCTTTTACATTTGCTGAGGAGTGCTTTACTTCCAACTATGTGGTCAATTTTGGAATAAGTGCAATGTGGTGCTGAGAAGGATGTATATTCTGTTGATTTGGGGTGGAGAGTTCTGTAGATGTCTATTAGGTCTGCTTGGTGCAGAGCTGAGTTCAATTCCTGGAAATCCTTGTTAACTTTTTGTCTTGTTGACCTGTCTAATGTTGACAGTGGGGTGTTAAAGTCTCCCATTATTATTGTGTGGGAGTCTAAGTCTCTTTGTAAGTCTCTAAGGACTTCCTTTACCAATCTGGGTGCTCCTGTATTGGGTGCATATATATTTAGGATAGTTAGCTCTTCTTGTTGAAATGATCCCTTTACCATTATGTAATGGCCTTCTTTGTCTCTTTTGATCTTTGTTGGTTTAAAGTCTGTTTTATCAGAGACTAGGATTGCAATCCCTGCCTTTTTTTGTTCTCCATTTTCTTGGTAGATCTTCCTCCATCCCTTTATTTTGAGCCTATGTGCATCTCTGCACATGAGATGGGTCTCCTGAATACAGCACACTGATGGGTCTTGACTCTTTATCCAATTTGCCAGCTTGTGTCTTTTAATTGGAGCATTTAGCCCATTTACATTTAAGGTTAATATCATTATGTGTGAATTTGATCCTGTCATTATGATGTTAGCTGGTTATTTTGCTCGTTAGTTGATGCAGTTTCTTCCTAGCATCGGTGGTCTTTACATTTTGGTTTGTTTTTGCTGTGGCTGGTACTGGTTGTTCCTTTCCATGTTTAGTGCTTCCTTCAGGAGCTCTTGTAAGGCAGGCCTGGTGGTGACAAAAATCTCTCGGCATTTGCTTAAGGATTTTATTTCTCCTTCATTTATGAAGCTTAGTTTGGCTGGATATGAAATTCTGGGTTGAAAATTCTTTTCTTTAAGAATGTTGAATATTGGCCCCCACTCTCTTCTGGCTTGTAGATTTCTGCCGAGAGATCAGCTGTTAGTCTGATGGGCTTCCCTTTGTGGGTGACCCGATCTTTCTTGCTGCCCTTAACATTTTTTCCTTCATTTCAACTTTGGTGAATCAGACAATTATGTGTCTTGGAGTTGCTCTTCTCAAGGAGTAACTTTGTGGCATTCTCTGTATTTTCTGAATTTGAATGTTGGCCTGCCTTGCTAGGTTGTGGAAGTTCTCCCGCATAATATCCTGCAGACTGTTTACCAACTTAGTTCCATTCTCCCCATCACTTTCAGGTACACCAATCAGACGTAGATTTGGCCTTTTCACATAGTTCCATATTTCTTGGAGGCTTTGTTTGTTTCTTTTTACTCTTTTTTCTGTTAACTTCTCTTCTCACTTCATTTCATTCATTTGATCTTCAATCACTGATACCCGTTCTTCCAGTTGATTGGTTCAACATACACAAATTGATAAATGTAATCCAGCATATAAACAGAACCAAAGACCAAAACTACATGATTATCTCAATAGATGCAGAAAAGGCCTTTGACAAAATCCAACAGCCTTTCATGCTAAAAACTCTCAATAAATTTGGTATTGATGGGACATATCTCAAAATAATAAGAGCTATTTATGACAAACCCACAGCCAATATCATACTGAATGGGCAAAAACTGGAAGCTTTCCCTTTGAAAACGGGCACAAGACAGGGATGCCCTCTTTCACCATTCCTATTCAACATAGTGTTGGAAGTTCTGGCCAGGGCAATCAGGCAGGAGAAAGAAACAAAGGGTATTCAATTAGGAAAAGAGGAAGTCAAATTGTCCCTGTTTGCAGATGACATGATTGTATATTTAGAAAATCCCATTGTCTCAGCCCAAAATCTCCTTAAGCTGATAAGCAACTTCAGCAAAGTCTCAGGATACAAAATCAACGTGCAAAAATCACAAGCATTCTTATACACCAATAACAGACAAGCAGAGAGCCAAATCATGAGTGAACTGCCATTCACAATTGCTTCAAACAGAATCAAATACCTATGAATCCAGCTTACAAGGGATGTGAAGGACCTCTTCAAGGAGAACTACAAACCACTGCTCAATGAAATAAAAGAGGACACAAACAAATGGAAGAACACTCCATGCTCATGGATAGGAAGAATCAATATTGTGAAAATGGCCATACTGCCCAAGGTAATTTATCGATTCAATGCCGTCCCCATCAAGCTACCAATGATTTTCTTCACAGAATTGAAGTTCTTTAAAGTTCATATGGAACCAAAAAAGAGCCCACATTGCCAAGACAATCCTAAGCCAAAAGAACAAAGCTGGAGGCATCACGCTACCTGACTTCAAACTATACTACAAGGCTACAGTAACCAAAACAGCATGGTACTGGTACCAAAACAGAGATATAGACCAATGGAACAGAACAGAGCCCTCGGAAATGATACCACACATCTACAACCATCTGATCTTTGATAAACCTGACAAAAACAAGAAATGGGGAAAGGATTCCCTATTTAATAAATGGTGTTGGGAAAACTGGCTAGCCATATGTAGAAAGCTGAAACTGGACCCCTTCCTTACACCTTATGCAAAAAATTAATTCAAGATGGATTAAAGACTTAAATGTTAGACCTAAAACCATAAAAACGCTAGAAGAAAACCTAGGCAATACCATTCAGGACATAGGCATGGGCAAGGACTTCATGTCTAAAACACCAAAAGCAATGGCAACAAAAGCCAAAATTGATGAATGGGATCTCATTAAACTAAAGAGCTTCTGCACAGCAAAAGAAACTAACATCAGAGTGAACAGGCAACCTACAGAATGGGAGAAAATTTTTGCAATCTACTCATCTGACAAAGGGCTAATATCCAGAATCTACAAAGAACTCAACCAAACTTACAAGAAAAAAACAAACAACCCCATCAAAAAGTGGGTGAAGGATATGAACAGACACTTCTCAAAAGAAGACATTTATGCAGCCAACAGACACATGAAAAAATGCTCACCATCACTGGCCATCAGAGAAATGCAAATCAAAACCACAATGAGATACCATCTCACACCAGTTAGACTGGCGATCATTAAAAAGTCAGCAAACAACAGGTGCTGGAGAGGATGTGGAGAAATAGGAACACTTTTACACTGTTGGTGGGACTGTAAACTAGTTCAACCATTGTGGAAGACAGTGTGGAGATTCCTCAAGGACCTAAAACTAGAAATACCATTTGACCCAGCCATCCCATTACTGGGTATATACCCAAAGGATTATAAATCATGCTGCTATAAAGACACATGCACACGTATGTTTCTTGGGGCACTATTCACAATAGCAAAGACTTGGAACCAACCCAAAAATGTCCATCAATGATGGACTGGATTAAGAAAATGTGGCACAAACACACCATGGAATACTATGCAGCTGTAAAAAAAGATGAGTTCATGTCCTTTGTAGGGACATGGATGAAGCTGGAAACCATCATTCTCAGCGAAATATCGCAAGGACAGAAAACCAAACACTGCATGTTCTGTCTCATAGGTGGGAATTGAACAATGCGAACACTTGGACACAGGAAGGGGAACATCGCACACTGGGGCCTGTCGTTGGGTGGCGGGAAGTGGGAGGGATAGCATTAGGAGATATACCTAATGTAAATGATGAGTTAATGGGTGCAGCACACCAGCATGGCACATGTATACATATGTAACAAACCTGCACGTTGTGCACATGTACCCTAGAACTTAAAGTATAAGTTAAAAAAAAGGGGGGTCAGATTATGTTGCATAGTAATTCAAATCAGCCCTTGCTGGAGGTCTTGAATTCTCTCCATCCCCCACTGAGACTGAACATACTCTCAAGTGCCGTGGGGTTTCCAAAGTAATTTCTATAAACCACAATATTATTTGCTTCCTGAAAGCAAGCAAGGGCCCGTTATCTGGTCTGGATAAGTTGGAGTCAAGAGAATTCTGGAAAGATGGTGGCTTCACAACATGATGCTATGCCTGTACTTTGATCTTCAATTTATCCCTATTTTCTCATCTAAGTAGCTATTGGTGCTGACAGGCACCAGGATGAATAGGGAGAAATCTTATGAACTCAGTGGGAGACACTGGTGGGACTCTCTCCATTGTGTGCCTGCTGAGAGCCTGGAGACCCAGCTACAGAATGCCCTGATTAGAACCTGTAGCTCTTGGTAGAGTTCCATGTGCATGGGACACCCTTCTCCCACACAAATACATGCATCCGACCAGAAGGAATTCTTTATCTGTCTAGGGTTCTTCTCAGCCACCAAGGACAGGTGGGCTGAGTCCTCCCACCTCCTAGGGTTGGAAGACAGGAAGACAGGGATTCTTCCCAGAGTTCAGCCCTCACTGGCCCTCAGGGGTAGAGATACTTTGGCCTCTTTCCAGAATACCTCACTTAAGGTTCTCCAACAGCTAAACCTGAGTCTCAGTGAGGAGACAAAAAGAAATAGCAACACATCCCACAGTGAAAGAAGGTACAATCACATTGAACAACGTGGTCCTACCCTTTAGGAGCTTATGATATAGGGGAAAATAAGAATTGCAGCAAAAAGCTCTTTGTTTCCATCAATTCTAAAAATAACCCACCAAGTGAAAATTACCCTCTTGCAAGGGACAGGTAGAGTTACTCACAGCCCCATTCCACAAGCAAGGAATAGGCATTTTCCTTTTTTTTTCCATATCTTCTGCAAGAATTTTTAAAGCTAATTAAGTAAAGGGATAGGGCCAAAGAAGACTTCTGTCTTGTGGCTCCTTACTTTTTACTATGCCAGGCATAACTGTAAAGCAAGGAATGTGGTCTCATAATAAAGGCAACAGAAATTTATACATCCAAATGAACATAGTTGATGGAGATTTAGAGGGCTAATAAATAATACCTCTTTCTTCTTCACCTGAAGATTAAAATCCAATGAGAGAAATACACAGGAGTCACATAGATAGAATTCAAAATATTGCTAATATCTTTGACCATGAGGTTTTAAATCTGTGGCCAAGAGGGTTTGCTAATACTTTATCTCCAAATATATAGGAGCCACCCATGCAGGCTTCCCCACTGAACAGAACAAGAGATCTTCAGGTTGGCAAATTTGAAAATAGAGCCCAGTCCTTCTCCCTTACTCACCATCAGATTCAGTTACTCTTGCCTCCTGGGAGGAGTGAGAAGATAAAGAATGGTCATTAATGTTACTCTAGTGGATAGCTCTTCACATAGGTACACAAAGCCAGGGAAAGATGTCTGCTCAGCCCCCAACCCAACAGCCATCTCCTTCAAGTGGAACCCATGGGACATGGTTTCTTTTTGTGAAGCTGCCATTATTCAGAATGCTTTTGAGCTCCTCTCTGAAAATCCTATTCAGAGTCTATAGCTCACTCTTTGAATACCCTTTGGTTACAGCAACGTTTCATCTGCACACATGAAACAGTCAAGAGTCCTTGGAGTAAAGCAGGCAAAAACCTTTTGGGTCAATGTGAGGGCAACAGTGGAAAGATGAATGTGCTTTTCCTGTGTGACGTGTAAACTGATACTGAAGTGTGATCACTGCTTTCACCTAATGGCAGCATCCTGGGGAGGAAGTTATGGTTACCGTGGTGACGCTTTCTGAAGCTGAAAGTTGGGACATGTGATCTGATAAAGACTTTTTAAGCCACTTGCAAGAATAAGACGCTATCTTGCAAATATAATTTTGATGCTGAAACCCTGGACTTTCTGACATATTTCAATTGTTTATGAATGGAACCAGATGAAACTTTGATGGAGAACCTTTGTATCATCAATTCTAAACACACAGCTGGCATGTGCAAACTACTTACAAGTTGACAACAACTTTGAAGAGGATTATTTTCATTTCACAAAATTCTGGTACACTTACGAAAAAAAATCATACTGACTGCTTTATGGTAAAACCAAACATGAACTTTGGTGAGAGGTTTGGCTGCTCGTATTGACTGTCACCAGAAGCAAAGCAGCTATATACCAGCTCAGTTGTTAATTAGAAAAGAATTGGACTTCAAATAAACAACCCATTTTTTACCGCACTTTAGTTTTAGAAGAGGGATTGATAATCTTTCGTACTACATTTACATTTTCCATTGCTTTGCAGTTAATTTGGTGAGACACCTCTTCTACAATGCCAGAAACAAGTAATGGGATTCAAAAGGTGGGTAGGAGAAGAAGGTGAGACATTCAAAGGTAATTAAAATTTAAAAACCCAAGAGCCAAAAGCAGGTTCAGGAGCCACATCTTTAAAACTCTGGTAGTTAGAGGGGCTTTTTCTGCCCCCGTGGAGAGAAAGAGCCTTGCACAGAGAATCAGAGGAAGAGAGGGAAAGGACTGAGGGGCTGGGGAGAGCAAGTGTCTTAGTCCATCTTGTTTCACTATAAAGGAATACCTGAGACTGGGAAAGTTATAAAGAAAACAGGTTTATTTGGTTCATGATTCTGCTGGCTGGAAGATCAGGCATCTGGTGAAGGCCTCAGGCTGCTTCCTCTCCTGGCAGAAGGTGAAGGGCACCCAGTGTGTGCAGAGATCACATGGTGGGAGGGAAACAGAGGGTGGAGGGGCAGGCTGTTTTTAACAACCAGCTCTGGAGGCAACTAATAGAGTGAGAGCTCACTCACCCCTGCCCCTGGGTGTGGGCATTCATCTATACTTTGAGGGGTTCCACCTCCATGACCCAAATACCTTTCATTAGGCCCCACCTCCAATATTAGGATCAAATTTCAACCTGTGATTTGGTGGGGACAAATATGCAAAGTTTGCCATTATCAGAAAGAAATGAGGCATTTTTTTTTTTTTTGCTTCTACTTCCTCATAATGAGGATAAGGTGGAGATAAGGGGTAAGGGAAGTAAGGCAGTGGGAGGCCCAAATAAATGACACTCCTGTAATACAGGTCTTAAATCTTAAGAAATACGGGACTTACTCCCAGCACAAGATAGTGACATTTAGGACATCACTCCCAATACAGTTGAGCTTAGTAGTTCCCATCTGCATTGTGTGGGGAGGGAACACAGAGGACCCCAGGGCCACATTACCATAACATACTGCTCTTCTATGACATCCCAGAGGACTCTCATTAGAACTTCAGACTGTTCGCCCCTCTGCTCGGAAGATATTTTGACTGCTGTCCGGAAGACAGGAACAGCTGGGCTGTTAAAGTCAACAGGCTCCCACTTTCACATCGACACAATTGTGTCGTAATTCACATAAATGTGAAATATGCCTTCCACTGCTCCCACTCCCAGGACTGAGCAAGGCCAGCTTGTGTTTCCTCCAAACCCCAGAAAGGGACAGTCCCAGTCTTGAGTGAATTCTCCATTCTTGTTGGTAAGAAGAGGGGTCCATGGTCCCTGCCACGTCCCCAGAAAAGCTGTGGGCTCAACAGCCCTGTTTGGGGGAAAGGCAGAGGACAGGGGAAAGAAAAATGCAGGAGAGGCTTGAACCTAAAAAGGGCCATATGAACATTAGCCTTGCACAGGAAATGTCCTCACCAGCTGCATCCACCTTGGTCCTTCAAGGTTTGGCTCAAATCCTGCCTGTTCCATGAGGCATTCCTGGTCACCTCAAGATTCTCTCACTTCCCCAAGGCTAAGCTTCCATAACGCCTTCAGTCTGCACACAGACATTCCCTGGGACCCAAAGGGATCTTCTGTCGGACCAAGCCCTCCTTCCCTACGCTGCTTTTTCTTTTTCTTTAGTTCCTTTTAACCACTTCCTGAACTTGCCCCTCCATTCTTACTCTCCCTCCACCCACCCACTTTAGAACCCACTCCCTTCCTCCATGCATCATGTAGCTCTGCTACCTGTGATGAGTCAAAGATGGGTCTAATCTGCCCCCACTTTGCACTGCTGGGTATGTATCTGGGGCATCAGGGTGCCTGTGTGGGAGGAAGTGAGAGACAGGACTAGCTGGATTTCCTAGGCCGACTGAGAATTCCTAAGCCTAGCTGGGAAGGTGACCACATCCACCTTTAAACATGGGGCTTGCAACTTAGCTCACACCTGACCAATCAGATAGTAAAGAGAGCTCAATAAAATGCTAATTAGGCAAAAACAGGAGGTAAAGAAATAGCCAATCATCTATTGCCTGAGAGCACAAGGGGAGGGACAATGATCAGGATATAAACCCAGGCATTGGAGCCAGCAAGGGCTACCCTCTTTGGGTCCCCTCCCATTGTATGGGAGCTCTGTTTTCACTCTATTAAATCTTGCAACTGCACCCTTTTCTGGTCCATGTTTGTTACCACTCAAGCTGAGCTTTCACTCACCGTCCACCACTGCTGTTTGCCACCATCACAGACCCGCGGCTGACTTCCACCCCTCCGGATCCGGCAGTGTGTCTGCTGTGCTCCTGATCCAGTGAGGCGTCCATTGCCGCTCCAGATCGGGCTAAAGGGTTGCCATTGTTCCCGCATGGCTAAGTGCCCGGGTTCGTCCTAATCTAGCCAAACACTAGTCGCTGGGTTCCACAGTTCTCTTCCGTGACCCATGGCTTCTAATAGAACTATAACACTCATCACATGGCCCAAGATTCCATTCCTTGGGGCCAAGAACCTCAGGTCAGAGGACAAGAGGCTTGCCGCCATCTTGGGAGCATCCCACCACCATTTTGGGAGTTCTGGGAGCAAGGACCCCCGGTAACAGAAGGACTTTGGATTCCACTATTGCAGTTTGCAGTTTATTCTTTCCCCAAATATCTAAACATATCAGACACATCTCAAACTGCAAGGATACTCTTCCTGCCAAAACCCATCACCAGGGCTACTATTTCTCCTGTTAATATAATTTTGAACTAATTACTCTACCAAAAGCCTTTGTCCCCTCCCAACCTTCCTGAACAGTGAGGGATACTGTGCCCAGGTTTTCCTTCCCAATTCCTGGGGTTCTCTCTGGCTTGTTTTGGGGGAGAAGATAAGGAGAGTAAGAGAACTATCTTACCATTCAAACAAGTTAGGACTTGTTTCTCCCCAACAGGATTCCAAATCCCTTTTTGTCCCCGACAAGGTCTGACATAGCACCAAGCACACATAGTTGCTTAAGAGCTAGCTAAACAACGGAGCTGGGACTTAACCCCAGGTCTGCAGGGACTCCAGACTTCCACACCGCCTCTGTTCCCTGCTACATCCTTCCCCTGTTCCACAGTCTCCCAGGGCGGGCTGTCACCTTTCCAAAGGCAGACCAGAAGGTCCTCTGGGAAAACTTAAGATACTACTGGGTCTGGGGGAGGATCATGGAGGTGTTCAGAGCCAGCAGAGATTCCTTTCCCACCCTGTCGCATGTGCCACATAGCAAGCGCCCAGGCCCTTGGGCAAGGAAGTGGGTTCCACAGCCATTTAACATCTGTAGCAATGCTATCAACAGCTCTGTCCTAGCTTTTGCCAAGGCATTTGATCCCTGGCCAAAACCCAGCCTGTAGCCAGGGAGAAATGGTGAAGAGGCCAATATCGGAACCCTACTCCTCAATAAGAGCAGGAAGCATTAATAATTTGTGTTCCTTTTTATTGATGAGATTCAGGCCCCAGAGTCAGTACAACCAGCCAGGGCCCCACACCCAGGCCAAGCTCTACCTCCAAACGCTGTTATGCATTTATTAGCATCACAACACTTCTTCCCAGTAAGATCTTATGCAGAATCCCAATATGGAAAACCCATGAAAGTGGTGGAAGTGGGAGAGGGGTCCCAGAGCCTCCATTGCCCTGGTCCTCCTTATTGGTCCTCTTCCCAACTCATTCTCCCCCCACCCACCGTGGACATAGAGCAGTCAGAGAACAGCTGCAGTGGCCCAACAGGGCTGCCCAGGGGGAGGAGGGGTAGGCAGAAAAGTTGAGCACCTAATTTGTTCTGCATAAGACCCCTTGAAGTGAGCTACTTTCATTTCTACAGAGCAAATAATGGGCCTAGAAATCAGAATGAAGGCTGACACCAGGCCCGTCAACATTTCCAGCATCCATGGTCTTTAAATATTCAAACACCAAGATTTTGAAGGACCTTTGACTTTTCTCTTCATTTTTTTTCCCCCCAAATGTCAACAAACACTGCTTTTGCTGAGTGAAGAGTCTGGCCTTGCCTTTCCTGGTGGAAAAAATGAAATAAAAGAGGTGAAGCGAGAGAGAAGGTGAGAAAAGAATAGGATAAAGGATGAGGATGCTTAAGGGTGTCCTGAGAGACCTAGAACTTAGAAAGGAGGTCGCGGCGATGGGCATGGGGGATACAGCCTGCCTTTTCATCAAATGTTGGGCTCTTCAGTTATGTCCTGCATTTTACAGATAAGGGAACTAAGGGCCCAAGAGGTGAACAAAGTTAAGTAGATCATAAAGCCAAGTTTAAAAAAAATAATAAGTCAAACTAGAGGTCTGTTTCTGGTGCCCAGACCAATGCTTTTTTCACTATGGTCTCCTTAAAGGGGAAAGGCAGCTCTCACAGACTATGGAAAAAGGAACCATTGATGTAAGTTTGTTCTTTCAGCAAGCATTTATTGAGCTCCTACTATGTCATTCATTCCCTGACGTTGTGGAATAGAAATGAATAAGAGACATTGTCTGCCCTCAGAGAGTCTGCAGAGAGACAGACAAATAACAACTTCAGCCCAACCTAAGAAGTGCCAGCACTGTACTGGGTGTATGTTGCCATGGGGGTCAGAAGTATCAGCTGGACTAGATACATGACTTATGGGCCCCCGTGCAAAATAAACATGCAGAGTCCCTTGTTCAAAAATGATTAAGAATTTTTAAATGGTGATAGCAGAGCATTAAACCAAATGCAGAATCCTTCTGAGTGTGAGACTCTGTGCAACTACACAGTTCACATGTCCATGAGGCCAGCATTGGGTGTCAGATACCATTTCACAGAAAAGGTGCTGCTATAGCCAAGTCTGAAAAGGCAGGAAGTCACCAGCAGATCAAAGAGGAAGAGCATTCCAGAAAAAGAGAACAACATGTCTGAAGGCATGAAGAAGGACATGGGATATTTGAGAAATGGAAACAAGTTCAGTGAGGCCAGGGTACAAGATATGGGTGAAGGAGAAACAAGAAATAAGGCTAGCAAGGAAGAAGGCCCCAGCATCAAGGTTCTTTTAAGCCACACTAAGCAGTTATTATGCAGATATGGCGAGCCCTTGAAGCTGCCCAGGGATATGACCTCATGGGTAATTTAGAAAGGAAACTTGGGCAGTGGGGGGAGTGGGGACTGGAGGAGAGTGAGCTGAGAGCTGGACCCGAGTTAGGAGATCAGTGGAACAATCCTCGCAAGAACCAAAGAGGAAATATCCAGAGGGCATCCAAATATTTAAGAAAGAGAGATTCAGGGCTCATGAGGGGTCCTTGAGGAGTGTGGATGAGTGAAAATGAGAACAGGCACCAAAAATGAAGGTGCAGGTGGAGGAAAGAGACTTTGAAGGAAGGGCTTTGGAGGGAAGACAACAAATAGCAATATCACATTATTCAAGAGCCAAGAGACTATCAGGAAGGAGGGCATGGCCAACTTGTAAAATAATGCAAGAGTCAAGATAAGGACTGTAGTGTCTGACATAGCTGATGGAAGTAAGGGCAGGTATAATGTCCACAGATATAGATGTGGTGAGTGATTGTTTCCCAGGCAATGGCAGTCTAAAAGAGCACAAGGAAAACAGAGGGCTCCAGCTCTGCCTCTCCACCTGCCCTGGTGCTCGATCCCCAGCCCCAGCCCAGGTGCTCCAGGGGACAGCAGTAGCCTGAATCACAGTTTCTCCTAGAGCTGCAGTGAAGATGGTCCTTGCTATGGTCTGAAAGTTTACATATCCCCAACATTCCTGTGTTAAAATTCTCACCCTCACAGTGATGATATTAGGAGGTGGGGCTTGGGAGGTGATTAGGTCATAGAGCAAAGCCCTCATGAATGGGATTAGTGCCCTTATGAAAGGGGCCCCAGAGAGCTACTTTGCTTCTTCCACCGTGCGGGGATGCAGTGAGACTGTACCATCTACAAACCAGGCAACAGGCCTTCATCAGACACCAATTCTGCCAGCGCCTTGATTTTGGACTTCCCAGCCTCCAGAACTATAAGAAATAAATATCTGTTCTTCAGAAGACACGCCGTCTATGGTATTTTGTTATAGCAGCCTGAAAGAACTGAGACCCTCGTCCTTCAACTGGTTCCCTCATGGCTGCCACACTTCCCTGCAAGAGTGGTCAGAGGTCACATCTGACCTTGGGATGACATTGGGATGTCCATATGCCCTATGGCCAGCCTCCCTCATCCTCACAGACACTGACCCACTCACTCTCCCAGTTGCTAGCTGTGGCCTAGCCTCTTTGGCCACCCACGCTGCTTGCACTGAGGTTATACTCTCCCACCAACCTTGTAACTCTCTGACAAGACCCTAGACAGGAAGACCTCCTCTATACTGCTTGATAGAATTCACCCAACATAACAACATTTTCATTTACTTACTCTTCCAGATAATAACTACTTCATCTGTCTAAGAATTTGATACAAGTTTCCCATAAGGACTGACTCAGGAGTCAATGAACTAAGTCCATGCAGCATTGCAAGTAAAATCCCCCTTGCTCCACTGGCCCTCAGGCAGTAGACTGAGCCCTCCTGAGCCTTAAAGCGCTCCTTCCCATTAGGCACAGGCCTAGGAAATTAATGGTGCTATGTAATGGTCCTACATACAGCTTCTCTTTTTTGTGGTCCTACGATTTGCCAGTTGTTTCATACCATTATCTCATTTCCTTCTCGATTCAAGCCAGTGAGGTAGGTACTATTATTGTCCTATGTCCCAGAAAACGTTACCCAGGGCAGCCAATGGTTGTACAGCCATGCGAGAAGTATTCAGTTCCTCCCCACTGTGTCTGGATTGAGAGAGCTTTACCCAATCTTTTGTACTTTTCAATATCTCAGATAGTAATTGTTTCTGGCCTTATACCTCCCCAAAGATAGCATGGTAAGAAATGCCAGCCAGTGAAACCATCTCTCTTAGTCTTGACTTCACATCCACCAGCTATCTGTAGAAAAGAGGTGGGGCAGGCCAAAGCGGTCATGACCGAGGTCTTCCAACAAAGGCACCTCTCCTGGTCCTGAAGCAGCCAGAGAATACGGGTGGCCTCACTGTTGGGAAAGCTTCCTGCTGTTCTCTGAGTGCACACATACACATACACACCCCAGCCTCCTCCTCACTTAGTAAAATCTGTTTCCCCTGCATAAAGATAAACCATGCGTGAGACCCACATCATTCTGGAAATGCAAGCCAGGAGTCCATCTCGGTTCTGGCTTGTGTACAGCTGGTGTTTTGCTTCTGATCTGGCCTCTATCCATTCTGACTAGTGGGTGCCTCTGCTATTTCTATTGCTTAAATATTTTTTTATATCAGCCCTGATTCTGGAGAAAATGAGACTCAGACAGGCTAAGTAATATGCCCATAGACCCTCAGCTGTCAAATGGCAGAGCCAGGATTCATAACCGGCTCCATTTAACTCCACAGCCCAGTGCTCCTGATGCCGGTGCTCCATATGTCATGAGTTTCTCTCTACCACAATGCCTAGTGGGTTTCTATGCAGACAGGACCCCTAGTGGTCCATCCAAACATGCTGTATGCCCCATGATGGATATTCAAATGTGACCCCTTTTGGAACCTGGGCTACGCACAATAAAGAAAGAACTCCAGGGAAAGGTAAATGATTAATCCCATTATTTGCAAATCTCAGCAATTCCAGATGAGCCATCTAGTTGAGTGAATGACGGCATCTTTTTTTTTTTTTTAATTCTCTGAACTAGAGTACTGGTTCCTGGGAAATGCCCATAAATAAACATGCTTTCTCTTTCCAGGCCTTTATTTATGTGATTGAATGCTTTTCAAATCTTCAGCTCGTTACCAGGTGACCCTTATAAGTTTAGGGCTATGGCCCAGCCTAAACACTGCCCAGATAAGGGTAGATACAGAACTGAAACATGCAAATAACCAATGCTCTGCTCTATTGAGAAAGAACATTCAGGAAGCAATAAATGAACTTGTTACCACAGCATTGCCCTGTGACAGCCATGAGGAAGAGGGGATGGGAATAGCAGGGGCTTTGCTGCCCACACTTCTCGGCTTCTCTGCCTCCCTGCTTCACCAGGGCAATGGTTCTCAAAGTGTGGCCTGTTCCAGGAGCAGCACCTGGAAACTTGTTAGAAAGGCAAATGCTCCAGCCCCACCCCAGAACTGCTGAAACAGTGTTTTACCAAGCCCTCCTGCTGATTCTGATGTATGCTAAAATTAACCACTACACTTGACATTCATGAGGATTCGAAGTTGAGTGACTCTGTCCCTTTAACCAAGAGAAATTAGAAATGTTAAGCATTAAAAAAGGAGGTGACGTGGGAAAGGTGTCACCTTTAGAGTCAGACAAACATGGAATTTTATCCCAGCTTATCCACTTACCATGTATCCCTGAGCAAGTCACTTAACATTTCTAAGAATCAGTTTCATCATCATCTGTAAAATGAGAATTATAAAACCTAGCATAGTCCCTGGCATACAGAAGGTATTAGATGAAAAATAACTGTTACAGTGATGCTTCATGTCAATCACTGACTGGGCATAACACCCAATAGCTGTTGAGTACCTTTCTCTCTGCAGACAGACAATGGGGGAACACCCACACAAGGGCACTGGTAACCTCCCTAGGTGGGTAGGGAGAGGGGCCAGGCTCTTATGGGCTTTGTGTGTGCTCAGTCAGAATAACAGGATCACAGAGATTGGATCTGATCAGCACAGTTGGGGAGCAACAGATATGGAGCCCAGTGCAAGATCTTCGGGGACAGAATGTCACCAAAGAAAAGCTGCCTGGCTCCTTCACACCAATGATTTTCTGACAAACCACTCCTTTGAGAAACTTCAAGTGCCACACTGACATGCAATGCAAAACTAAGCAAGACTTAGAAGTGCAAGCCTCTGGTCATCACAGAGCAGAGCAGGTCTTTATGAGGTAAACCAAACAATGCCCAAGCCCAACAGGGAAGGGCTGGAGGACAGGAAAGGAAGCAAAGAATGAAGGGCAGAGCGGACCCTTCACACATGGTGAGAAGGTAGGGGATGAGCAGACGTAATGTACAGCACAGCATCTCAACTTTAATGAGTGCATTAGGCACCCTCATTAAAATGCAGATTCTGATGCAGTAAATGTTGGATGAAGCCTGACACACTGCATTTCTACAAGCTCCTAGGAGAGGCTGATGTTGCACTTCGAGTAGTCCTTTAAGACAAGAATAGCAATGCTTAACATGGGGTTCAAAAGCCTGGATTCCAATCTGAATTCTGACTCACGTGAGACATGACACAAGAGCCTTGAGAAAGCTACTTAACCTCTCTGAACTTGTTCTCTGCTCTGTAAAATGGGAACACTATGCCTGTCTTATGGAACTCTTTTAAGAATTTCACGAGATAGGCCAGGCGTGGTGGCTCACACCTGTAATCCCAGCACTTGGGGAGGCCAAGGCAGGCAGATCGCTTGTGCTCAAGAGTTTGAGACCCATCTGGGCAACATGGTGAAACCCTGTATCCACTAAAAATACAAAAAATTCATGGGCATGACGACACACACCTGTAGTCCCAGCTACTTGGGAGGCTGAGGTAGGAGGATCACTTGAGCCTGGGAGGTTGAGGCTACAGTGAACTGAGATTGTGCCACTGGACTCCAGCCTAGGTGACAAACTGAGAGTCTATCTCAAAAAACAAAAAAATTGGCAGATGCTAGGCTAAGCACTAGTGTACATTATCTTGTACATTGCATAGTGTACATTATCTTGTACATTGTGTAGTGTACATTATCTTGTACTTGTATAGTGTACATTATCTTATACACTAGTGCTTAGCCTAGTGTCTGCCATCTGGCAGTTCCTTAAAAGGCAGCAGCTGTGATGAATAACATGTGCAGTAATAGCAGTACAAAGCGAGGGCGGGCTGCGTACTCTTCAGCTGGACACCAGGAGGCCCCAGGGTCTGCTGGTACCTTGACGCAGGTTGCAGGGACATACCGCTGGTTCTCTATCTCCTTCTCTGGCCCTCCTGCCATTTTCTGCCCCCAAGCTCGGGTATTCTCAGGTTTGCTCTTGGGCCTTCTGCCCTCCTCTCTCCTCTCCCTTCCCTGGCCTCACTCCCATTCACAGCTCCAACTCTCACTTCCAAGGAGATGATGCCCGCATCTCTACCTACTCCTGATTCCCCTTCCTGATCCTAGACACTCATTACTTTGTTTCTATTTGAAAACCCCCTGTCAGCTCGACTCAACTTGTCTAAAAACAATCTCCTCATCAGATTACTCCACAACCAACACAGCTCCTCACCTCCCTGACTCTGCCAGTGCTACCACCTTCCCAGCTCAGACCCACTTCTCCAGCCAGCCGTCCAGGTCAGAAGGGCTGGGTGTCCCCAAGGTGCTCTAAAGCACCTGGCACATATCCCTGGCACAGCATGCACCATACAATGCTGTGATTTCCTGTGCACTTGTCCCTCTCCACCTCTGGACAGGGACCTCCTGGAGGGTTGGATCCATTGTCTTGATCACCAGTGACCCCAGTGCTTGACACAGGGTGACCTAAATTCCAGCCTGATAATTGCTCTTTATTCAGGAATTCTTGAGGGAGCTGTGCATGTGAGGAATCATGGCCCAGTGGGACAGAGGAACCATTTTATTATTAGCTGGGCCCATGCCCAGTTCCCCCACAGCAGGCAGAGCCAAGTGGGATGTGAAACTCAGGCTTGGAGTCCCAGTGGAGGCTCTCAATTCTCCAGACACTGAATCCAGACCTTGGGTGTCTTATCACCTCTGGCTAGATCACGAGGAAAAGAAGCCCAAAGCTCTGAAGAGAATGCCTGGGAAGGGGAGGGAAGGAAAGGGAGAGAAAGAGAGGAGAAATTGGAGGAAGGAGGGAGAAGGGGAGGCAGGGAAGCGGGGAAAGGGAGGGTGGGAAGGGAAGTGGGCAAGGGAGACTTTCTTCAAAATCCTCTTGCCGTCTCCCTCAGCACTTTATGATATAGATTAATTTAAGCTTTCTCTCAACAAATAAGAATGCTTTCTCTCTGGAAAAAAAAAAGGAGAGAAAAGGGGGCTAGATGGCAAGTTGATTTTGATGGGCTGGAGAAAAAGGAAAATGTATAAACACTCTCAATTTAATAAATTTTGTCCCCTTACATAGCAACATGTCCGACACTATGCCTCACACAATGTCATTGATTGATAAAATGAAGAATAAATTATAAAATAAAATAGTCTGTAGGAAAAAATCTTGTAAATGAAGCATTATGATCATCATAATCATGTTATTTTGGGCTTTCCCTAGTGTGTGATGTCTTGGAATCCCCAATCAGTCTTCATTTATTCAACATTCTGAGGCTCTGAGGACCTCAAAAGGAACCCTAATTTTAGTTGAGAATTGACTCTGACTCCACACTACCACTGTTCATTTCATAAATACATTCCAGTCCAGAAGGACAGTATTTTGAAACATCATCTATGTATTCTTCATCCCTGGTTATTTAGTAGCCTGTGTTGCCCAAAGGCCCTCCTCCCTCAAGGTTTGAGTTATCCATGGCTTGGGAAGTGGGGTGGGGTGGAGTGGGAAACAGAACGAAGCATTCAGTTTTCAAGAAACAATGGGTTTGATATTCAAGCTCAACTTTTTAAATTCACAGAAAACACAATAATCTTGAAAGCCCTGGTTTCCCAGTGTCAGAGCCAAGCTCTTCAGAAAATGGGTCTTTCTGAACTCCATAGAGTAGACAGAATGGAAGATATGAAGTGGTAGCAATTTTCCTCTACTGGAGGAGGAAAAGCTCAAAGAAAATCACAGAAGGGAGTTACATGTAGGTGAATGTCCTGAAAGGACCCCACCTGTCCCTTCCAGGGTACCTGCCAGGTGGTTGCCTTTCAGAATTCTAAGTCAGGGGAAAGGGCCCCTTCTCTCATCAAACGATCCTCCACTCTATTGGAGAGGGTACAGCTTTCTTCACTGCACACACAGACACACGCACACACATGCACACACATACATGTAACCCTGGAAATTTCAGAGGATCACAGTGGATAGCAAGAACTGAATAAAGCCACAAGTTTATTGGGCAGTGGGCAGGGTCACATGGACTGAACCAACAAGACAGACCATGTGTTACACCAACCAGAGCCACTTAGACAACCAATGCAGTGAGAACAGAGGATGATGCCCCCAGATCAGACAGGACCAACTACTGCACACCACGATTTAGCCAGGACCAAAACCAACACACAAGCCAGACAGAAACCTTCTCCGCACATTTGTTGCTTTGATTCCATAAGCTTCTACCTGCACACCAGGTGCCATCCCAGATAGGAGAAGAGAAAAGAACACTTGAGAAGGGAAGATGATCCTGATATGAAGTTAGAATTTTAAAGTGACTGAGTTTTAATTGTTTGAGCAATTAATGAAAAGAGACTACACATTCAGCCAGAATTTGACTAAGCTATCTTTAAGTGTCAAGATTAAATCTTTCCACAATAGCAAAAATGGGGCTAGTGACAGTTACAGAAAAACACTGTCACATTTCTGCACATTTGAGTTGTGACTAAGCTTCAATTCCACTACATGTTTTGGTTTTGGGCAACAGTAAGAGCAAAACAGTTGAAGTCTACTTCTCACGGAGCTTCCAGTCCTGTGGGAATCCAGTCATTAAACAGGCAGTCCTACAAATAACTGCAGAACCACACCTGTGCCGGGGCTATGACAGGAAAGCACCGGGAGGAAAGCGAGGACCCCCAACCCAAACCACCTCTCCTGCCTGCTGACAATCATGTCAGCACTGCAGCGTTTCTAAATGAATTCTGTTGGTGGGTCATTGCTTTCCCTCTTAATCCTTTTTTAAATGCAGAGATCTGTGGGAGGAGGTACTGAAGTTGCTAACATATCAATTTTTAGAGTTTAATAACTCTTGTTCTGTTTAAACATCAAAAAGCAGGAAAGTTCTGAAAGGGCCCTGGGGAAGGCAGGGAGGAATTAACTAGGGAATGCTCGGAGCTGGAGCTCCCACCCCAACCTGACTGTGTGCAAGTTTGCCCAGGGTTGCTGTGGTGTGTTTGTCACCCTGTGGGTATGGCCTGATACTTTATGAACTAGCTGATACAGACAGCACCGAGCTGTTGGGATACCTGTGACTCCCAGAAAGAATTTTAGTCTCTTTCCTAAACTCAGAGGACCTCAGCTTTGATACTAGTGTCCAGTGGAATGCCAGGTCTTTCTTCCAGGGAGAAGAGAAGACTCAGCCAGAAAACCCTCTCACTTTCAGGAAGGAGAGAGATTTAACCATTGTGGTTGAATTCATTGCTCTGAATTTCAGCTAAACTTGGACTTAGCCACTTACCAAATGAACTTTGATAGTTAACCAAAGTTAACCTAGTTAGCAAGCTAGTTAACCTCTCCAAACCTAAAATGGGAATAATAAATGTAGTTATCTCATAGGGTCGTTGTGGGATGAAATGAATCACTCTCTGCAACAGCTGACAACAAGCTTTACCTGCTGCTTACCAGACTTCAGAGAGGCAGTGATATGGCGGCCAGCCTCGGCTACCCGGACAGGGCTGGGGTTGTCCATGCCAGTGCCACACAGGATCAGTGTCGCCTGGGAGCTTGTTAGAACTGCAAAGTTTCTGGCCCCACCCCAGACCTGTGGAATAAGAATCTCTGAGAATCTGTGTTTTACAGGCTTAACAAGCTTCCTGGTGATTTTTATGCACACTCAGGTTTGAGGAGCACAGCTCTCTGTAATCACAGATAAGCTTGAAGTCATCCACAGTGTGTGAGTAAAGCATTTGAGAAGGGACAGGGTGTTGAGTTCTTACTAGCAGAGTAGTCTTAGACAAGCCCTTTATTCCCTGAAGGCAGTGAAACCTGTCTCAGGTATCTAATAAGATTGATGAGAGCACCCAATAATATGCCTAAAAGGCCTTTACAATTTATAAAAAACGTGGAAGTGTAACAGTGCATTATTATTACCCCTGCATTTGTAACAGGGCTCTTTGAAGGGAAAATAGCCGACTCTTTGGCATTTCTTCCCCTGCTTGGCAAAACCTCCTTCTACTTTAGGAAGATTGTAAGAACATTGACCCAGAATTCCCTGCATGTTTCCTTGGAAATGCAAGCTAACTCTGACAGCTAAAATCACTACACAGTGTATCATAAGATCGCCGCAGCTCAGGCCCGACAGCTACACCCTCTGTCCTCCACCGTGCACAGTCAGCCCAGAAGGGCAGGGCTCCCTGTGCCTCAGGTGCTTTCTGCTGATGCAGCATCACTTTCAGGGGGCCTAGGATTGGAATAAAGACCAATGGGTAGAAGCCACAAGGAGTTGAGTTTCATACCCAAAAAAGAAAGCACTTTGCAGCTGTCAGAGCTGCCCAAACATGGCATGAACTTCCCTTGCAGGCAGGGAGTAGGATCCCTGGCCCAGGGGATGGTTGCTCATAGGCCCTGGCCCTCCCTTAGGGCTGCTTTATCATTCCCTTTCACTCATCGTTCTTAGTTGCAGTGTGCTCTGCCTGACACCTGAGGGGTCTTCTTCAAAATACCTCTAATTCCCTTCTTTAATTCAGGCAGGATTTGTTCATCACTTGCCATGTGGAGGCACTGTCCTAGCTGCTCAGGATGAAGGGCTTTGTGCTGACAGCTGAGATCTGAATCACGAGAAGGATCCAGCCATGGGACAACATGTGGATGAGTATTTCGGGCCAAGGGGACAGCAGTGATGAGGCAGTGACTGAGGTGGGAACCCAGGAGCTCAGTGAGAGGAGACAAGGGGCAAGAGGGAAGGAAGGAAGGAGAAAAATGCACGGAGGGAGCAAGTCCTGTAGGGAAGTCTTTGTGAGCCAGTGGAAAGGTCTAGGATTTGTTCTCTCTCTCTAAGTTTCCACTGCAGCACTTCAGCAGGCCTGCCAATTGCCAGTATCATCAAGGTTTCTTTGTGGAGCACCTACTTCCTGTGCAAGCCTCGGAAACCAGGGCCCGGTCCTCCCAACCAGCGGCTGCTTCCTCTGAACGCCTTCAAGTCTGCCCTGTGCTTTCAGAATCTGTCTTCATCCAGCACCATTGAAAACCTCAGGTTTGACAGCAGATTGCTTTCCTTCAGATCTACTGGCTGGTCACAGAATTGGTCTCTTTTTCTTTTCTCAGTCCTTTCCTTGTGATGAAACATGGGCATATTGGACTTGGGTCCAAAGGTAGCTGGGGAAAAGGAAGGCCCATCTGTGTGGGAGGCAACATCACACAGCAGTGATGAGCCCAGGTCTGGGGCCTCATTGCCTGTGTTCCAGTGCAGGCAGTTCTCACTTACCAGCTGTGTGGCCTTGACCAATTCACTCATGCCCTTGGTGCCTCAGTTTTGCTATATATAAAATAAGAATAACGATAGCTCCTGCTTCATGGGAGCTGATATTTTTCATGGGAGATTTTCATGGGAGACTGATATTTTTCACATAACGAACTTAGAACAATGGCTGGCACTTAGTATGTGCTTGATACGCATGAAGGCTTATTCAGCCCAGACTTTGGCTTTTCCCAAGTTTCAGCATTCATTCAACACCAGACAAATATCTGCTAAGCATCTAGTATGCACCAGGCTCCCTGCTGGGTATGGTTTCTTGGAAAGGGCTTTGGACTAGAATCAGAAGGCCACATTCTGGTCTCAGTTTTGCTGCAAGCTAGGCAACCAAGGTCGAACCACATCATCTCTCCATCTTCAGGTTTCTTCTCCTTTATAGGAGTGCACTGAACCACGTGATGTCTGAGGACCATTCTGGTCCTGGCAAGCAATAAATGACTGCTTTCAAGAAGAACACTGCCTACAGTCCTCCCCAGAATCCGGATGGCCCTCTGGCCACTCACGTCCACTGGGTCCCAGTGTGTGAGCACATGCCCCTGCGAGAAGAAGTCCTGATCACTGCCTTGTGCTGGGGATAAAATATTGATTAGGGAATTTAAAATTTCAAAATGATTCAGGAGCCCCAAAATGGGGACATAATGTGCTGTGCCAATCTACGTTATGAGCCATCTATCTCCTGTCAGCAAGCAGCCAGAAACTGACAGAATCAATACAAACGTGTCTGAAGACAGGCTTAACTCATTTCCTTCCCCCTGGGGCTCTGGTTGGAGTGGGACAGTCCTGAGAGATCCACACTGAGGCCAGGACCTTCACACCCACCTGCTTGTCACTGGGAGGCAGAGCTGTGCAGTGCTGCCTATTTTCACTGCCTCCTCTGCTGATGCAGGTATCTCTGCTAGTGCGTCTGGAAATCTAAAACTTCCATTGTCTTCTTTCCCTCTCTAACAGTCTAAATAAGATGTCTGGCCTGTGGCCTGGAAATAAAATAATAATAATAGCTTTCTTATATTAAGCACTTGAAATGTGCCAAGTATCTTAAAAGAGTCATCATTATTTAACTTCTCAGAGCATCAGCTTCCCTATCTGTGAAAGAAAGATAATAATAACACCTTCCTCATAGGATTGATGTAAGAATAAGGCAGACACACGGTGACTGTAGTTAATGCCACTGAGAGTGATTAAAATTGTAAATTTTATGGTGTGTATAATTTACCACAATAAAAAAATAACAAAAAAAGGTAAAAGCAGATAAACTACATCATATAGTGCAAAGAAAGTTCTCCATAAATGGCAGCTGCTGAGAAAACTGGAATGCAGAGCTTCAGCAACCCGAAACATGTCCAAGATAACAGCTTCAAAGTGGCAGAACCAGCATTTGAACACACATCTGCCTGATGTTGAAACCAGACCATTGTCCTGCAAACTGCACTGTATCACAGAGAAAGAAGAGGGGTGCTTCATGGACATGTCCTTGTCTGCCAGGTTCTCTTGCTGCTGCTCCCATTTCCCCACCGGCATCCCAGGTGCTTGCATTACTCTGTGAGGTTAATAAAGATGTTATTCCCAGGGAATGCCCTTGCTCCTCCCTGCCTCAAACATGGTTCTTTCCACCTGAAACATTTATTAAACATGCTGAAAGGCTTAAATAGGAATTTAATTTTTCTAGCTAAACAATGGCGTGTGCAGCAGACCAATAGAATTACTTGTTTAATCTTACTCTTGCACTCCTACTCAGCTTCACATGGCTGGTTAATCCCAGGAGCAGCATGACATGCCAAGATTTAGTATACTAAGGAGCACATCTATTAAAAAAAAAAAAACCTACTTATTATATTAAGAAAATGCCCACCTGTAGGTTCTTTTAACTCAGGATTTTTTTCATGATGAATTTATCTTCCTAAGGACTAAGGTACTAAAGCCAGTTTTACCCAAGGCTGCGTTGACCCACTTACCATACAAGATAGAGACCTACTCTGGTTTCTCACTCTAAGCCTGACCCCTCTAGGAGAACTAACTTCTTCCTCCATTGACGCCCCCTGAATCATGCCACTTCTAATGCTGGATTGCCTTCTCTTTTTTGTGCTTCTGTTTTGTACTCTGTCTTCTACTCTGTTTTCTCACTCTACACCTCGAATCTTCAAATCTTAGTGTAGCAATTTCTACTCTGTTTTCTCACTCTAAACCTCGAATCTTCAAATCTTAATGTAGCCTTTGCTTAATCATAATCTATCTTTTATTCAACCTCTTCCTACTCTCTTTTTTTCTATTTATCATATCCATTCATTTAAAAAGCATTTGTTGACCACCTACTACCTACTAGGCACCGTGGTCCATATAGAGAGATAATTAAGATGGAGTCTTTGCCCTCATACAGCTCATAGTAGCAGGAAAGAAAAGTACAAAAAGAGAGAAGGCAATCCAGCACTAGAAGTGGCATGATTCAGGGGATGTCAACGGAGGAAGCAGTTAGTTCTCCTAGAGGGGTCAGGAGCAACATCAGACTGTGGGAGACTGTGAAACACATCTTCATTCTAACGAGGGGGGCCCAGGTGGACTCAGTGAGGAATAAATTCCAGAGATCAGCATGTAGGCAGTGCTGTGGACTGAAGAACAGGATGTCTGATTAGGGAACTGAGGGTAGTTTGGCAAAGCTATCCCATAGGGTGCAGGTAGAGATAGGAGGGTGGGGATGGGCAATCAAGTATAGCTAATGAAGTTGTTGACAACCAGACCTGGAGGGCCTAGTAGGTGTTGATAAAGGACTCTGGATTTTATCGTGGTAATAATCATTAGCTGCCATTTATTGAGATACTGTGTTAGGTGCTTTACATATAGTTCTTTTTATCCTCATACCCATCCCTACAAAGCAGATATTATCCCATTTTTCCTGCAATTGAATTGTGGCTCAAACAGGTAGAAACTAGGGAATAATTTTTACAGAGTGGTAACATAATTTAGTTTATACTTTAGAAAAGTCACTGGAGTGGAGAAAAGATAGATTATCAGGGTATAAATATGAAGGCAGAGAAACCAATTAGAAGACTATTGTAATAGTCCAGGTGCAAAATGTTAATGGCCGGCCGGGCGCGGTGGCTCACGCCTGTAATCCCAGCACTTTGGGAGGCCGAGGCGGGCGGATCACGAGGTCAGGAGATCGAGACCATCCTGGCTAAAACGGTGAAACCCCGTCTCTACTAAAAATACAAACAATTAGCCGGGCGTAGTGGCGGGCGCCTGTAGTCCCAGCTACTTGGGAGGCTGAGGCAGGAGAATGGCGTGAACCCGGGAGGCGGAGCTTGCAGTGAGCCCAGATCCCGCCACTGCACTCCAGCCTGGGCGACAGAGCGAGACTCCGTCTCAAAAAAAAAAAAAAAAAAAAAAAATGTTAATGGCCTAAATTAAAGCAGAAGCAGAGGGAATGGAGAGTTTTTGGGGAAAGGCGATAATGAGTACATTTTGTATTTCTGGGCCATTTCCTTGAATCTCCATTTCTACAGTTCAATGACAGGGCATTGTCTACGCTTGCATCTAAGCTCAGAGACACAACAGGTGGAGATTTCACAACACAGGCACCAGAGGTGAAGGAGAAAATGCATGTTAGCCAGACCTCTCAATCACTGTTTCTTTCCTTTGTGGAACACCAAGGACAGCAAGGAAGTGTGAGTAGTGACTGTGTGTTTATTTTGTTTCTGTTTGGTGAAGGGTGGTGTTCTTTCATTTTCTTGTGTTTTCCTAATTCCATGGCAGAAACACCAAGACCCATCTTTGATGATGAAAAATGATCTAGAACTGTGCTCTAGCAGGCCCGTAACCATAGCTTTTAATTTTGTGATCCCCTTTCCACTTTAGATGTTACAAAGTAAAATAAACTGGGTAGAGAGAACAATTCATGTATACAATATCCTGCAAAGAAAGAATAGTGAGCTAGATTGTATTATCATTCTGAATTGTTCACTCTTCCTTTCTGAGAAATACGCATCCCTGCCTGTTGCCAAATGTTATACAGAAACTCCTTGTGAGAAGGAGCTATTCCCTGCCCCACTGACCTCAAGCTGCATGTGACGTGCTTTGGCCAACTGAGTGGGAACCAAAGTGATATATGCCACATTCTACATAAGAGCCATTGTATGATTCAACCATGTGTCTGTTTCATTTTCCATAAGAAAGGTTATCCCAGATGATGGCTGCTTCTTCAACCTTGATTTTTTTTTTTTTTTTTTTTTTTTTTGAGACAGAGTTTCACTCTTGTTTCCCAGGCAATGGTGCAATCTTGGCTCACTGCAACCTCCACCTCCCAGGTTCAAGCAATTATCCTGCCTCAGCCTCCCGAGTAGCTGGGATTACAGGCATGCACCACCACGCCTGGCTAATTTTGTATTTTTTAGTAGAGACAGGGTTTCTCCACATTAGTCAGGCTGGTCTCAAACTCTTGACCTCAGGTGATCCTCCTGTCTCGGTCTCCCAAAGTGCTGGGAATACAGGGGTGAGCCACCATGCCCGGCTTTCAACCTTGATTCTTAAAGGAAGAAGATAGTTGGAGCAGTAGCAGTGCCATTCCAACCCACAGTCAATCTGAAATGTGACCATGAAATAAACTTTTGTTGTAAGCCACTAAGATTTGGGGGTTGCTTGGTACTGTAACATAACCTGCAGAAAATTAATACATGTGGGAAGCTATCCATACAAGGCCCCAAGAAACAGGCATATGGGGTTTGAATGCTTAAGACTTTGCCAACCAGAACAGAAGTTGTGGACAAATGACTAAAAGAAAAGGGGCACTCATTTTTTCCAAAGTCATGGCCCATTTAGAGCAATGAAGCGAGTTTCCAAGCTTGCATGCACTGCACAAAGTCCCTCAGATTTCTCACAAAAGGCCTTTGATGATCATCCTTCTGTTGGGGGAGAGAAACTGGTAGGGTTTCCAAGTTCCCTAAATTAAAATTATTCAGTTGAAGCCTGATACTAAATAAATCTAGGAAAAATAAATTGAGTTGACTTCATACTTTACATTTTTTTCATTCACAAACTTGACCATTTCTAACTGTGAAACACACCAACGCAGTAGACCATCTGCCACTTAAGTTTCTGCAAGAGTTGCTCTTAAAGCGGACAGTGATTTTTGCCTGAGGAGAATTATCTTCTTTCATGTGTTAGCTTATCTAAGAGAGACAAAGAGAAGAGTTTTTGTATTATCCTGAGGAAGACATTGCTACAAGGGGTTTCACAGTTTGTCCGAGCTTCCTTTTTAGAGATGAAAAAATCACAGACAGAATTTGACTTATACAAAGTCAGGCCTGATGCATAATAGGCACTCAATAAATAATTGTTGAACAAATGAATGAATTGAAAATTGAATGAATAAAAGCTCATCCAAATTGCTGATGGCAGGACTAGCCCTAATTAGACCTTGTATATCATATCAAATGTACATTTCACTCTGGTGAATTGTATTTTACCATTCACTCATCAGTTTATTCAATACCCAAATTTCATTGAGCTGCTCCTATGTGCTAGATATAATGCTGGATGCTGGAGAGACAAAGATAGCTCGGGCAGGTCGCAGCCTCTGCCCTCCAAGAGCCTTCCGTCCAATGGGAGCCCCTCACCACTCTGCCTTCCTCCACCAATGCTATCTTTGGATTCTATTCCTTCGATTCTTCAATTACTCCTCCCTTCACAAGTAAAAGGTTACTACTGATATGCTAGAAGTTTTGAAGCAATGATTGTCAGACTATTTGGTTTCAGTACCTCTTCATATTCTTAAAGAACTTAGTGAAGACCCCAAAGGACTTTTGTTTAATGCAGTCTCTTTTTCATTTTTATAAAAACTGTTAACACTAACAATATTTACCATAATCAAAATTTAAAATGAGAAATATTTAAAATATGTATTCATTCATTTAAATAACTATAATAAACCCACTACACGTTAACAGTTTGATTTTTTAAGTATATTTTTCAAAATACAAATAATTTTAGGAAAAAGCTGGCATTGTTTTTACATTTTTTAATATCTGCTTCTGTATTCAGTCTTTTGAGATATTATAGATGAGGTAGCCTCTGGAGAAATTCTCTTGGTCACCATGGGACTATGGAAATGAAAAAAATACCATTTTAATGTTATTTTGAAAATAGTTTTGACTCATGGACCCCTGGGAGGTCTTAAGGACTCCCAAAGATCCCTGGCCCACACTTAGAGAACCAGTGAATACTATTTATCTTTTCTTGAAATGTAAAAAAAGGTGGGAGAGGGAATTGGAAAGTTATAAGAGAAAGGAAAATGCTAACACCTAGGTATGTCAAACCTCTGAACAGCTGCCCATTCAGCATGTAAAGAGTCAAACTGAGACATAACCTCCCTCTATAACCACTTTTTAAGGTTGGACAGCAACTGTCCGGAAATTTTTAATACTCTACATCAGGCCTTGTGAGAGTTGAGGAAGAATCATTGCTACCCCAGTATTTCCTGCCCCATTAATCCAGTATGGTCCTCTTGAGGACCAAATGACTCATAAGAATAAAGGAAATTGGTTTAAAGAAAAAGGTACAATTAACCATGTACCAATTTCATGTCAGATAAACACTTTCACCTTTGCAGTAATGAAAACAAGAATAATACACCCCAAAGACATTTCTAAGCCTATGGAACCTTTCTCTTGTGTATATGTTAATCAAAGGGTACCCCCTTGTAACAAAAAGGATTTGTGAGAGATTATAAAAATAAATAAAGTACGGAATAATAAAAACAAGAATTACAACATTAAAATAAAGAAAAAAATCAACATCTAATAGTAATATGCAGCCAGGGAGTGATAACAGAGAGAAATGCAAGATGAAGAGAGCTGAACAATTATTTAAATCATTCAAATTTGATGTCCAGATCCTTTTTAGGCCCTAGCATAGGCAGAAACACAATTAGCTACAAGATAATTACATGCTAACTTTATCTAACATCGCTCTGCTAGCATGGACACTATGAGTCCTCATAGAGGGCACAGTAAGTGGCATAGAGAAAAAAATGTTTCTTACAACTTCCCTCAATGCAAGCTGAGGGCATAACAGTAAGGCCATTTGATCATATATCTAATATCTGTAATATATTAAGGGTTTTATGATTCTTGGTAATCCCCAAACTACCTTTTGCAAAGATTTTTAGTGGCTTTTCACCTTCAATGATTCCCATCCACACTCCCCAATTTGGCATTCAGGGCCTGTATTAGTCTGTTCTCACACCACTATAAAGATACTACCTGAGACTAGGCAATTTATAAAGAAAGGAAGTTTAATTGACTCACAGTTCCACATGGTTAGGAGGCCTCAGGAACCTTGCAATCATGGCAGAAGGCAAAGGGGAAGCAAGGCACATCTTATATGGCAGCAAGAGAGAGAGAGAGTGCAGGGGAAACTGCCACTTTTAAAACCATCAGATCTTGTGAGAACTCTCTCACTATCACAAGAACAGCATGAGAAAAACCACCCCCATGATCCAGTCACCTCCCACCAGGTCCCTCCCTCAACATGTGGAGATTACAATTGGAGATGAGATTTGGGTGGGGACACAGAGCCAAGCTGTATCAGTGCCCTAATCTGGTTTTTTGAAGCTATTTTTCACTGCACTCACATCCAAACCCCCTACCCCAGACAGGCTGGTATAGTCACATCAAACCGCGATTCCTGCCTCCACCCTTTCATCTATGCCGTTTCTCCCACTGAGTACGTGCCCAATAGATATTTGTTACTTTAGGGCGTAGGCTATGATCAGAGAAATATTTACAAGTAACCAACCTTCTCCTTAAGCTCATTTCCACTCTTTTTTGTTTACTTTGTTTTATTGTTGTTGTTTCTGGAGGAGTAGAATGGAATAGAACAAATCATGTAGACATGGGCACCACATCTATGATTTATTTAGTGTCTCCAAGAAGATACCCTCCCACCCCTTCCCTTCCCTCGCCAGAGTTCATTGACTAAATTCCGTGGGAGGTAATCATCATCTTTGAAGAGTGATGTCTAAGCAAAGATCTAAAAAACTGAGGGAGTTTTCACATGGAAGGCAGAAAGAGCATTCAGATGAGTACATTGTGAGTGAATTTCCTCGTCTATTACATGGAAGAATAACAGTTCCTACCTTGGGTGGGTGATATGAAAATTTAATCTGTTAATCCAGAGAAAGCACTTGAAATTCACCTGGCCCGTAATAAGTGCCATTAAGTTAATAGTAATTACAAAATTACTATTCCAGGCAAAAAAGACAGCATGTGCAAAACCTTGATATGTAAGGAAGTATGGTATGTCCAAGGGATGAAAGAAGATTGGCATGACTGGAGCATGGTGAATGAAGAGGAAAGGGTGGTAAGAAATTACTGGAAAGGTAATAAGGGCCCCAGCAGGCAAAGCTTTGTGAGCATGACAAGGAGTTTGGGTTTATTCTAGGGGCAATGTGAAAATTTGGAAGGTTGGATGCAAGACAGTTGCTGCTGTATGTACAACAGACTGTAGCATAGAGTAAGACCAAAAGAAAAAAAAAAGATCAATTAGGAAGTGGTTGTACTATCCCAGGTAGAAAATGAAATAAGCCAAGATTAAGGATAGCAATGGACATAGCAAGGTCTATTGCAGAATTTGAATGGATAGGCTCTGTTAATGAATATGATGTTGAGGTGTTGGGAGAGGAGTTGGGAAATAGATACCATGATGGTACTCTTCGTACCTTGGTGATACCAAGCAGACAATTGGATTTATAAATCTAGAACTCAGAGGAGAGGCCTAGATTGAAAATATAAATATTGGAGACATCAATGTAAAAGCTGTATTTAAATACATGGAACTTGAGTAGATCAGCTAGGAGGAGAATCTGGAGAAAAAAAGATTGAAGAACTAAGAACAAGCTCTAATGAATTAGAGGTTGGGTGGAGAAGAAAGAATCAGCCAAGGAGACCAGGGGATATGATCAATGAAGTCAAAGTACCAGGAAAAAAAATATTATTATGGAAGATAAGAACAAAGAGTGTTTCAAAGAGAAGGAAATCATCAACATTGCCCCCAAGCTGTTGAGAGTTCAAACAAGATGAGAGGAAAGAATCAACCATTGGATTTGGTAACTTGGAGATCATTGGAAATCTTGGGAAAATCGAGTTCAATCAGTTGGCAGGGTCAAAGACTTGATGTGAATAGGTTGAAGAGAGATCGGGAAGTGAAGATGTGAAAAGAATGTTTGTAGGCAGCACATGGGGTCAGGGAAGGAGTTCTGTCATGATGGATTACTGGTATTTATAAGGAGTAAACTTGAGGTTCCATGATTTTATCTTGCAAATTTCTAAGCTCAGTCACCAAAGCCAAAATGGATTATGTCTTTTGTCCCCTAAGAGGGACCATGAAATTGTAGGAAAACACTGACAGGGCAAGTGCTAGTAGTCTCATCTGGACATTCCTCCTGATTTTTCCCCTCTGTAGCTATTATTTTACTTTTCTAGGCTCAGTAGCACATTCTTAAAGCTCCCCCCCATCCCAACATCAAAATAACTTTCTATGATATATCACAGAAATTAATTTAATTTGCACAATTTTTGGCTGGAAGACACGTGTTCCGTATGTTTTCATCCCAGCCTGAATGCCATAACATGCCCCTCTGTCACCTGGATGCAGAATAAATCGTTAAATTTCAGTGCACCAAATCAGTGTTCATTTAGATAGATGCTAGAATGAGCCAAATATACTCATTTAAACATCAATAAACCTGACCTCCAGCTGAGTTCATTTGTGCAGAGGGAGGTAGGATGAATTCAAGGAACATCAGAGAACCCCGTTAGCTCTCAAGATGTTATTAAAGAGAAGGAAGCACCAGCCTCCTACCAACAGCTCCTAAATGTGATCACTTTCAATTTGCTCAATTCAGTGGATAAGTGATATACAGATTTGAGGCTTGGAACAAATCGTAACAAGAATTTCAATGCTGTAATGTTCTAGCAAGAACCGAGAGCACATATCCCCATCCCTCCCTGCTGAATTAATTTGGACCCATTGTGGCTGGTTAGTCTGCAAAAACCAAGATCTGCTTCTATCATCAATTCACCAGAATATACTGGCTCTCCAATCTCCAAATGCTGTTTGGCTATTGATTTTTTTTCTCTACTTTATCTAAGGGCTGTAGAATGCCCACTGTACATAATGTCATCACAGAAGAGAATAGAAAGCCAATTCTCAAGATTCTGTTTAAACCTTATATATTAAGGTAATCATTGGTTAATTTGAAAATAGAGGTTTTTCCTTGAATTAAGTCATTAGTGGCCATAAAGTAAAATGCTAATATAGATTTCCACAAGAATATTTAGGTTTCGAGCTCCTTTCATGCCACCCAAAACTGGAGGCTCAGTAAGCATTTTCATTAAAGTACTTTATCAAGGCTTTCTTTTTAACCTAACAAATTCTTTCTAACTGAACAAATGAGTAAAACCATAATTAATGAATGTCCTAGCTGTTTATCCTTGTTCTAAACATTAATCATTTAAAATAATAGAGTGGGAGGGAGACAGAAAGGAATCTAATGTTTACTTGGGTTTTCAATGCGGGCTAGGAGCTGTGTAGGTCCTCTCCTTCCATACTGATTTAATTCATATGCCTTTCATAAAAGTAAGTATTATCACCACTGTTTACTAATGCGGAAGCAGGATCTGGCATGTTAAGTGATTTGCCCAAGGTCACACATCTAGTAAAAATTGAATCAAGATTTGGCTGATCCTAAAGCCCATATGCTCTTCCCATCCCACTGGGCAGCCTCTCTCACAAGATGACCCAAAACATATTATAAATGAGATAGGAGAGGGAGTCAAAACAATTATTTGTAGGGTCTAGCCTCTACAGCATTCACCTTTGCAAGAAATAAATCATGTTACCACACTGATCCATGCCAGTGAGTTAACTTCTCATTTATTCATTACAAAAAAATAATCTAATTATTTCAAGCCACTAGAGATCACAGAATTACAGCTCCAATGCACTAAATTGCTTGCTAGTAACCTTAAAAAGCTAACCAAAAGGTTTAAGCTATTCATGGAAAGCCCATCAGCTTATTAATCAGGGAGAATCCATCTCCTCCTATTGAGCTCCTGAAATTTCACACACTATAAATAGGCTAGATCTGCACAGCCATAATACCATGTAGAGCCTTCTCCATCTTTTCTCAAAGGAGTTATTTGATGCGTCCTACCTGCCTAACCCTGAAGATGGGGAAAGAGGGAGGAAGAGAGAGCAACACCAAGAAAAAGAGCCCTAGTAGGCTGCATATGTATAATCCACTGTGTATTTTTCTCTGTAATGGTATGTTTAACCATCTCTAATGACTCCATAAATGCTTTTCAAATCCAGTTTCAATGGTCTATTTGCTGCCTACTATAGCATATAATCTTTTCCAAAAGTGGTATTGATCTTGTTAAGTCTCCTCATCATCTAGACTTTGAGCATCCCTCAGCAGCCTCATTCCTACAAACAGACCACATGTTCCTTTCACACAGCTGCCCACAACAGTGTCTGAGAGTGCTTGCCTGGGAAAATGGATTAGGAGTTAGGGGCACAGTCATAATAATAGCCAGCAGGTATTCAGATGCCCTGTGTAAACACTTTACATATATTTTCACTCATGAACCTCACAACAGCCCTATGAGGAAAGTAGTAGTATCCCCATTTTAGGTCAGGAATCATGTTATCCCTATTTAAGACAGTGCATTCATTCTATTCAAAGGCGTTCTGTAATGGCTCCTCCCCACTGTCCTTTCTTCCCCTAAGGCCCATCACCCCCAGTTTTTTGTGGCATCAAAGAGAACTGTGTAATTCATTATGTATTTCCTTCCTCAACACCAAGGACAGCATCCAATTCCATTGAGAATTCTGTGACAAGAGGTGAAATGGAAGGTGAAGAACCATTCTGTCCCCTCACTCATAGATGAATACAGAATGAAATCTAAACTGCCTGTGCCCAGTCTTTTCTCCCAACCAAATGTTCTCTCTCTTTCCCTCCCTCTGTCTCTCTCTCACACATGCACACACTCCTCATGTGCCCCAGTTACATCTGACCAAGTCCAGACTCCAGTACCGTCTACATCTCCCATCTGTCAGAATTCATACTCTTCCTAGCCTACATAGCCTTTTCCCCATGATTTCGACCTCTCCAAAGGCTATTCATCCTTCAAGGCCTGCTCTTTCTCAAGGAAGTACTTGTTCCTCTCAAGTCAAGGCTGATCTTTCTCCTCCTGTTCTTACTCTGTCCCTTTAACTCTTTTTCGTGGCTGGCTTTGTATTAAAGTCTCTCTTCTCAGCTAAGTTGTTATTCCCCAGATGCAACAGGTCACATCTTATTTATCTCTGAAGCCACTCTTCTGCCTGCCTAAATTCACAGTAGTCAACACATGGCTTTACAAGAAGTAAATCATCACTGTGTGTTTAATGAATCGAATTGACTGTTGGGGCAGCAGATCTGCAGTGGCTATTGAAGGCAGGAACCCAGAGAAGCCCCCAACTCAGAATAAAGGATGACTATTCAAATGAAAATTTTACTTGAGGTAGAATGAAAAAGGAAATTGCAAGTGAGCAATTACCACTCAGAATTCATGCCTCCAAATGCTATCAAGCATTTGGATCTTTTTGGAGTGGAGTTTCCAACACTGTGGGCCATCCTCAGGGGCTTCGGAATGCCCTGTCCAGTCCTTCCTAGGGAGTATGCTGATGTATGCACTCCTCCTCAAGGAGGGAAGTTTGGGAGTCATCAGTAAGATACCCTACCAATTCTTGATGAAATGAGACATGGGGTGCATTTTCATATAAAAAGAAATACAGCCATTGTACAGACTGATCAACAAGGCCTGGGAGGAGGTTCTGGGTGAAAGCCCAGAGATCAGGTGAGCTCCCTGGGTGTTAGGCAGGACTGATGAGAAAGTGTGAATCAGCAGGGCAAGCCTGGAGAAAGATGAGGTTGAAGGTTAAAGACAAACTTTGCCCTGGTTCTTTGCCTAGGACAGGCTTTCTTTGCAAGGTAACTCAGCTGTCACCCTTGAGATAGCAGGATGCTCTGCAGACAGCCTGCTTTCTTGCCCTGTGCCACTGACGGGGAAGATTCACAAGGCCTGGGGAGGAGCACAAACCTGCCTCCTATCTCTATGATCCCCAGTAACACAGTATGTCCATGGTGGAGAGGGAGGGGGAGTCAACAGGGGAGCAGCCACCAGCCTCACCCCCTCGACATTCATGTGACCCGATTGTGTCAGCGTCACTTGTCCCCCCATCTGTCACAATGTCAGTTCCTGCTGGGGCCCTGGGATCCACAGAGGTTGCTCCACATGTCGCCCCATTTATCTTTGCAGGCGGCAGCACTGATGGGTTTGACAGTTCTATTTGTTATCCTACAAAGCAGGGTCCCCACTCCTCAAAGCAAAGGGTAGAAAAGTCAGCATGGAAAAGGACCGGGACAGAAATAGGCAGTAGGAAAAATCTGGAGGAGGAAGTTTGTACCAGCTGATGGAGATGGGAAGAAGAGAGGTCCGACAATTGGGAAAAGCAGGCCCTGCACCTTGCCTTCTGGAGGATGGTGGAAACAGCAGAAAGTGATGTGTGTGTGTTTGTGTGTGTGTGTGTATATAAAAATACATAAGCAGTGTGACTAGCAGATAACAAAAATGGCCTGCTGTGCCTTTGTAGAACTGACCCCCACATTTGGGAGCCACCATATTCGTGCTCCCCCTTCCCACCTTCTCCTCTCCACCCCGACACCTTCTTCAAGGAGAGGAACTCATGGAGACATGGGTCCTAGGCCTGCTGACACCTCAGGCTCCAATCCTCAGGCCATGATGTTTATCATAGCTGGTGCTCAGAACACAGACTCCATCTTTGGGAAAGATGCTAACCCTGGAGCAGCCTGGCCCACCCCCACTCCCATAGCGCTCAGTCTCACACAAGCCCTCCAACGAGTTAACAAACACCCCTCAGGAAGCTGCAAATGGCCATGCATATGTCACCGTGAACCACACACTGACAATAAAACCACCTTTGCAAACTCATGACAGTGAAAGGAACCTGACACGGCTGACTCCATTATGCTTCTATCCTCACAGGCTGGCTGTCTTCACTCATTCCTGGTTGCGGACCAAGCTAACTTTGGGAGAATTTTAGTTTATAGTCTAAATGATAATAGCCCTTCCCAAAAACTAAACTGTTCCTATAAACCTAATGAAAGTCCACCAAGTTGGAAGGATGAGAGGGGCCTGAATCTACTGAGATGCAGGCATGGTTAAATAATTACCAGCCATTATTCCAGAGATCACAAGATTTGCAACTTCCTCAATTACTCCTGCAGATAACATCACTATTGTAGATCCTAAGATTGGTCTTTTGAGATGTCTTTTCAGGTTTTTGCATTTCTGACAAGCTGATGGTCCCAACCAGACTCACCAACCAGTCCTGTGGCCCTCCACCCAGAAGTCAACTCAACAGAAGAGGGCAGCTCCTACTCCCTAGGATTTCATCTCTGACCCAACCAATCAGCACTCCCCATTCCCTGGCCACCTAACCAACAAACTATCCTTGAAAAACTCTAGTCTTCGATTCGGGGAGACTGACTTGAGTAATAATAAATCTCTAGTCTTCCATTCAGCCAGCTCTGTGTAAACTAAACCCTTTCTTTATTGTGATTCCGCTGTCTTGATAAGTGGGCTATATCTGGGCAGCAGGCAAAATGAACCCACTGGGCAGTTACAACACTAGGGGGTCTTGAATAGACTAGACTCAAGACACAGTGCCCATGTAGGTGGGCTGTGCTCCCAGGTAATCACATAATGGCTGCCAGTTATTGAAACCCCTCTACATGTCAGGGGATTTACTGTGATATGTCATTTAATCTGTACAACAACCCTACGAAGTAGATACAATTAGTATCCCCACCTACAGATGATGAAACTGAGGCACAGGGTCTATCATGCCCAGAGTCTCACAGTATGTGAGAACCTAGGCAGTCTGACCGCAACTCCTAAATTATTAAACACAACAGTGCATTGCTTCCCAGAATAATAACTGAATAAGTGTGATGCCCTTTCTAAAGCTAAAGTGACCAGCCACCCTGGTTTGCTTAGGACTGGTCAACTTGAATGATGGGTCATCTACCTGCAACACAATTTGCCATTCCCCTTCCCCAACCCACACCCACATAAACATACATTAGTCTTTTAACCACTCTCATGAGTACTACAATATGAGTATAACTGAGTCAGAAGCTCTCTTCCTGCTTGCGCTTTAAGGAAGGAGGCCAACCTCTGGAAGACCAGGCCCAGGAAAGTTTTGAGATTTTTGCCCAAGGGAGCCTCTTTCTCTTAGGAGATCCTGTCTGCAGGCCCCTGCTGCTAAGCCTGACTATGCTGCTGAAGGTCATAGAGAAACTCAGGGGCCTGAGAATAACTGGGAAGCTTTTGAGGGCTCCCTCATAAGACAATACATTTTGTTATTTATGGAATACTCATAGAGAGTCCAATAGGCTGTGGGGGTGTTGATTGATGTAAAAAGGTAACTAGCTGTGATTATTAGGTAATGAGACTGTTTTTTTTGTGTGTGTGTGGCTCCTTGGCTAGCTCCAAATGAATAAATGACTGAAACATCAGGCCTCGGGACTCCTTCAGAATGCATGGTGAATGAAGAAAGGCAAGATGATCAGGTCCCTGTGTTTGGTCAAGGTTTTGTGAACAAGCAAGGTCTTGGAGTTGAAAGTAATACAATCAGTATTAAATAAAATGATATGAGAGAGCACCTAAACAGATAGCAGATATTCTCATGGGTTTTCACCACCAAGTTATTTACCATGATTATTATTAAAACCATCTGCTGCCTGGCAAAAAAAAAGGCTTTTGTCTGGGCACCAACCATCCCACTCTCTTTATTGCTTTTATATGGAGCCTGGGGAGGGAGATGGATGGGATGAGTGGCCACAACTCCATTTGGGAGTGTCTCAGACAGGCTAGCATAGCATGTTGTATTGCATTCAGAGAACTGGGTGACTGTATTTATCAAGGTGACAAGAATAGGCAGCACCCTCAAGGAACTGTCAAGTGGAGTTCAGCAGTGAGAGTACGCAGTGGGGATGGGGCTGTGGGCAGGGGAGAGCATTAGGGAAAGTCAGACAGCAAGTTCCATTATAGAACCTGGGGGCAGTCGAGCAGGTGTTTTGCCTCAGTCTCACCTTAGTCCAACCCCATTGCCTGGGCAACAATGTCAATAAATATAATGACTATTTTTGAGTTCTGATTGCAGCCAAACATTAAGAGGAATTTTACATATATAACCATTTAACTACTGTCTTACAGATGTAGAAACTACATCTGGAAAGCAAAACTGGCTTGTTCAGTGTTATTCAGCCAGCAATGGGGTCTGAACCTAGGGACTTCTCCTGCCAGAGTTTGGGCTCTTTTCATAAAGCCACACTGCTTCCCAACAAACAGAAGTTTTCCCAACAGACTTAGACCAAGCTAAAATGTAGCATGCAGTGTAGAAATACCAACCACTCTCTTGGAAATTATATGGCTTGGAATTTCAAAGGGCCAGAGCAGAGGTACCTGAGGGTTATGGGCTGTGAGGTACCACAGGCCCATCTTCTGCTGCTTCCCAGCTCCACATCAACCCAAAAGGGCTTCAGGAAGAGGCAACCAGGAACCCAACAGGCTTGTTCTAGGTGCCTCCATCCCTGGGGCTCTTCATGGACAGCAGCTGCCAAGGCCATAGCTCTCATACGTGTCCTTCCTGCAGGTGTTCAAGAGGGCCTTTCTTCTCTAGACTGCTCTCAGGTATCCTGATGACATCTCTGCTCAGAAGAGTGGACTGATGAGAAATTGGATGAGATCAAAAAGCAAGCCCATAGCTGGAGGAAGACTGAGATGAGATCTTGATTCTCTGGTTCCTGGCTCAGGAGCCTGCCCCTCATACGCACCCACTAGCTGCCCGGTGGTACTCAACATCTAGGGCATTGAGCAGGGCATTGAGCCACTGAGCAGGGAAATATCGCCCAAGAAGTCTATCACCTGGCAATTTCCTAAAAAGTAAAGGATCTCTCCCCAGAATGAATATAAAGAATGCCACTTATTCTCATGAGAATATGCCAATTCAGTCATGCTGGAACTTGATGCTAGATCTTTCAAATGACTTTAATATGACCCATCAATTATTCAAAGAATACCTTTTGGGGACCATTTTTCTAGACCCCTTACCAATATATATATATATATATTTTCTTTTTTTATATTGCGCATCCTTTATTTTACACTTACTAAAGTCCTTTATAATTATTTTTTTCATTAGCTCCAAGGGAGCTAGCAAAGGGAGGAAACAGTGTAATCTTGCTTCCATAAGAAACTGGTTATTGGCAAAAGGAAGTCAATAAATGTAATCCAGCAAATAAACAGAACCAACGACAAAAACCAAATGATTATCTCAATAGATGCAGAAAAGGCCTCTGACAAAATTCAACACGCTTCATGCTAAAAACACTAAATAAATTAGATGTTGATGAGACGTATCTCAAAATAATAACAGCTATCTATGACAAACCCACAGCCAATATCATACTGAATGGGCAAAAACTGGAAGCATTCCCTTTGAAAACGGGCACAAGACAGGGATGCCCTCTCTCACCACTCCAATTCAACATAGTGTTGAAAGTTCTGGTCAGGGCAATCAGGCAGGAGAAGGAAATAAAGAGCATTCAATTAGGAAAACAGGAAGTCAAATTGTCTCTGTTTGCAGATGACATGATTTTATATCTAGAAAACCCCATCATCTCAGCCCAAAATCTCCTTAAACTGATAGGCAACTTCAGCAAAGTCTCAGGATACAAAATCAATGTACAAAAATCACAAGCATTCTTATACACCAATAACAGACAAACAGAGAGCCAAATCATGAGTGAACTCCCATTCACAATTGCTTCAAAGAGAATAAAATACCTAGGAATCCAACTTACAAGGGACGTGAAGGACCTCTTCAAGGAGAACTACAAACTACTGCTCAATGAAATAAAAGAGGATACAAACAAATGGAATAACATTCAATGCTCATGGGTAGGAAGAATCAATATCGTGAAAATGGCCATATTGCCCAAGGTAATTTATAGATTCAATGCCATCCCCATCAAGCTACCAATGACTTTCTTCACAGAATTGGAAAAAACTACTTTAAAGTTCATATGGAACCAAAAAAGAGCCTGCATCGCCAAGACAATACTAAGCCAAAAGAACAAAGCTGGAGGCATCACGCTACCTGACTTCCAACTATACTACAAGGCTACAGTAACCAAAACAGCATGGTACTGGTACCAAAACAGAGATATAGATCAATGGAACAGAACAGAGCCCTCAGAAATAACGCCGCATATCTACAACTATCTGATCTTTGACAAACCTGACAAAAACAAGAAATGGGGAAAGGATTCCCTATTTAATAAATGGTGCTGGGAAAACTGACTAGCCACATGTAGAAAGCTGAAACTGGACCCCTTCCTTACACCTCATACAAAAATTAATTCAAGATGGATTAAAGACTTAAATGTTGGACCTAAAACCATAAAAACCCTAGAAGAAAACCTAGGCAATACCATTCAGGACATAGGCATGGGCAAGGACTTCATGTCTAAAACACCAAAAGCAATGGCAACAAAAGCCAAAATTGATGAATGGGATCTCATTAAACTAAAGAGCTTCTGCACAGCAAAAGAAACTACCATCAGAGTGAACAGGCAACCTACAGAATGGGAGAAAATTTTTGCAATCTACTCATCTGACAAAGGGCTAATATCCAGAATCTACAATGAACTCAAACAAACTTACAAGAAAAAAACAAACAACCCCATCAAAAAGTGGGCGAAGGATATGAACAGACACTTCTCAAAAGAAGACATTTATGCAGCCAACAGACACATGAAAAAATGCTCATCATCACTGGCCATCAGAGAAATGCAAATCAAAACCACAATGAGATACCATCTCACACCAGTTAGAATGGCAATCATTAAAAAGTCAGGAAACCACAGGTGCTGGAGAGGATGTGGAGAAATAGGAACACTTTTACACTGTTGGTGGGACTGTAAACTAGTTCAACCATTGTGGAAGTCAGTGTGGCGATTCCTCAGGGATCTAAAACTAGAAATACCATTTGACCCAGCCATCCCATTACTGGGTTTATACCCAAGGGATTATAAATCATGCTGCTATAAAGACACATGCACATGTATGTTTATTGGGGCACTATTCACAATAGCAAAGACTTGGAACCAACCCAAATGTCCAACAATGATAGACTGGGTTAAGAAAATGTGGCATATATACACCATGGAATACTATGCAGCCATAAAAAATGATGAGTTCATGTCCTTTGTAGGGACATGGATGAAGCTGGAAACCATCATTCTCAGCAAACTATCGCAAGGACAAAAAACCAAACACCACATGTTCTCACTCATCGGTGGGAATTGAACAGTGAGAACACATGGACACAGGAAGGGGAACATCACACACCGGGGCCTGTTGTGGGGTGGGAGGAGTGGGGAGGGATAGCATTAGGAGATATACCTAATGTTAAATGATGAGTTAATGGGTGCAGCACACCAACATGGCACATGAATACGTATGTAACAAACCTGCACATTGTGCACATGTACCCTAAAACTTAAAGTATAATGAAAAATAAATAAATAAATAAAATAAACTGGTTATTGGGTAATACCATTCCCATGATGTTGAGGACATTGAGGTTGTCTGCAAATGTTTATAACATATCCTTTTAAGACATATACTCTCCAAAACAATGTTGGTGTGAGTGCCCACTACCTGCCAGGTAGTCGACCTACCAAGGCCCATCAAGTAAGTAAACAAGAAAGTGATTCTGCCCTTCCTTTTGCCAATCCCTGGCCCTGTTGACCTGTGCTGTAAGTGAGGGGCTGCCAAAGTGCACACCTACTTTGTCAATTTCAGACCTGAAATTCAGCCTACAGATTAGTGGTGGCACTTGAGTTTCACTAGCTACTGAGCTGGAAAGAAATATGATGTGACAAGGAAAAATACCTATGCATAAAAGCATAAAGCTAGCATATATACAAAAAAAATAGTGCTCTTGAAAGAACAGTAGCAATTTCACCCTAACCAGAAAACCTCAGTAAAAGGCACAGCAGACAAATGCAATAGCCACTTGGAGCCTCTGACCAGCGAAACAACCAGGATGCAAATGGAGAAGGCTCACTTCTGAAAGAGAGCTGATGTCACCTGAACCAGAGAAGATCAGGCTTGCCTAGAGGATTTAATTCCCAGACCCTGTAGAGCTTACCCATTCCTTGGTTGTTCTTGCCCAAGGAGGGAAAAGGTGCTGGAACAGAGAGAACATTGGACTTAGAGAAGGAGACCTGGGTTTCATGTTCCAGATCTACCACAGTAGACAAGCCACAAGCTCTCCAAGCCTTAATTTATTTATCAATAAAATGGAATCCATAATATCTTTCCCACAGGCCTGAGAGGATTGTGTGAGATTCACATTAGAATTATAATTTGCAAATTGCAAAACTTTGTAAACCCATGGGAAGTAACTTTCCTTCATTGCAACTGGAGAACAATATAATAGCTTTTAGGTTTGAGGGCAGATACAGGACAGTTTACTTAGGCACAGACCAATACATTTCTCTGCTCTCCAGGATGTAAGTTACAGTGGGCTCGTAGTGGGCTCACCGTAATGTCTGATGACATTTGTATGGATTGTGTATGGTACTGCACTGGACACATGCAGATCTTTGAAGGGAGGACAGAGCATGACCTAGGAGATGGTGGGAACATGTCAATGCTCCATATGGACATAGAGTGTTGCAGATGTGGTTTTCACTATTTTAGTTTGGATTTTGTAGGAGACAGGGGAGGCAGGGATGGAAGCAGGCAAAGAGGGAAAAAATAAAAATAGGAACAACCAGGACACACTCTTATCTTCAAGGTGCACCCTGTTAGGCTAGATGTCTCATGGATCCTTCCAACACAGCATGTCCTGAGCCAAACTCACCATTGTCCCCACTCTGACAGGCTCATCCTCATATGTTCCTTCTATCAGACAATGGCTCCACCAGCCACACACTGCTTAAAATCTTGGCATCACCCTGGACTCCCACCGCTCCACCCAGTTCATTCAAGTCCAGTAGACACAACATTCTTAAAAAGTCCTCTTTCCAGTCCTATGACTACTATTGGGGTCGAGGCCCTCATCACTCCTGGCCTGATTACTGCAATCATCTCCTATAGTCCCCCTGCCTGTCTTCCCCCTTGAATTCATTCTTCATACTGCTGATTTCTAAGCCACTTCCCTCAGCCCCTTTCTTCCTCTGCAAGCTCATTTCTTGCCTTTCTGTCACACAATCTGGCCCTTTACTCTAACTGTCCAAATACTTCCAGGCCTTTGCAAATGCTGTTCCCTCTTCATGTAATGCCTTTCCCTGCTTCTCCTAGGTAATTCTTTCTCATCCTGAAGATTTCCAGATTTCCCCAACCCCAAAGGCCACATTTAGTGTCCCTCTTCAGTGCTTCCTGAGCACGTCTTCTTTCATATGATTATAGTATTTAGCCCACTGAATGGCAAGAATTGATCTATTGACTTATTTCAAGACCGTAATAACTCTGAAGAAAGGCCAACCTTTATTTTAGCTTCGTGTGTCCAGCACTCACAACAGTGACAGGAGCCTAGGAGTTACTCAATCACTATTTGTTGATTTGAGTGATGCCTAACTAAAGGGAACCTGGCTCAGTCAGTTTGGTGAGTTTGTCTGAAGAAATTCAGCGAGGTTTAGTATTCAATGCACTCCATCCCAGTGGACACTCCTTGTGTTCCCCAGCCCAGCAAGTTGGTAACTGACAGCAACTTTCCCAAAAGTCAGGCTACTGCCAGGAGTCACCAAACTCACTCCAAAGCTGACCCAAATCTGTTGTTTGCCCCATAGTGAAGCTGGCTTCCTCTGCTACCCAGCATAACCCATCTTCAGAGGTGGATGTTCATGAGCTTAGACCCAGCAAGGGGCCTTGACAATCGTCCTGAGATCATCACTTCCACCTCTCGCCAGGCACACTGAATGCAGATTTCTCAAGTTAATTAATGAATTAATGTGAGTCAAGCTTTGACACGGGCCCTGTGTGTTCTGCAGCATGAAGAACAATGTTGCTCATATCCTTCCAAGCTCTATTCCTCACCACCTGACTGGGGCCTGTGGGGAACAAGCATGCCTCTGCTATGAGTAAAGTATGTGGGCTTTGTGATAGTTATTTGCTTGGACTCAAAAACCTTTTCATGCAACTAGCATTCTATATATGGTCAAACTTGTCAGAAGTTAGACCATACGTTGTTAAACGAAGCACAATCACTAAGGTTTTTTGGGTTTTAAAAGTGTCGCTTCTCTTTTCTTACCTGAATTAGCCATAAGCCTTAGGAGGTGGCATAATGTAGTAAGTTGCAAAAATGACCACAAGGCTTCATTCCTGGCTTTATCTGAACACTTTTCAATGTGACTTTCAACTGCTCCCATCAAAAGGCAGAGTCTACTCTGCTCCTCTTGAATCTGGCCATGTTACTTGCTTTGCACAACAGAATGCAGTAGAAGTAACAGTGTGCTAGTTTTGAGCCTAGACCTTTTGTGTTTTCGCTCTATTTCTTTCTCTTTTTCCCTCCCTCCCTCCTGCCCCATCTCCCTCTCTCCCTCTCCCTCTCAGAACCTGCTAGCTACCATGCAAACAAACTCAGTCTAGCCTGCTGAATGATATGAGACACACGGACCAACTACCCTCTATTTCAGTTCTCTATTGTTGCATAACCACCTGCCTCAAACGCAGTGACTTAAGACAACAATTATCGTTTATTCAGCCTACAAATCAGCAATTTGGGCAGGGCCTGGCAGGGACAGCTCACCTCTGCTCCATGTGGCATCCACTGGGAAAACTTAAAGGCTGAGGGTGACTCAGTATCTGGGAGTCACTCAGTCTCTTGGAGCTGGAGTCAACTGCAGGCTCACTCACTCACTCACTCACTTACATGTCTGGTGGTTGATGCTGCTGCCCACCAGGACCTCAGCAGGACTGGTGGCGAGACAGCCATACCTGACCTCTTCATGTGGCTGCTCCACTGCCACACAGCATTGTAGGAGAGTTCCAAGAGCGACGTTGCAAAAGGAAGGAAGTGGAAGCTGCCAGTTTCTCAAGTCCTAAGCCTGGAAGTTGGCCTGCCATTAAACCCACCACATTCTGTTGGTCAAGGCAGTCACAAAGTTCTGCCCAGATTCAAGGGAGAGGACCATAGAGACAAAGAAACTGTCAGAGCCACATTGTAAAAAGAGATATATATTGTAGTGGCCATCTTTCATACTCCCATCACTCTAGCCAACAGGCAGCCAGCTGCCAAACACATGAGTAAAGCCATCCTGACCAAGTCACACATACACACACACACACACACCAGCCAACCAGCCAATGGGCTGCAAATGCATGAGCAAGCCCAACCAAAATTAGCCAAGCCTCACCCAGATCAACAGAACATCCCAGCCAACCTGTCAACTGATGATGGCTGCAGACTGTGAGCAATAATAGATGGTTATTGTCTTAAGTGGTTAAATTTGGAAGTAACCTGGCTCCACCACCCATTAATGAAGTAACCACTTGAGCTTCAGTTTCCTTGCCTATAAATATAGTGATCATAATACCCATGTCACAGGATTATAAATTATTAGGATTCAATGAAATAACGGGCCTTTCTTTGGTGCCTAGTAAAATGTTGGCACTGAGTTGAGAAATGATCCTTCCCTCCCCTTCCTCACACATTCAAAGCTGTAATGAAGGTCATGTTCTCATCATTCTCTGTGCTACATAAACCAAGGTCACAGAATCTTGACTGGATGTCAGTCTCAGTTCTGCTTTGCAGAAGGTGACTTTCAAAAATAACTCTCCTTACTAATCAATTAAACTAGTGAGAATTTTCAAAATCACTCAACTATTCCAGCAGAAAGGATAAAGGGCAGGACAAGAGGTGAACTGTGTGATCCTCCTAATGAAAATTTCAAGGAGACTTGGTTTATAAACGCTGCAAAAATCCATTCTAAACAAAAACATCAGCTTTTCACTGTGACTTGGATATTAGCCAGCAATAAAGGAAAGATTGACCTGATTTAGGGTTGGTTGCACAATATGAAAAGTGATTTTTTTCCCCTTTCCCTGGACCTAGAGCTAATAGCTTTGTTTGTGTCCCTGAAGAACAGAAGAGAACACCGGGCTTGTCCCCTTTAAAATCTGTAAGTGCACAAATGAAGCCTTGCTTATGGTTAACTCCACAAGCACTTTGGAGCTGCTGCAGTTGACATAAGCTCCATTAAAGTAGGGGGTGCAGAATAAATACATCATATTCTGATACTCCATGCCTAAGCTCCCAAGAGGAAAGAGACCTGAGACATTTTCAAGAACATGCAAAGGCAAAAGACGGTTGTCAGTCTATGTTTTAATTGCCCCTGACAATAATGGCATAAGCTGATGTTGGCAGAGGAATTTTCATCCGGCAAAGGGCTTTGCAGCACATGCTTTACTTTTAACCTGTGCAACAGCTCTGTGTGGCAAACAGAGTAAAGGTTGATAGTCTCCTTGTACAGGTGGGGAAAATTCTGTGATTTGTCCAACTTCTTTAATGGTTGCCACACTTTTAGTGAGCTCTCAAACTGGGTAGTTTGTCCGATATACAGAGTATTTAATTCTATCCTGGAAATTTGACCGTAGAAATTAACCAATCAAAGTCAGATTGATTGATTTCTGGATAACACCCAGAAATCTGCATTTTTAACAACATCCTACATGGTCCTTTGATAACATTTCCCCAGTCTGATACTCTACCTTGCAAAATCAAAAGGTACTTATAAAACTCATGTATACACATAAATCCTGTTTTTTCATGGTTTGTTACTCTTAAGAATTTGGAAATACCATGAGCACCATCATGCCCTCTTGAAACATAGTATTACCTTCAGTGAAAGCCTCATGGAGCACAGTTAATGTGCTAGGTTGGTGCTCGATCTGACTGCCAACACTATAGTACTTAGCTTAGGAATGCACTTTATTTTTCCAGCAGATTTGTCTTTTGAATTATGTCTGACTTCAGACAATATTAAAATTAAATTGCTTTTCCCTTTTCTTGGGCCCACACCAGAGAAAGGGGTGGGGAAGAAGGAGAAATAGGCAGAGACATTCCTTAGGTGCTCTGGGCGGCAGAAAGAGCAAAGGACAGACTCTAAAAGCTGAAATGAACAAGAGTGATCATCTTGTCCAGCTTACCACTGCCAGAGATTGGGAGATAAAGGAACAGAGATGTTAAGGGTCACAGACAATCCAGCCTTGACCAAAATAGTACCAAGCCATACACCACACAGCCCATTTGGCATTCAAAAACTTTGTGAGGGCAGACTTGTGTTCTTCCTCTCAAAGCTGATGCATGCTCTACCATATTTGCCCATTCTCTCATGGGGCTGATTACTCAAATGAGGAGCTGGCAGGCATGTAGGATAACGTTTACTTGAGAACACTGTGTTGTGCTTCTACAAATTGCTCTTACTGAATGAATTTTTCATGAGCTGAAAGTTTCTACCTTTTTGTAAAGCCGCCTTACTATCTGTCAATATAGCCAAAATTATTCTTATTGTAGTGTCATAAGAGAGCTTCAATAACTAATGTCTGAATCCATGCATAATGGTAGGGCAAGGGCCATTTTGATTTTCCAGACTTAGATGGGAAAATGGAAGCATGTTAAGGGAAATTATATCAGGATTACATCAAGTTAAAGTAGAACAGCGAGTGAAAGGGGCTTCAGTATTCTCTGGGATGTATCAGGAAGAGCTCTGATGTTATGGGGATATCAAGTAAGCATAACATTACTGCCATTTCCTCAGCATCTTGACCTAAGGAAACAAAAATGTGTTCTACCTCCCCAGTAGATCAGGTGCCATTCTACTCAAATAGGTTCTCCCTACTTTGCAGATTAATGCACAGATTCACATTTTGAAGTTTAAAGCTTTTGCCTTAATCTAAGAGCCAAGGTCTCCCAACATACCCTGTTGCAACCATTCTGTAAAGCCTTACTCAATACAAAAACTCTTCTTTAATTCAACATCAACAACAGTCAAGCGGCAGACTAACTAGATGCTCTCCAGCCTCTCTTTCCCATCATGGGGATGCAGAAAACCTACATTTCTTATCTTCCCTTGCAGTTTTTTGAGGGCCATGTGATCAGGTTCTGACCAAAGAAATATGGGAAGGAATGATGACTGCCACCTCCAAGCTGCATATAAAACATCCCACACAATCATTTTCATTCTATACCTTTACTCATCAGCTGGAGAAAGCTAAAGATTCAGGGAAGAACACCAAAGAGGCTCTAGGAAACAGGAGAGCCACAGTATAAAATGGGTCTACGTCTCCGTATCAACACTGGAGGAGAGCCCTTCAGAGGAGCTGCCTGCTCTCCAGAAAGCTGTGGCATGGGTGAGAAGTAAATCTCTGTTAATAGAAACCAGTGGCCCTTAGGGTTTGTTGGTTCCTGCATGTGGTCTGTTCTAAATAATAAGGATCACATCTCCATAACTAAAGAATGAGTCTATAATAGGTGTACCTATAAACCAGTATGAAAGAACATGATCAGATGGTGAAATAAACTTTATGGAATTGTTTTTCTCTCGTCTGGAAGTAAATTAAACACACACACACAAAAAAAAACACAGCAAAATAACTGTCAAATTAAACACTTTTTTGGTGCACTTTTTCTCTTTTATAACTAAAACAGAGTCAACTATTTATCTTTGTGATTATTTAATCAAATTAGTATCAGTATAAAATCTAAACTACTTTCTTACTGTTAATCACTTGAATTCACTGTTTTGTCTTACAACCTCTATTTGAAAGGTTTGTCTTTATATCAGATACATGGTGTTTCTAGGGGAAAAATCTAGATTTAATAATAGCTAATATTTATTGAGCACTTACTATGTACCAATAACACTGCCAGCATTCTCATGACCACCTTGTGAGATAGGTACCAATTTACAGGTGAGAAAATTGAGGCCAAAAATCCTCTACATGCATCCTAAGGCCACCCAGGTCATAAATTATTTAGCCGGAATTCACTTATTCACTGTCATTCTAAAATCTGCTTTCTTAACCACCTCACGTCTCTTTTGCGACTTCTTTCCTTCTCTGACTTATGTGTGAATATCTCATAGTAACCATTTTCCTAGAGACAGAATTCCAAATTGGCTATGAGTGCAGTTACTTGACTTATTCTCTGGTCACCTTCCTAAGTGGACCTCTGAATTGGCTCTGATTTTATTACTGTAAGCTCTACATATTTATAAATGTAACCCAAGTTCTCTGACTTATGAATTCTTTGAACTTCTAACTTTTTTTCAGAGGCTTATGGCACCTAACGCTTCTTAACAACTTAAAGGGACATTTTCTTTCCATTTCAAATTTCAAGCCTGCTTACTTTTAAATATTCAATATTTAGGTATTATAAGAGCAATAGGATTATTTGATGTCCAAATTGCCTCAGGCCTTCTTTTAAATGCCATTGTAGCAAAGAGTGATTCCAGCAGTAGCATTCATCCTTCGAGTGATTCCAGCAGTAGCATTCATCCTTCCTACTATTCCGCTTAAAGAGCATCCAGACAGCCCATCGGAAGTGAGACCCAGCGCTGAACCCAGAGGACTGTTAGGGCTCAGACTAAACCACCCTCTGGGAGAATCATACTCTGCCCCATCTCCACACCACCTCTGAGCACATGCACACACACACACACACACACACACACACACACACACTCCTGCTGGTAAGATGAGGTCATAATAAACATCCAGAAGAGAATTAAGAGGAAAAGAAGATACAGAGGGAAATGTGAAGCACAATCCCCCAACTCACTTTCTCCTTGTTACTGGGAGTTCCAGGGACTGATGAGATTTGTAGATGAATGCAAACTCTTATGTGTGTGTGTGTGTGTGTGTGTGTGTGTGTGTGTGTGTGTGTTTGTGTGTGTATACAGAATGTTAAAATGGACTTTAGGCTAAAGTCCTGAAGTATAGATATCATTTGGCCATGGTGGCACAATTTCAAAGGAGGTTCAATTCTTAATCCTCTCTCTCACGTCCAGGGTATAAGGTTTAGAGATTAAGAGATAACTAAGAGATTTTTAGTTGGGTTTTTTGTTGTTGTTGTTTTGGGTGAGGGGGTGGTAGAGATTGTTTGATTATGGAAAGGGCCTGTGGTGAGAGTTTATATTCTGAGCTTCCTCCCACCAAGTCGTGTCTAAAGGAAAAGATGTCAAAAGAACTCTCAGAGAGCCTAAGGCCTAATGTGTGGTTCTTGTACACACACCCGACTCCCGCCCGCAAAATCTGAAAGGCAAGTGTATTAGTCTGTTCCCATGCTGCTAATAAAGACATAACCAAGACTGGGTAATTTATAAAGGAAAGATGTTTAATGGACTCACAGTTCAGCATGACTGGGGAGGCCTCATAATCAGGGCATAAGGCAAAGGAGAAGCAAAGGCACATCCTACATGGCAGCAGGCAAGGCAGCTTGGGCAGGAAACTCCCCTTTATAAAACCATCAGCTTTCATGAGACTTATTCACTGCCATGAGAACAGTAGGGGGGAAACTGCCCCCATGATTCAATTATCTCCACCTGGCCCCACCCTTGACATGTGGGGATTATTATAATTCAAGCTGAGATTTGGGTGGGGACACAGAACCAAACCATATCAGCAAGACATGGGCTTACTGGCCGGTTTCATGGCAGAGTGAAAGAGAATTCGTGACACTGAGGGCGAGTCTCTGGGCTACCAGAATAAAGATGTTTTTGCCCTGTCAAGAGCCAAAAACAGAGATCACCAGTGTCAGAGAAGGAGGGGTAAAATCTCCAGAGGACACCCCAAAAAATGCCCTTCAGAGCAAGACTCAGGTTTAAGCATCTTCCAAGCCCCAACAGTGCCAATTCTGTGTATCTTGAGGTATCCTTTAAGGGAGACATTTCCTGCTCTCCTCATCTTCTCTCCCTCCCTGCACCTACTTGGGAGGGGTCAGAACTAATTAGGGTGGCACATAATTTACATACAGAAAGGCTTCTGAAAGGGAAATGGTGTGATGGTTCTTTTCATGTGTCAACTTGGCCAGGCTCTGGTGCCCAGCTGTGTTTCCAACACTAGGTGTTACTGTGAAGGCATTTTGTTCATGTGATTAACACTTACAATCAGTTGACTTTAAGTAAAGGAGAACCCTGACTGAGCCAAAGGGGAACTATTAATAACTAGGCCCAGGCAAAAGCAACTGAGACTACCCTGAGCTAACCAGTTAACCAGTCAGAACCCAAGAGTTAGTGGGATGTGGAAGTTAGTGGACTGTGGAGCATGGAGTTGGTGGGATGTGGAAGTAGGTTTAGAAGTGCTGAGTGAGTGAGGTGGGGGGATGGGGGAGGGATAGCATTAGGAGAAATACCTAATGTAAATGAAGAGTTAATGGGTGCAGCAAACCAACACAGCACATGTATGCACATGTAACAAACCTACACGTTGTGCACATGTACCCTAGAACTTAAAGGATAATTTAAAAAAGAAAAAAAAAGTGCTGGGTGAGGAGAGAGGAGAGGCTGACTGTACTCTCTTTTCTGGACTGTGGTCTCCTACTTGGAATAAGCCTGAACTGGGAGAAAGAAAGAATTTATTACTTTAGAGTTTTAACTATAACATGGAACCAGGCCTACTAATTACCATCCTAAGACTGTGTTGTGTGACTTCACATGATGGGAGACTATTCTGTGTGGCTTGAAATGACTGATGTTTGTGCTACACTGGCGTGGACAGAAAAGTCATAGGGCATGTCTGTGTTTCATTTGGGGAAAGAGGAAAAATTAGTCCTACAGAGATAGAAAGGTAGTGGGAGACAAAATACAGCTATTATCTGACTCCACTTCATAGTTATATATGGATAGACATCCTTCTTCTTGATCAGAGGCCTGCTTAAGTTACAACCAGCTACTAGTGTCTGCAGCATGGAGGACCAGCCCTGGGCCTGGGGCAAGGGCCTCAGTTGTTCGTAGGAGCAGTTCTGATGGGCCCATAAACTGGGATGAGCTCAATATTTTGGCACACAGCACCTCTTTCTACCTCTAGTCACATCTTAGTTAACATGACTAGCCCACCAGAGCATATGGTAACTATGAAAGGTGTTTAACACAATCCATAAATACTTTCCACATTAAGTATCTATTTATTGAGCATCTACCCTGTGCCTAATATTGTTGGGTAGAAGTATATAGAGCCTCTGAGGCTGGGCACAGTGTCTCATGCCTGTAATCCCAGCACTTTATTAAGCATCTACCCTGTGCCTAATATTGTTGGGTAGAAGTATAGCTATAGAGCCTCTGAGGCCGGGCACGGCGGCTCATGCCTGTAATCTCAGCACTTTCCCAGGTCGAGGTGAGCAGATCACCTGAGGTCAGGAGTCCGAGACCAGCCTGCCAACATGGTGAAACCCTGTCCCTACTAAAAATATAACAATTAGCCTGGCCTGGTGGTGGGCACCTGTAATCCCAGCTACTCAGGAGGCTGAGGCAGGAGAATCATTTAAACCCAGGAGGCAGAGGTTGCAGTGAGCAGAGATCGCACCACTGCACTCCAGCCTGGGCAGCAAGAGCGAAACTCCATCTAAAAAAATTAATTAATTAATAAAATAAAATAAAATAAAATAGATATAGAACCTCTGGCTTCAGGAAATTTATGATCACAGGTAAGTTTTTGTATACCAATCTTCCTGCATTCTGTTTTAATATTGTTATGTATCTATTCTGAGTCAACCTAGCTTTTAAATTCTGAGAGCTCTGAATTTGATTTACTTGTTTTTCCAAACTTACCCCTGTAAGTTGTGCTTCTGGTGATAAAAATCAAAGCAAAAATTAGTTTTGTAGATTGAATGAGAGGCTCAAAACTAAAGATCCTGACCTTTAGATTGGGAAGAATTTTCTCTTACTGGAAAATTAGAGTGTGTGCAAAACCCTTTTATTGTGCATACAACACACAGAGACACATACACACACATACTTATTATTTTTTAGATTTTTTAGATTTCATTCATCTGATCTAGTTTTTTTTTTAATTTGTTTTTTTTAATGCTGAAAGAGGGCCTACGGACTAAAATAAATTGCTCTTCCTGAGACATAGGAGTAGCATAGAAATTATTCTTCTGAAAAGCAGAAGGCCGATTCTTTGAAAACACTTAATTGCACAAGAGATAGCTCATGAAATGGCTTCAGATTTTCTCTCAGGAAGCGAGAGTTATAAAGTCTAGTGGTCAGAACAAGATCCATTCCCTGATGACAAGAACCGACCATGTGGCCAAAGCTTTATTCTGAAGTGCAAAGTCCAGGTGTTGGTCAATAACGAAAGGATCAGAGCAGATAGGGTGGTCCCCAAGGATTAATAAAAGATCAGAATGACACCTTGTGTGACTAAGTTTGGCAGAAGGGTCATTGTCGTAAGTGTGGTGAAGACTCTTAGCACTCACTGACTTATTTTCATGAAAAAATGAGCTGCTGATGCACCTAGCTCCCATGCCACCTGCCATCTGCCACCTGCCGTTTCCATTAAGCTGTACTTAGTTCTCGTTTTTAGTCAAAGCTAGCTTGTCACTTAATCCTCACTCTGCTCCAGTATTTCCAGAACTAAATCAGAGACCATTCAAAAAGATTCATTCCATAAAGGAAATGGGAGGCGGGGGGAGTGCCATTGTTTTATCTAAGACCAAATGTATTTCTTTGCTCCCAGTCTGGTAGTAGATTGTTGTCCATAAAAACAAGCAAGCTTTCTGGAACAAATCTTGACTTGTTTGCTGTGAAGAGCCATGACACCTGCCTCATTTAAACTAAATTACCCTTAAGCAGCTCTAATGCATGGAGCAGCCTCCCTTCTCCATCACCATGTCTCATGAGAGTTGCCCAGCCTGGATAAGGCTTACTTCCCTTGGAATTCGGTTAATTCACCTTTTCCCCTCAAGGATGCACATGGTTTCCACTTCACAGAGTATCCCTGGCACATCACTGGCCCACTCCTGCTTCGCACCACCAGAATCCCCTGAACTTTACCGAGATGATACAGATGTAATTAAACCTGAATTCTAGTCTCTCCTTGTGACAACTCAGTGGACAATTAATGATGATAAAAGAGCCTGCCAGCTGCTGCCTGACATACCAATGTGAGCTTCCAACTCCGAGGAAGATGGAGGGTGAAGGGCAGGTCCCTCTGGCTCCATTTCAATCTGTCTTTTATCTCACACTAGCTAAAAAGTAACACTTACTTTGGGGAAATTTAGATTCTTTCTTCTCCTCTCTTAAAAGCACCAAACAGACAGTCAGAGGTAATGCAAGGTCTATGAAATAAATAAGAATGCTTCCGGGAAGAGTAATTGAAGCTTCATCACCAGGGACCGTAGAGTCAGGCCTAAAGCCAGAGGAGCAGGCTGCGCTCCCACCCCTGATCTCAAGCAGGGGATACACCCACCGCCTCTTTGCCACAGGGACCCATCAGTTGGTAGGGAGGGGCTTCATAAGGGAGACACTTAATGGATTTTTCCACAGTAATGCTGTTCATTCCAAACTGACTTCAATCACGTTTGTCCTTTTCTCTCTCAATTTTAGGTTGAGCCATGACTACAGTCTAGTGCAATAAAATGCTTGGAGGGAGTCCAAGGCTTGAGGGAGACATGGACTGTGGAGGGATACAGCTGGAGAGAAAATAATCAAAACAAGGCAGATGAGAGGGAGTTAGAGGAACCTGTTCAACGCTGACACTTCAAAAGCTCGTGCAGAGGCTCCGTGGCAACAGTACTGCCGGCTTCCTGTGTGGCTTTCCGTTTATTAGCTTGTTGTTTGGGGGGTGTGAGAATCCATTTAGATAATTCCCACAAGAAAAAAGTGCAAATGACTCATAAACATACGAAATAAATGTTCAACAACACTTGTAATCAAAGAAATGCAAATATAAAACAAGATAGCGTTTTCACCTATCAAATTAACAAAGATTAAAAGGAATTCTAATACTCAACAGACTGGTGAGATGGCCCATCTCACACAGCTGACGTGTTAATTGGTATAACCTTTCTCCTGGCAATAGGTAGCAAAAATCTTAAAAGTATGCATACTCCTTGACCTAGTCGTTCACCTTCTAGGGATCTACTCCAAGGACAGCAGCAGCAATTTGAGCAAAGACTTAATCACAAAAGTTTCATTGGAATGTTATTTACAACAAGAAAAAGTACAAAAATAAAATGTGACTCTTATGAATTGTATAGTATAAATATAAAACATAAATATAAAAATAGATTATAACACTTCCTCATCAATTAATAATATGCAGCAAATTCATGTATTTTAAGAGTATATATGAAGTGAAAAAATCAATATCGTATATATTAGGATCCTGATTTTTTAAATTGGGAGAGGAAGACAATACATCAAAATATTAACAGAGACTATTTCTATGTAAGTGATTTCAAAGGTTTTTTTTTATATTTTTTGAAATTCTCCACAATGAACATATGGTAATCAGAAAATGCAAGCAGTATTTTAAAGCATGTAAATAAAGGACTAAAAGTATATTTGTCATGGTGGGCTGTACAACAAACTCCAAAGCTTGGAGGCTTAAAACAATTAAGGTTTATTTCTCACTCGTATTGGAAGTCAGCTAGGGACTCATACCCACATTACTTTACTCAGGAACAAAAACTAATAGAGCCTCCATCACCAATCACCATGGCAGAGAGAAGGAAATGTATCAAATCATACACTGACTCCTAATGACTCGTCCAGAGGTGATACAGGCTATTTTCATCTACATTTTCACTGGCCACAGCCAGTCAGATGACCAGTCCTATGTAATGCAAACAGGGAAGTTCAACCCTACAATGTGCCTAGAGGAAAGAAAACAAGAAAAAAAATTGTGAATAGGACAAATACTTACTACCAAAAAAGCATTGATTTTGTCTTAGGAATTATTTAAATGTCCAACTGAAGGTCTTTCCTCTGTGCTTTATTAGTAGTAAAGATGTGATATTCACATGACCCTAAACAATTTGATTCTGCTTCTCAATTCACAGCTTCAAACCCAAGATATTCAGGAGATGCCATTAATGCCGGCAAAAGGCTGTTTTAAAAGGCAAAAGGTGTGCACATACCACAGCCACATTATAGAAATGTACTTTCCTTCCAGAGTCCTTGGAGTATTCAGAGAAATTCCAGCATTTCTTAGTCCCATTCTAAACATACAAAAATCCAGATAAGCAATGAAGCAATGTTGGAAATTTCTCCCACCTTTTCCCAGTGTTGGAGAACAAGGCCCAATCTATACAAGGTCCTTAAACCACCTTCTAGAAACACTTTTCTAGTCAGTATAATCTGTTTTCTTTTTAATTCTGTACTCTGCATGTAAAAGATTAGAACACACCAATCCCAAAATATGACTATTAGTGTTTAAAAAATAACATCATAATCCTCTGCACATTCAAACGATTCATCATGCTTACTCAAGTAAATACCATTTTAAAGTATTTTTGTATTAATAAAAAAACTAACATGGCTTTATGAATGACAAAAATAGAAGGCAACATTGGGCATTAAATCAATTCACAATTTCCTCTGTTAAAATATAACTTGAACAGAGTTAAAAATAAAAGCTAATTACATGGAATGTTGCTTTGTACCTTGCATTGATAGATCTCTCTAAGGGATACAGGTAAATATAGACAATCTGACCCAAGACAGAACTCTCAGGATTATCATTGAATATTTTTCATCATCCACTATATCTAATTGGTCATCAAATGTTAATGATTCTAAACATCCTAAATACCCATTTAATCTGATTCTTCCATCCATTCCTAGTCGCTATGTTCAGGGCTTCATCATCTGTCACCAAGGCTACTGCAGTCAGCTATTCTCTTGTCTTATTCCATCAGACTCCCCTCTACAAGCCACTTTCCATACTGCCACCAAAATATGTAAATCCTGTTACTTCTCTTAAAATCCATCCATGAACAGAAAACCAAACATCACATGCTCTCACTCGTAAGTGGGAGTTGAAAAATGAGAACATATGGACACAGGGAGGGGAACATCACACACTGGGGGCCTGTTGGGGGGTTGGGGGCTAGGGGAGGGACAGCATTAGGAGAAACACCTAATGTAGATGATGGGTTGATGGGTGCAGCAAACCACTATGGCACGTGTATACCTATGTAACAAAACTGCACATTCTGCACATGTACCCCAGAACTTAAAGTATAATAAAAAAATTCAGAGAAGAAAAAAAATATGCAAAGGTAAATAAAGAACACCACTATTCTTGTGTTGAAGAAAAAAAAAATTCACTGGTGAACTACCAACACCTGGGAGACAAAGTCCAAACTTCTTAGTAGAGGATAAAAAAGGCTTTCCCTTATGGCCCTAGGATAACTTCCAAGCCTAGAGTGGCCTTCTCCAAAAAGTGTTCAGTGGAACATAAATTCCACAGTTCTATAGGGGAAAGGGTGTTCCATCATCCGATACATTGGGAAAAGCCAAGTTAAACCTGTTTCTTTTCTTCAAGGACTGTCAGAGATGAGAATTCAAGAGCTGGGACTCTAAATCCATCTCAGAGTTCAGTTCTTGGTTCTCTTCTCTTCTCTTCTCTTCCTGGCCTACTTTCATACTCTGGGTGACCTCTCCTAGTCTCCTGGCTTTAAATACTGTCTTCATGATAAGGACTGTTCAATTTACATCTCCTGCCCATACCTGTCCTCTGATTGCTTGACTGCCTATTCATGGTCTTCCACGAGATGTCTAATAAACGTCTGAAACTTAACTTGATATCCCCTCAACTCCTCCTCACTCAGTCTTCCCCCACCACGAGTTCATGTCAACTTCATTCTTCAAGTTACTCAGGCCAAAAATCTTAATGTCATTCTTGATTCCTCTATTTCTTCTTCGCCTCCTGTTTCATCCATCAGCAAATCCTATCCATTCTACATGCAAAATATATCCAGAATTTGACCACTTTACTCCACTACCCTGGCCCAAGCCACCATCTTCCCTCACCTGGACCATTTAAGAAGCCTTCCAAATGGTGTCCCTGCCTCTGCCCTTCACCGATAGTCTACTCTCAGCCCAACACCTAGGTTGACTGCCTCACTTGCCACAACAGGTAATATCACCTCTTTCTTCAAAACCTTGCAATGGCTTTCCCCTTTTACTCAGATGAAATCCAGAGTTCTTACCTACAACCCCAAATGATTGCTCTTCTATGACTTCTCCACCTACATCTCCCATCTTCACCTCCCTCCCTTCCTGGGCTGAAAATACACTGGGCCCTGTGCTGTTCCTCTAAACATGGAACTTTCACAGCTCCTTCTTTCCTGATTGCTCTTTAGCCAGACATCCACCTACCTCACTCCTTCTCTTCTTTCAGGTCTTTACTCAGATGCAACCTTTTGGTGAGAACTTCCTTGACCTCTTATTCAAAATTCCCATACTCCACTCCCCACCACTTCCAATAAAAGCTTTCCCACTTCTTTTCTCCATAGCACTTAATACCCCTCTGTAAAACACTGCCCAGTTCAAGTTCTTATTTTGTTTATGGCTTGTGTCTCACACTAGAATGTAAACTCTGGGAGGGCAGGAACCATGACCTATGCTGTTCACTGCCATCTTTCCAGTGCTGAGAACAATGTATGGCAAATAGTAGACATTTAAAATATACTTGTTAAATAATAGGATGAGTAAATAATGAAATAGAAAAGAGTAAATCGCATTTCCCAAAATAATTCTAGCACAGATTCCTTTTTGTGGGATATTTCACAGGAACAGTTATGAACAAGGGTTCCCATCCTTTCTGTCCTCCCTGTCTGTTAAAGAGGGCCCTGGCTTTGCCCACTTGGCCTTTTCTCTCTCCTGGTCTCTGGGGAGCATTCTTCCTTTGCCAGTTATTGAGATCTATTAATGCAGATTGTGGACAATGGGCCTATCTTACCTTATAGATACTTATAAATGAAAGATGAAAAATATTTCACTAGACCTTTCTTAACACAGAGTTTTTTGCCAAATCCACTTCGTTTATTAGAAAAGTATTCACAAAATGTTAGCTATGTTCCAGATAATATATTAACCCCCTGGGGCTAAAATGACTAATAGGACACCGTATTTGACCTCTAGGGAAACAGATATATAACCAAATAGTTGGAGAATTGCAGTAAGCAGTAGGACAGACACATGACCTAGTGTTATGGAGATTCAGAAGATGTTTTTGTAGTCTAAAAAAGCAAAGAAATGCTTTCCAAAAAAAAGTGGCCTTTGAGCTAAGTCTTAAAGAATAAGTAGAAACTTTAGATTAAAAACTAGACTATTCCAATTAGAGGGAAAGGCAGTGCAAAGGCATGAAAGTGTGAGAAGAAACTAATAACAGCTTGGATCGGTTGGAGGAAGGTGGGAGAGTTCTGGGAGAGGAGATAGAGATGGTAGTCAGGGCCCAGGTCAAGGAAGGCCTATAAACCCTGCTATAGAGCTTGCTCATTGATAGATAAAGCTTTTCTTTTTTCAGAGACTCAGTGGAGGAGTGAATTCCTCAAGAGAGGTTACAATGGAGCAAGAACTCTAGGACAGGCAAGAGAGTGACATTACTTGTATAAATGGCTCTTTAGCACCCACTGTCCACTCAAGGTGTGCTGCCCTATAGGCATATTCAGGCTCAAATAGTACTGCTATGTGTGGCACATCAGTCTGTTGTGTTTATTAATAGTTTATTAATGAAAGAGGCCTTGCTGGATGCTCTGTCAGTGCATCACTCCTGATCACTCTGTTCTCGTACTGTGCTGCAGCTAAAGTCATCCACCATGGTTCTAGGATTGCTCAGAGTATGAGCAGGAGAGGAAGATGTCAGTGAGGCTCTGGCTGCATCCCTTCCTGTACAGCCCTTCCAGACCCCTCCGTCCTAATTACATCACCTTCTCCAAATCATGCATACCCCACTTATGAAGTATCTACCGTATGCCAGGCACTGAGCCAATGACTGGTCCAGTAGTAAGTCCTAATTCTCCTTGGCCATGCATCTGCCCACATACCACTTAAAATTCCTTGGAATTGCAGAACTCCATGAAGTCAGATTCCTTTCTATTTATTTATATAAAAGTCTGTCTCCTGTACCAGGTCATAAGATTCTTGAAATCACGAACCGTGTTTTAGACATCTCTGCATCTATTGAGTTCCTTGCACAATGTCTGGCACATCATAGGTGTTCAACAAATGTTTGCTGAGTTTAAAATAATTGTGCAAGCATGTTCAACCAGAGGAGCCATTGAGAAATTACTTCATTGCAACCCTTCGATGTTATATGTGAGCCTGCTACCTGAGCTGGACTGTGATTTCAAAATGGAGCACTGAATCCAAAGGAAATTAGGATTCCCAGACTTCCAATAGAGGGCAGTACCATTGTAATATCAAGATATAATCTGATGTCTAATCACCATTCTGTGATGGTAGAAAATGTGACCCAGCCCAATAGACAGAAGGAAAGCTGCAAAGAAAGCATTTATGGCTATAAACAATTTTTCTTTATTCCTCATCTGGGTCCTGAGGCCTGTGATTTGGCTCCAATTTTTCATTTGTGGTTGTTTGTTTCAGATAATAAAACTGTTCCTTTAAAATAATGGTGACTATATTGTATCTAAAAATAAATATCAAAAGATCAAAGTCCCTTAGTGGGAGCAATTATTGCAAAAAGACCAGCCAAGCTCAAAACAGCTGTTAAGTGATCCTGGCCCAAGCAAGAGGAGCCTGGCCTCCTTGGCTGATCTGGAATCACATGGGCAGGCTGACAAACCAAAATTGAGAAACTTCTAAAATATGGAAAACACACATGGCAATATTAATGGCCCTATGAAAATTGCTCTTATTTGATTATTATTGGTCACTAACTACTTGCAGTATTGTTAAGACACTTCACAAAATGGACAGAAAATGAGTATTCAATGTGTGAGACAAAAAAAAAAAAAAAAAAAACAGAAGGAAGAGCTCCTCGTGAATTTCCAAGAGAAATAACACTAGGGTTCAGTTTTGCTGTTAGATATAATAAGTCCCAGTAAGGAAGCAAATGAGAAGCCAAGATGATGTGGCTTTATTTCAATACTCTCTTTGTTTGTTCCCTAATGCATTCAGAAAAAAAAAGTGTCACAATCATTCAGTGAATTCCAAGTACAATACTTACCGGGAGTTGCAGCTATTTCAGAAGTGCCTTCCTCCTCAAGATCCAGGCCTGGACAATTCACAAACACAATGTTTATTTATTTTTCAAGAAGTCTTCTGTGTAAAGATAATTCTCAGGAAGCACAGTATTGATATGCATAGATTTTCCTCTCACTGAATATTTCAATATTTGTGTTGTTTAAGGGATACTTTCCAACCAGTAATTATTTGATCAAAAATTTTTAAGTATATAATAAATTTTCCCATCATTCATTTATTCAATAAGCATTTCTTGAGCATGTACTATGTACCAGACACTCTACTAAATGATACAGAAATGTCAGTTTCTGTACTCAAAAAGCACAATCTGGTGAAAGAGTTATAGGGTAATGGACAGCTGAACAAGGGAAGTTCTATGATGCTGTAACACAGAGGACTGGCACTGAATCCAGCCTGGTGGGCAAGGACTGGGGTCAGAAAGACTTTCTGGAGAGAATTGACAATGAGTAGTAAAGGAAGATGCATCCCTTAGCCAGGTGGATTTGCTAGAACCTGTAGAAAAAAACAAGATACTTATTGTCATCTGCTTACCAACAACAAAAATAGAAACTAATATTGGCCAAGCGCTTACTCTACGCCAGGCATTGAGCTAAGTACTTTGAATATTAGATCTTGTTGAGGAGACATTATTAATAATATGAGAACATCGGATATCAACATATGGTTGTGGTAGAAAAAATAATCCCGCTCCACCCCACCCCCAGCAAAAGATGTTCATGTTTTTATCCCCTGGAATTTGTGAATGTGTTACCTTGGCACAATATGCTTACGTGGCTTTGCAGATGAAATTACACACAACATAATCATGGGGCCCTTAAAGGGGTAGAGGAGACAGAAGAGTCAGCTGCAGCAGAAAAGGGAAACAGAGGAGACATTCAAAGAATGAGAAGGACAAAACCCACCATTGCTGGCTTTTAAGAAGGGGGAAGAGACCACAAGCCAAGTAGTGTGGGTGGTCTCTATAAACAGAAAACAATCCCCAGCCACCAGCTGGGAGACCTCAATTCTACAATCACATGGAACTCAACTCTACCAATGCCTTGAATAAGTCTGAAAGTAGATAATCCCCTGGGCCTGCCAACACCTTGATTTCAACTTTGTGAGACCTGGCCAGAGAAACCAGCCAAGCCCACTGGACTTCTGACCTATAAATACATGATGATAAATTTGTATTGTTTTAAGTGGCTAAGTGTGTGATAGTTTATGGCAATAACAGAAAACTAATACAATGACACTCTCTGATTAAGTGACAAACTAAAATGAGCAGCAAAAAAGTTACCACTGCACCTACTATGTGCCAAGAACTTTCCAAATATTATTCCCTTTGACTCTCATAATCATGCAAGGCTGGTATTGTTCTCCCCATTTTACAGATGATAAAACAAATGACAAAAAATCAAAGAGATTTATAGATAACTAAAGTCACAGCAGGGTGAGTAGAACTGGGATTTAAGCCCAGGTCTATCAGATGCCACCACTCCTGTTCTTGCCACGTTGCTCCCAGGTAATTATTCTTTACATATGTAAATTCTGAGTCCGAAGTGCTTTTCTGTGCATTAACTTAATTGAACCCTGCAATAGTATGTGAGGCAAACAGGGCAGAAATTATTTACTCCTTCTTACAAGTGGGATACCCAATCTCAACATAAATTATGAGCTGCCTGTGGGCCAGGGTGAGCACACAGGCCTTCCAACTCCCAACTCCACCTGCTTTGCTCTACCACCTTAGCAGTTCAGAGAGTGTCCGTGAAGTACCCACCCCACTGTGAGCTCTGTACAGTCAAGTTTGCCTTGAACGCGTGGCCTGTTTCCACAAAGCAATGGGAGTGGGCCACTGTTACAAAAAAAAAAAAAAAAAAAAAAAAAGGATGATGGATCCCTGGATGGGAAGTCAATACTTTAAGTGAAAATAAAACTTACAGCTATGCTCAAGAGTTGTATGAGGGCTATTTGCTCCACTTAGGATAATTATCAATGAATTCAGTAATATGACTTTGGTGCAGACAGCCACATCTTCAGTGGCCTCCATGCCTGGGCTAGAGACCAGCTGTGATGCTTTAAGTGCCTCATTTTTACTCAGTAATTTAATGTACAAGTTCGTAGAGGCATTTTTCACCTAGGGCTTATTTTTTTAATGAAGTCTAATTTCTGAGAAGACCCCAAAGAAATCTGATATATAGCACAATCCATTTACCAGAAGTCTTTCTGGAATGCCTCTCTGGGCCATTGCTAGGCACTGGCAATGCAGCACTAAAGAAGACAACACAAGTCCCTCCCTTCATGGGGCTTACACTCTAGAGATAACCAAATGAATATGATAATCGTGTTTGAAAGATACCAAGAAGACAATAAACAGCACCTGAAATAGACTGGAAAGTGCCTATTTTAAGGGTGCATGGGGACAGAGGTTCTGACCAAGGGGATTAGGAAGTTTGGCACAATGAGGCTTCTGCTTTGCCTGACTCAGACAGCTTTCACGCCTAATCATCCATGTAAGCTGGTCCCTGTCAGGGCCAGGGTCTTAAACTATGGACAGATCCTCAATGGGCAGAGCCTGGTGTTTCAGGGAGGTAGGGGAAGACAGTATAAGTAATTCAGTTCCTGCAAAATACACCTGATCTGCCACTCTGCCCCTTCCTATGTGCATTGGGACTGTTTACTTAACCTCTCTGTGGCTCAGCTTCTTCATAGGATTGTGTTGACACACGTAAATTACTAAATGGTGTTTAGCACATAATAAGTGATCAATAAACAAAAATAGTTCCTGAAACATAGTTGTGGCTTCATATTAGCTTTCTTGAGGATGTGTCTGCCCTGAAAAAAAAAAAGTGTCTACTCCCTTTACTAGGTCTGCACTGTACATATACATCTCTATCATTACTGCCCCATAAAATGATGCATACTGTTATGGGTTGAACAATGTGTGTCCCCCAAAAATGATATAACCCCCAGTACCTCAGAATGTGGCCTTATCTGGAAATAAGATCAGTACAGATGTAATTCACTAAGTTAAGGTCACAAGTAGGGTGGGCTCCTAATCCAGTATGACTGGTGTCCTTATAAAAAAGTGAGAATTTGGACACAGACAAAGAAATGCATAGAGGGGAGATGACGTGAAGAGACACAGGGAGAAGATGGTCATCAGCAATCCTAGAAGAGGAACCTGAAACAGATTTTTTTCTTTTTTTTTTATACAGTGGATTATATTATTAATTTATTCTATACTTTCATTTTATATATATAATTTCAACTTTTTAGATTCAGGGAGTACATGTACAGGTTTGTTACATGCATATATTGTGTGACACTGTGGGTACCCAACAGGTAGTTTTTCAACCCTTGTCCTTGTCCTGCTCCTCCCTCCTCCCTCTAGTAGTCCCCAGTGTCTGTTGTTGCCATATTTATGTCCCTATGCACCCATTGTTTAGCTCCCACTTACAAATGAGAGCATGCCGTACTTGGTTTTCTGTTCCTGCATTAAATTGCTTAGGATAATGGCCTCCAGCTGAATCCACGTTGCTGCAAAGGACAGGATTTCACTTTTTTATGGCTTCATAGTATTCTATGGGGTATATGTACCACATTTTCTTTATCCAATCCCCCACTGATAGGCACCTAGGTTGATTCCGTGTCTTTGCTTTGTGAATAGTGCTGTGATGAACATATGTTGTTTTTGGTAGAACATAGGTGCATCATATGTTCTGTATCATATGTGCATGTGTCTTTTTGGTAGAATAATTTATTTTCTTTAGGATATATATACCCAGGAATGAGATTTCTGGGTTGAATAGTAGTTCTGTTCTAAGTGCTTTGAGTAATCTCCAAACTGATTTCCATGGTGGAAATCTAATTTATATTCCCACTAACAGTGTATAAGCATTCCCTTTTCTCCAGAGCCTTGTCAGCATCTGTTTGTTTTGTTTTGTTTTGTTTTTACTTTTTAATACTAGCCATTTGACTGGTATGAGATGGTATCTCATTGTGGTTTTGATTTGTATTTTCTCTGATGATTAGTGATGCTGAGCATTTTTTTATGTTTGCTGGCTGCTTGTATGTCTTCTTTTGAGAAGTGTCTGTTCATGTCTTTTGCCCACTTTTTAATGGGGTTGTTTTTTGCTTGTTGCATTAAGTTCCTTATAGATTCTGGATATTAGACCTTTGTCAGATGCATAGTTTGCAAGTATTTTCTCCCATTCTATAGGTTGTCTGTTTACTCTGTTAATAATTTATTTTGCTATGCAGCTCTTTAATTAGGTCTGCATTTGTCAATTTTTGTTTTTGTTGCGATCACTGTTGAAGACTTAGTCACAAATTCTTTCCTAAGACTAATGTCCAGAATAGTATTTCCTAGGTTTTTTCCTAGGATTTTTATAGTTTGAGGTCTTACATTTAAATCTTTAATCCATCTTGAGTGAATTTTTGTTTAATGGTGAAAGGTAGTGTTCCAGTCTGAAACAGATTCTTCCTCACAGACCTCAGAAGGAAGCAACCCTGCGAATACCTTGATTTTGGACTTCTAACCTTCAGAACTGTGACGAAATAAATTTTTTGTTGTTTAAGCCAAGTTTAAACATGCTTTGTGGTATTTTGTTAGGGCATTGCTGGCAAATTAATACTCATTCCTTAAAGGTACATATGAATACGTATGTAAGAGTAAATAAGGGTTTGTAAGTTGTTTTCCCCAGCATCTAGCAGAAAGCTTGGTACATAGTAAGTGCTTAATAAACACGTGTTAAATGGCTGAATAGATGAATACATATCTGGTATGGTGGATCATATTCCCAGCAAGACATGCCAGAGGAGAGGTGCTTGAGACCTCTGCTAAGGAGAAAGACATGGCTGACAGTGAGAATCATCCAAAGATGGGACTGGCTATCTATCTGTAATCAACATCCAGGCAAGTGTTTGCCACTGTGGTGAAGAGGAAGTCCTTGGAGCCCCAGTTGGCAGGAGGTACAGCCATACTCAGAAGGCCTACTGGCACCCATATCTGTGACTTCTGTGTCTGGGGGCAGGCACTCTCATCATACTGGACTAGGGTCAGGCTCACTCCCTGGTGAAGGAAGCTGGCAAGAATAAGTAGTGTCCCCGTAGGTGAATGGATCTGGGTAGCCAACGGGGTGTGCAAAGAGAATCTCAGAATAGCAACATGGAAGGCCAGGGGGATGTGGCTCAGGACCTCAGGCACAGGCTTTCTGAAGGTACACTGACACCTGGGAAATGATGTGAGGGTTCAGGGGTCAGCGTAACACAAGGTTCCCCATCTTAAGCCCATCCAATTGGGAGAGGAGGAATTCGAGGCCTCTCCCCAAAAAGGAATAGATATGAGGGCTAGGCTGGCAGAGGAGCCAGGGCCATCCAGTAGAGAGGGGTCTGGGGCCAACGGAAGCAGAAGGATGAGAAAGGAGGCCTCAACACAGGGTGGGTGGAGGAGGAAGAGTTAAGGTGATAATTCTATAGCAGAAAAGAAGAAGGGAGAAAAAAGGATTTTTGTAATTGAACTATTCTAATTGACTGCTGACTCCACACTGTTCAGATCCACCAGGTAATTGCTCAAGTCTCCATTTCATTTCATCTGTGTAGCTGTAGCTATAGCAGTTAGTTGGGGGTGGGGAGGGAGGGTTTAAGAAGTGATTAGGGGAAATCACTCCTTGCAGGCCTTAGGTTATTCTTGTTAAAAATGATGCCAGGAAAATCATAATTAAAATGGGAACATGGTTAATAACAAGAGCCCCTTTCCTTGAATGTGAAATAAATTTTAACAGCTACCTCAGCTAAAGAACCCAACACATTCGACCTTCCAATAAGGGTTAGCAGAGTTTTCTATCAGAGAGAAATAGAAACTATAAATCAAATGTTTCATATCTAAAGTCCAAGCCAGCTCCCATGAGTAAACTTCCACTCTCCAACAGCTTGTATTTTTTCACTGGCTATTAGACTACCTTGACTCTGGAACTATATGGATACTGTTTCTTCATCTTAAATCTATGAAACTACCTTCAAGAGCTATAGTCTTGACTACTCATGACATACTATCCGAGATAAAGAAGCTGGTCAATAATAAATGTGCCTGTGTGTGATATTCTATCAAGTGCGTGTGGTTGAAATGGAGTTGTTGGAAGGAAAGAGAGTAGGGGGGTGGGGAGAGTCGAGGAAAAATTCTATAGAGTGGGGGCAGGTGGCAGGAAGCATGTTTAAATGTTGGTTTAAATTCATTTTAGAGAAGGGTTGATGTTGATAATCAGATTCTCCTGATTCAAGCACAGTGAAAATTTACCTCTCCTGAGCCTGGATTTTCCCTGGTCTCCCCAAATTTACTATGGGGCCCAACAACATCCCTGACTGAGAGAAAGCTTTGGTCTCGAAGGAGACAGGCTGCTTATAGAAACTTCAGGTCTATTTTTCTGGGATGCTGTTAGCTAACTAGAAGTGTGCTCAGGGCTATTTGGCTGACTGATACCCTCTTTCTGTTGAAAATGTAAGAGAATTCTTCCTTAGCAGTTTGGTTCAAGGCAAAATAAAATATGCTCCCGTGGTCACAGTCACGCTCCACAAACTCCCCAGAGACTCTTTGATTATCTTAATGGTCCTGCTGTAGACCGGCAGTGAGATCTCAGGGTGTGGTGCAGTCAGTGCCTCTGTGGGGAGCCGGATCTCTGGGGAGCACTGAGGCCTTTGCAGCAGGCAATTGAGTCCTGCTGACCCAGCCCAGCACCTTCCATGAGATAAGGTCTAGGGGCCCCAGGATCCCTCAGTACCCTCCCCTTCTCTCACACCCTCCCCTGGGTACCTCGTTTCAGGCTATGGGAGACTTCAAATCATAGCAATTAAGTAGATGAAAGTGCAGCATCTATTTCAGTTATTAAAGCTTACCTCCTTCCTAGGCAGCCACCCTTCCAGCTGCCATCGCTGGCCCTGTGCTGCGCTATCCAGTCCAAGCTCACAGAGGTCTCTTGGAAAATGACCTTGGAAATCTGAAAACATGACTGACACATTTCCACACCCATTCAGGCCAGACCTGTGGTTTATCTCTGGCCAAGTACACATCAAGTCTTCTAGCAGATGCCACCAGCCTTCCCATCTACAAATGCCTTCCCCCAGTGATTCTCACTCCTAGATTCCATTAGAATCACCTGGGGAGTGTTTCAAAGGAAAATTACCAACACCCAGGCCCCGCCTCAGAGATTCTGGTTCAATTGGTCTGGAGTGAGGTCCAGCCTGGCAGCCTCATGTTTCAAAAGCTCCCCAGGTGATTCTCACCTGCCGCCAAGGTAGACTATTGGGTCCTAATCCAAGTCCTCCGGGTTTTTCTCCACAAGGATAGATGACGGTTCCGAGTTAATACCTCACAACGTTGGTCTCACTTATTGCTTGTTTTTCTGATAAATTCTCAGAGGGGATACCTAAGTTCAGAATCTGAAGGTCATTGAGGTTATCCTCAATGTACCAACTAGAATAAACACCGTCTATTTATTCAGATTGAGCAAATATTTGCTGAATGCCTATTATGGACCAGACGCTGTGCTGGGAACTAAGACGTGAGCATGTACATCAAACATTTCCTCCACGTATTTTGTGCTCCCTTCTGCCCCTTCAGATTTGGAAACTTGGTTTCCTGTTTCAAATTCAATCTCTCTCTCTCCCTCTTTTTTTCCCTCTCTCTGCTCCATCTCAACTTTTATATATGATGCATGTACCCAAATACATATACTTATAAATCTTACAGATCTTGTGCAGCAGTAGCTAATCTCCTACACATTCCTAAGGCTCAGTGTAATTAGAATATGAGAAAGCACTCATCCTGCGTATGAACACACCTCATGCTCTCTTCTTTCATGATTTTTATCTCCTAATCAAGTTTCTATTATATTTGCCTCGGGACTTAACTACCGTTAAATATTCAAGAAACGCAAATAAAAGACTTTTTCTACTCTCTCTGCTCTGTGCTTTCAAGTGTTTAATTTCCTGACCCAACTGTCAGGAAAAACACAATCCTGAAACTCCACAACCAGATTTCATAACTCTTGTGTATGCCTGAACCCTTGAGGGAAAGGGAAGAAAATCCTGCCACGGCAAACGAGAGCCTGAAAGACCAAAGATCTGGGACCACAGGAGTGGCCCTAATTCATCATTAGTCACCCCGCCTGTGTGCTACTCTGCCTCCCGCCTGCCTTCCCCGTGGCTCCCTATTTCAATGATGTCTCCATCTGTCTTCCTCCTTGTCTGCAGCTGATTACAGTCTGTGACTCATTCATTCCTGTACTCCCATCCTCCAACAGAGATGGTATATAACAGTTCACAGCTGTTGAGCACTTACTGTATATGCCAGGCACTGTTCTAGATGCTTTCCACATGTTATCTCTGAATTTCACTCAACTCTGTGAGTTTAATGCCTTTATTATCCCATTATACAGATGACAAAACTGGAGTACAGAGTTTGAGCAACTTGCTCACATTTACACAAGGCTGCTGAAGCAGAATCCTGATTCAAAGCCAGGCCATCTAGCCATAGATCCTATTCTCTTTGCTGCTACTATATGATGCTGAGACTTAGACAAATAAACACACCTGTCTCCAAGGTTTTTATTCCGTAGAAGACAGCTTAGCACTTACTAGCTATGTGACCTTAAAAAAAAACTGTTAAACTGCTCTAAACCTCTTCTAGATCTAAAACTCTTCTAGAAAATAAGGGTAAGAACAATGATGATGACGTTAGATGATGTCTGTAAAGTGCATGGCACAGTGCCAGGCATTTATTAAATGCTTTACAAAAGTTAGATGCTGCTGCTGCTGTTATTTGGTACATGGGTACATTAGGAGCATCTCAAGTTACTCCCCAATCTAAGTGGCCACTGCCTCCCTGTATAAAAGCAGTGGGTAGCAGCCATTAAATTTTTTTATAATTTTATTTAGACATAATTCACATACCATAGCATTCACCCATTACAAATGTACAATGAATGTTTTTTAGTATATTCAGAGCTGTACAATCAATTTTAGAACCAATTTAGTATTTAGAAACCAGTTTAGAACCAAACTTAGAATCAATTTTGGGAGATGTTTTTATCACCCAAAAAAGAAACCCCATAGCCATTACTCCCCATTTGCCCCAAGCTCTCCTCCCATCCACGCCCCTGGCAATCACTAATCTATTTTCTGTGTGTCCTGAACATTTCATATAAGTGGAACCATACGATATGTGGTCTTTGTGAGTGACTTGTTTTACTTAGCATGATGGTTTCAAAGTTCATCTAAGCTTAGCATGTGCCAATACTTCATTTCTCATTATTGCTGAATAATATTCCATGGTACGGATAGCCTTATTTTATTTTGCCTTTTATTAGTTGGTGGATATTTGAGTTGTTTCTCCTTTTTGGCTATTATTAATAATTCTGCATGCGTATAATCCCAGTGCCTTGGGAGGCCAAGGCAGGAGGATCACATGAGGCCAAGAGTTAGAGACCAGCCTGGGCAACATAGCAACACCCCATCTCCACAAAAAAATACAAAAATCAGCTGAGCATGGTGGCAGATGTCTGTAGTCCTAGCTACTCATGAGGCTGAGGTGGGAGGATCCTGTGAGCCCAAGAGTTTGAGGCTACAGTGAGCTATGATTGCATCACTGCACTCCAGCCTGGGCAACAGAGCGAGACCTTGTCTTAAAATAAATAATGCTGCTATGAACACCTGTGTACAAATCTTTGTGTGGACCTATGTTTTTAATTATCTTAGGTATGTATATATATATATGGGAGTAGAATTGCGAGGTCATCCTGTAACTCTGTTTCACCTTTTGAGGCATTTTCAAATTATTTTCCAAAGCTAATAGCTACTAATCTTGCACTTTCTTCTAGGTGACCTGAAACAAAAGTCACTTAACCTCACTGAGCCTCAGTTTCCTCATCTGCAAAATGAGGATATTATGTACCAAAGGAGATACTTTCAGTACAGTGCCATCAACTGCCTGACACCAGCAGGTGCTTAAACAAGTAGTAGGTACTCTGTTGCCCCTGGCAGATGGTGTGCTGCCCTTTCCTTCCTGTCCAGTTTGGATCCAAAATGAAAGGACGGTACCACGGAAGGCTTGAGCACAGCCTAATGCAGATGTTAGAGTGCATCACAGTGCAAAATCACACTACCTTTCTGAGTCATGGCACCAGTCTCTAAAATCAAGAAAAAATAAACTACTCTCAAGTGTGTGTATATTCTCTTTCCTTCTATAAACTGGACTTTTGCCCAGAAATCACAACAAGTAAAGAAAGAATCAATAATCCAAGTTTTATATGCTAATGTAATTTGGTAGAAAATGCACTACATCTATCAGAACTCCATTCTCTCGATTGCCAGAGTTTCTTACAGGCCACAACTCCAGAAGGGCTTGCAAAAACAAGAGTCAGCAAAACCATCATCCCCATGAGCCTAAACAAAGTGTAGAAGTGTGAACCCCCAGTGCCACCCTGCTGAAGGCCCTGATTAGCATTTCTGTTTCTGGCAGAAACCGCTGACAGTCCATCAGTCCCGAATAACAATAATAAAGCTCTGCAAATGGAAAGTGTTCCACTCTTAGGGGAGTTATTATTCTTCAGGGTAAAAAATATTCCTTGGGCAGATTCATTTCACTGCGAAAGTTGATTTCAGAGTTACTTTGTTAAATCTTGGGGGGGTGGGGGGAGACAAAGAGAACCAGAAAAAGTTGTGCATGCCATATTTCATATTGTAAAGAATATTTTTGCTTTAGGGACAATAGGTAGGACACTTGGAGAGACCTGTCCTAGCATATAGGAAAATATAAAAATTTCTATCTTTAGTGCAAAGATACTAATATGACAGACTTGAAGATTCAAGCCAAGCAAGGCTGCCCCACCGCCTTGGCTCAGAGTGGGTGTGCAGGTCACACATGAGCATGAAGCCATTGTCCCAGGCCTTCTTCCATAAGCTCCAGCTTCTGCCTCCCTCGGCGTAATGCTAATTATGGGATACAAAAACCTAATCTTTTCCTTTTCTAAAGAATTAATGCAATCTATCCAAGAAGCACAAAAAAAAGGGAAGGAAAAACTTTCAACTTGGGATTGCAGTGAAAGATTACAGAGAAAAAAAATATACACAGAATTTGCTTACTATTAGCCATGGGAAACTTAAGAAAAAACATGATAATTAAGTGACTAAAAGCCACTTTGGATGTTCTTTATTTAAAAAAAGTCATATAAACTGAGACTCACAGCCTACCCCATTGTCTAAGTACCTCCTCATCACTGAGTAAAGATATATGCCAGATAAAGACACTGGCAGTTCCCAGATGTAATAGTACTTGTTTTGAGCTGAATTCTAGATGAAGCAAATGTGGCACAGAGCTCTTCAGTTACTAAAGTACTAAAATGGCCTCATTGTAGGAATCAGCACCTGGGCAGTGGGGAGGAGGCTGGACCCCAGCAAACACTACCAGCAGGGGCAGGAGAGGAGATCTATCTAATCTTAGAACCAGAGAATATGTGCAGTGGCCTATGTGCAGTGATATGGTCTGGCTGTGTCCCCACCCAAATCTCATCTTGAATTATAGCTCCCATAATTCCCTCATGTTGTGGGAGAGACCCAGTGGGAGATAATTGGATCATGGGAGCAGTTCCCCCATACTGTTCTCGTGGTAGTAGTGAATAAGGCTCATGAGATCTGATGGTTTTATAAGGGGAAACCCCTTTTGCTTGGCTCTGATTCTCTTCTCTTGTCTGCCGCCATGTGAGATGTGCCTTTTGCCTCCTGCCACAATTGTGAGGCCTCCCCAGCCACGTGGAACTGTGAATCCATTAAACCTCTTTCTTTTGTAAATTGCCCAGTATCGGGTATGTCTTTATCAGCAGTGTGAAAACGGACCGATACACTAGGGTATGGGGAGGGATGAACTTTTTTCTGGAATATTCCAGCTCTAAATCAGAAGAAAAAACACTAAAGTCATTCTCTACATCTAAAATGCTTTCTATAGCCTCTGAGGCTTTGTAGCCTCTGCCCTACCCTGGCTTTCTCCAGGCTAGCCTACTCCTCCTTTAGCCTCTGCACAGGCCACTTCCTTAGCCTGTGTTCCCCAGCTCCCAAGGCTGTGTTATGTGACCTATGTGCTTGTGCTGCTCCCCGTGATCACCACTTAATGGAAATTGTCTGTTTACTCCTTCATCTCTGCTGCTAGACCATAAGTTCCTAGAAGGAAAGGGAAAGGATTTTCCTGTTCACAGGATATCCTCAGCACCAGCACAATGTGGGAACCCAGTAACTGTGCTGACTTGGTTTAAGTCTCTAGCTGGATAGGGGAAAAAATGGAGCATCTGAAACCAGGAGCATAAACCCTGAAATAGCACACTAGTCAAGGTAAACCAGGTCAAGTACTGGGGGAGGAAGGGGACCTAGAAGGACAGTCCTGGAGAAAAACATCTCAAGGACAACATTTTACCCCTCACCAATCAATGACCATTGGCACTTTCTTTTCAGAATCTGTGACTTCTTCTTACTCTATCTTAGAGCAAAGAAGTCTTTTCTCTGCTATATTTTAAAAGTCAAAAGCCTTATATAATGATAAAGTATTACATGAGAAGCATAGATCCTGAATACAGATTAACAGAAAAACAGAAGCAGACAGACCTGAGTTCAAATCCTGACTTTGCTACCAACTAGGCAAGAGGTCAGTCACTTAATCTCTTCTGCACCTCAGTTTTCTTATCTGCAAAATAGTGATAATAATAGCTGCCATTTTCAGAGTTCTTATGTGATTAGATAGCAATGTAAGTCATATATTTTTGCACTCTGTGCAATGATATTTCTTAGTGATAGATGTCTGCGCGACAATGTGTTTCAGCAACATTTAGAGTTATGATTCTCAAATATTTACTAAATTTATTCCTGTTGTGAGGAGAGGGGAAAAATAAGCTTTTTTTTTTTTTTTTTTCTCTTGAGACGGAGTCTTTCCCTGTTGCCCAGGCTGGAGTGCAGTGGCACTATCTCGGCTCAACGCAAACTCTGCCTCCCGGGTTCAAGCAATTCTCCTGCCTCAGCCTCCCGAGTAGCTGGGATTACAGGTGCACACCACCATGCCTGGCTAATTTTTGTATTTTTAGTAGAGACGGGGTTTCGCCATGTTGGCCAGGCTGGTCTTGAACTCCTGACCTCAAGTGTTCCTCCCGCCTCAGCCTCCCAAAGTGCTGGGATTACAGGCGTGAGCCACCACGTCCAGCCAAAATAGGTATTTCTTTAGCTGCTATGCTCCTTCTGTAGAAAATAAATAAACTAAAATAATAATAATAATACAGTCATCAGATGGTAAACAAGGTATTTCCTACTAAGACTGCATCTAGGGTTGTTACAAAAAGAAAAAAAGAGACAATAGTAAGTTCAAGAGTTTTATTTAACAGTGTTGTCCCAGAAGTCACCCAGAGCAGAAAACTTGGACCAATGAAGACCAATGAGCTATTTTTTAGCAGGAAAAAGAAATGAAGGTGGGCTTCCATTTTTTTCCTATGCTTCAATGACTCCCCTTTCCAGATCTGCCTGTTGCAAAGTTCTTTTACTCTCTGACAGTGAAAAAAAAATTATGTGTGAAAGGAACAAAATCATTTATTAACAATCAACCTCCAACTTCAAACTGCCAGCCACTCAAAAGACTAGATCCTGACAACCGGAGGGTCCCCTGTTTAATGGGTAAAGTGGGGTGTTTAGATATGGGTTTGGGGGCAATACATTGCTCTGCATAAGAAAGGAAAAACTATGGAGAGGTGCCTTAAGAAAAGATCTCAGCCTAAATTTCTCTTAATAAATACATATTGAGCATCCACTCCATGTTAGGCATTGACTAGATGGGATTTACATATGTTCCTTCAATGTAAGTCACAAACTAGACATCATGGCTGGTTTTTGTTTTTTAAATGAAGAAGCAGCCTTGGGAAGTGCAATGATTTCCTGAAGGTGAAACGATCATCCGTAGAGGCAATAGTGGAAATTTGTTTATAGGAAGTTTATGCTTTTTAGGGTGACAAAGTTTATATATAAGAGCTGAGCAGAAACAGGAAAAGAAATCAATTTGTTTTGAGGAAGAATGGGGAGGGAATGGGAGAAGGTCGTGGAGTATTCCTGAGAGGGCAAGGCCTTACAGTTAGAAATGCCAGGCGTTTGGAAACTGTATAAGGGCCCAGCCAAGAGAGAGGAGAGACTTCTGGGGAGATAGAGGGGCAGGAAGGACGTCTGGGCCTAAAACAGAATTTTACCAAAGTGTAATTTGAGTGAGATAGAAGTAACTGGAATCAGAGGACCTGTGCTTTAATCCCAACTCTGGTACTTGCTGGCTTTAGGCTTCATTGGAGTAGTCTCCAAATCTCCCTGAGTTTTGCCATTTTCTCACTGCAAAATGGGCAACATGTGCTTCACAGCAAGAATGAATTAATACCCTTGAAAGTGGCTGGAAAACTTCACAGGGACCTCAGGAGCTCAGCCTGTGGCAAAACTTCCCAATTGTTTCTCAACTCCCATCTCCACTTTGTCTGAAGCCCCACACTCTTTAGAAGACATGATTGATATGGGGTTTGGTGGCCAGGGTCCGATTATTGTATCTCTGTATTTAGGATCCTTTCAAAACTAGACTTGACCATATCTATTTCCTTTCCTAGATAATAGAGACACCAGGTAAAGAGGAGACCAAGCACTCACACTGCACAACTAATTGTCAAGTAACCTTTTTTCTAGCCTTGCTTTTGTGAAGTCGTTGTCTCCTTTTGATTGAGCTTCTTTACTCTTAACTGAGAGGGTTGGAACTGATGATCTCTGCAGTCTCTTAGAAGACCTCTCCTGAGGCTGTCCCAACAGCCCATTGTTCCAGTACTTTCTATTGCCCAATTAGCAGCATTTATCCAGCTTTTTTTTTTTATCAGGTATGTGCTTCTATTCCAGGCATTCTGAGCCAATTCTGCAAATCAAACTTCTTGGAAGACTCAAATGTTTTAACAGTCTTCAAACATATGACATCAAGCATACCATTTTCCTTTATCTACCAACTTTGTACTTTTACTGCAAAAAAGAAAGAGGTACTGAGTCCATCTGGCATGATTTGCTTTGAATAAAAGCCCATCTGCTTATTATTTCTAATTTCATTGTCCTCTAGAATGTTTATAGAGCTTCTTTCAATATTTATTGTGCTGTGTTTCTAATTACTGATCCAGACCATCCACACAGACTCGGAGGGGCACTGGGCTAGGATGTAGGTGTCTTTCTCTTTTTCATCTTCACGATTCTTTACTCTGGAGGCACATTGTGGCCCTCGGCCGTCATTACAGAGCCCTGGTGTGATGCTGCAGAGGCAGATTCTGACAATCAACCTCTTTATCGTGAGTCTCCCTGGGGACTTGCAAAGCTTCCTCTGATGAATTTTTGCCTGCCTCGACACCATTATTGTCATAGGAAGGATGGAAATAATTACCTGATTTATTATCTTGAGGCTAGCTTCATCCTGGGGCCCTGTGATCACTGGGAACAGAAGGCTCATCTCTGTCTTCGGGAGTCCTGAAGAGATGGGTAAAAGATTCACATTTCCTACATGATGGTGTCTCTGAAAGGCAAGGGATGGGATGGTCTCTGCAGCAAAAACAATTCCTATTTAGTCCTTTTCAAAATATGCCCCCAAAATCCAAGATGCTAAAACTGTTTAAAAAAGTAAACCCTTTTTCTCCCCAAATAAGTTCTCATTTCTGATTCCCCTAGTTCTGCTAGGATGCTTTATTTTCCTCCTCTTATGGCACTTTTTGTCATTCTTCACAATCAAGTAAGTCTCGTTACTCCCTTTGTAGCATCTTAATGCCTTTCCCATCTGTCCCTGGCTTCCATTCTCACTCTATTGTCTAATTTCAGCCCCATATCACATTGTCTCTATTCCTGCAATACCTCCTATCCTTCAGTCTCTCCCCCACCCCACCCACCATGCACATGCCTGCAGAATAATCCACCTAAACCATCTTGATTTCATCACATCCCTCCTCAACAATGCTCCATGAGTGCCCTTTGCCTACAGGATTAGCCTGTAAACCCTCACTGATGGGAAGGTCTCCAGGGCCCCACCTCACAGCCCCACAGCTGACTGTGCATCCTGCCGCTGTCCTGAATCCTCCCTCTGGCCCTGCAGGAGGCACTCTGGGCCTTGGACTCTGTTTTTGCTCACAATGACTTCCTAAGCATGTGAAGACGTTGAAAAAGGAAGAAAGAATCTGAGATGAATTCTTAGTGCAGACACCAAGGGGTTAAAAGTTCATTCTACACTGCTTTTTTATGGGGAATGTCACAATGCATCTGATTCTCACACCCTCTTCAGATCCTGGAAAAGTATGCCCACTGTGTAATCCACAAGTCAGGCCCCAGCTTTCCCTGAGAAATTCAGAAGGAATTTCTATTCAGTAAAATAAAACAGAAAAGCAAAAACATTATATAGGAGGGGCAAAGGGTATAGGTTAAAAAGATAGGCTTTGGAGTAAGTAGACTGGATTCCAGAGACTTACTAATGCTGTAACTTGGGCATGCTACTTAGCCTTTCTGATACTGCTTTCTTCTCAGTAAAATAGGGCAAATATCCAACTTGCAGGGTTGATCTAAGAATTATAGTCAATATATGTAGAGTTCCAGCACAGACCCTGGCACTTAGCCTCTCGGTCTTGCTGTATTACTCCACTACCACCTCCAGCCCCAGTAGGTTCCATTCCACTCCAAGGGTTCTCACAGGGTTGGTCCACTCTCTCTTGACTAGCAGGGTTACTCTACCAGCCTTCTGCAGTACTGTTCCGACTTCTAACCTGGGCTAGAGAGTGCAATGGGAGCCTGCTGTCTGGCCAGTGATTACAGCGATTACAGATTTTCCTCCAAGGATTACAGGTCTGCAGGTGTTCCCCATGGCTGCCCCAGTACTCAGAGACCTCCAGGTGTGGGGGGCTTCACTTCTCCTCAAAGAGTTATACCTCCTTACCATTCCTAGTGACCAGGTACAGTCTTAAGGTCCCAGAGAGTGAACAGCACTGACTCAGGACCATGACAGTACATAAGAGGCAGGAAAGAATGATGGTTATGGCAGGTTAACCTTAACCTGGGCTGTTGAGTCAGACTGCCTGGAATTGTTCCTCCCTCTGCCATTTCTTAGCTGGGTGATCTTGTGCACACTGCTTACCTTCTCTGTGCCTTGGTTTCCTCATCTATAATATGAAGACAATAATAGGACCTGCCTCATGGGGTTTTTGTGAAGATCAAATGAGTTGATGCACACAAAGCGCTTAGAATACTGCTTGGCACATAGTAGCTTCTCAATAAGTGTTTGCTGTCATAATTAATGAATCAAGTCCTCAATCATTTAGGTCCCAGGCACATTACAATCAGAGTGATTGATTGAGACAGCTCTCTGTTTGCCCAGGGACTGTTTCAACACCCTGCTTGTTGTCACCACCACTGTGTGCACATGTACACACACACACACACACACACACACACACACACACACACACCCCTCAGCAGTACCTCACGTCTAGAGAAGAATCATTTCCGGGAGGCTTCAACAACACCAATGCTCACCACCTCTTAATGAAGCAAAGTCCTCAGCAGTATCCTAGACATGCTTTCCTCAGGGAATTGCCTTCAATTCTCTCTACTGAGCAGGGGGGAGATCAGAGGGCCCGTGGAATCTTTTGGTCTACTCCTCTGTAGAGAGACCATTAAAAATGTGTCTTTTGGTCTAAAATGTCTGAAACGTCCATGTTAACACAAAGCACCAGATATTTCTCAACCTTATGGCCTCTCTCATTCATAAAGTTTATAAGTTTTAATATAACCTTTCGGGAAACATTTATTGAGCATCAATTTTATGTCAGGTACTGTTCTGGGGGCTGCAGATGTAAGGATGAATCAGAGACAGTCTTTGGCTTCCAGGTCACAGTCAAGAGGGATAAACAGGCAGCTGGACACATCACTTCAATGCAGTGTGATGATGCTAAGTCAGAAATGCACAGGGAGCTTATAGAGAATAGAGAAGGGGCATCCAACCCAGATGGGTTGATCAGGAAAGGCTGCCAGGAAGAGGTGACCTCAGAGATAGGTCTTAAAGGATGGGTAGTCATTCACAAAGGAATAGCATTGAAAAGCATACAGGCATGAAAAAATATAATGCGATTTTGGAACAATGGTCTTCTGGCAGCACTAGAGGGAACAGAGTAACGGGGAGGGATGGGAATGAGAATGGAAAAATAAGCAGGTACCAGACCTTGAAAGGACTTCATGCTTCGTCAAGTCTTTTATAGCTTACCATGGGATGAAAGGAGAAACAACAAAGTGTTCTAAGCAAGGAAGTAACATGGTAAATTTTGCATTTGGGTAGAAGACGGTTTTCTGGTGGAGGGGAGGAGGGTCCAGAAGCAGAGATCATTTGGTGATAAACCTGGATTTGTAACAATCCAAGTGAGAGATGGTAAGAACCTAAACTAAGATTTAACTAAGAACCTAAACTAAGTAGGATTAAAAGAAATGAAGACATTTCAGAACTATTTACGAGGTTAGATCATCAGGATGTGGAAACTAGTTACGGAAAGGAGACAGAGATGGATAAGTCCCAGATTTCCACCATGAATAGAAAGTCAAGCTTCAATTTATGACTTAGAAATCCTAAGAGTATTTAGATTTGTACATTTTCTGTGTAATATTTTAGGTATTTTTCATTTTAAGACAATACTAACTAGAATTTTAATCATACCAACTGGATAACAAAGAAAGACCCTGAAACCTCTGATGGACAAATTTTTTAAGCAGCAACAGATCTTGAATTCAATTAAGAATCTACTACTGCATTCAGTCTCCTTGCACTGACAGCTCATGCAGAGAAGACTAGGTGGAATGAATGGAGAAACAGACAGAAACAAAGACTTTTAGGTACAGAACAAATGTACGTGGTCCAGATAGGAGGACTATGATCAGAAAAACATTACCGAGGTGATTTTAAGTTAGACAACTGCAAAGGGAATGTGGACTGCTGCAACTTGAGGGGGCTACTGCTGTAGGAGTACCCCCAAGTGCCACCATCAGAACAACAAAGACTATGCCTTGGAATTGACCTCATTTGAAACTCTTCTTTACAATCTTCAATTATAAATAATTCAACATTATTTCATTTTCAGTGTTTGTCATTCTAGATCGTTAAAGGTTCTTTTGTTAGTCATCATTACCTGGAACCAGAAGTCTATAGAAGAAAATGGAAGATGGGGGGTGGGAAATGAGTTTTGGTGGGAAGATAAATGTTAGGCCTAGGAATGTAGTCTACATTTGTAAGCAAGAGGGAGTCATTGAAGGCTTTTGAGTAGAGCCATATGAGATTAAAACAAATGTTCAAGAAGAATCTAACAACCTTGTGCAAAATGAATCAACTTGGCTAAAATCTACTCAATACTAAAGTATTGCAGTCATTCTAATTAGACCTTCCACTTTCCCCTATTGTTGCATCATCATACTCACTCACTCTAAACCCCTGGCAAATTGTTTGCTAAAGGCTTCTAGCTTTCTGTCTCAGTGATTTTCAACCAGAGGAGGCACAGGGTTTGGAAATGAATTTGCATTTCTTATTGGGGTTCTTGCTGTTTTCACAAGTTAGGGAAGAGGGGGTACTGGCATTTAGTCTCACAGGGGCCAGTGATGCCAAATAGTCTCAACACACTGGGCAGTCCTGTACAACAAAGGCTCATCCTGCCCAAAATGCCAGCAGTGCCCCTGTTAGGAAACATGGCATCTGATCCCTTTTGCTGCCCCATCTCTGTCTTCTGTAAATTTTCTTCTTCTATTTATCACCAGGCATCCCTCCAGCCACCTGATTAGCAGGTTAAATGGTCATTCAACTGTCATCAAACTCCTTCTCCCTTTCAGAAGCAACTGGAAGAAAGCCAGCATTCATTATTGACCTAGTTCCATAGCACCTAAGATTTCCATAGTGATTTGCAATGGTTTCTATTAACTAATTCTCATGTCAACACATGAATTGAGTTTGTTGTTAGTGGTTTGCAAGTGAAGAGACTCAAGTACGAAAGATTTGGCAACTAGGTCATGTCTCTTACATTTAATTCATGGAGTCACACTTTGGGAAGCTATTTTCAAAGTCACAATAATTCTTTCAAATCTCTAGAAAATTCACTTAGTAGGGCACTATTTGTGACTGAATTTCAATATAAACATTGCTTACTTTTGGAATTTAAATACTTTGGTGGCCTAATTATGAAAAGAGAATCTCCTTCTCCCCTGGTTTTCATTATATTATTGAAGATATATATATATTCATATTTTCAAAAATCTTTTAAAAGAACTGAATGTTTTATTGCCATCTCTATGGGCTGCATTTTGGTGTCTGTTATATTTTATTACTTGTATCACTGGCCTTCTTTAGGGGAATATCATATCTTTCTAATAGATAGAAAGTATCTTGAAGCAAACTATCTTATTCTTTGTATTCCTCCAGGCACAAGGACAGTGCTTGGCCTGCGGTAATTACTTAGTAAATATTTACTGATGAATTGGTGAACAAGTTGGTAGTTAGTTCCATGGTATACAAAGTTGTGCTTGTTGGAAATTGTAGTCTCCACCCAGTGGTTTACTATTTTTTTAATCTTCATAAAACATTACTGTACTTTGCAGTAGTCAGCCTCTATGATGCTCCTGCTGCAATTAGCTTCCTTCCACCAATGCCCATGTCCAAGCCATGGATATTTCTTTCATGACTAAGTAGTCCCTAACTTCACACCTGCCACTCCCTTCATCTCTCTTCCATCCAGAAATTTACTATGTTAAATAGAGCTGATTACTTACACAGTGGGAATGTGGTACATTGACTGCAATAATTGTCATAATTCCTCACTCCTCTCTATGACCCTGACCTTTGCAGCGTAACTTTGATTCTTCTCCCAATCAAGATGTGGAGTCTATTTTCCCATCCCCTTGAATCTAGTATTGTGAGTTACTTTGGTCAGTAGAATATATCAGATGTGACCATGTGCCTGTTCCAAGGACAGGCCTCAAGGGAAGCTGGATGTTGTTACTTATTCTCATGAAACTTGCCCAGCAAAGAAAGGGTAAAGCAAGCCCATTAGCCAGCTGGATGATGAACTTCACATGGCCTAATCCTCCCTAACATCTCGGCCAACAGCAATTAACTGCCAGATATTGGAATCAGACATACTAGACCAGGAAATCCCTCGTGGACCTGCACAAGCAGGCCCAGCCAAGATCAACCAAGTTTGCCCCAGAACAGCAGAGCCACCCAGCTGCCTACAGACTCATGAGTATTGTTTTAAGGCACTAAGTTTTGGGATGGTTTGCTACACTGCATTATTTAAGTGCTAAATATCTTTAAAGAGGTCTTTTTAATCACAGTCACATTTAATGGAAAACTACCTTAATTTAAACTCTTTAGAAATTGTCAAGAAATCTGTTCTCTTTTTTATTCATTTATCCAGAATCATCAAAGAATAAGCTAAAATATATCACTAATTTTTCAGATAATTGATGCTTACCTCTTTACACATAAAACCTTTTATTTAATATAATCATTTTTATGGTAATCGTTCTAAACTCTATTATACATACATCTATGCTGTAACATCAACATAATATTTGGGGTTTTTTCCTTTTATTTTTCATTGACATGCAATAATTGTACATACTTATGGGATACAGCATGATGTTTTTATTCATGTATAATGTGTAATGCTCAAATCAAGGTAATTAGCATTCAAGCATTCACCTTCACCTCAAACATTTGTCATTTCTTTCTGTTGAAAACATTTAAAATCCTTTCTTCTAGCTTTTTAAAAATATACAGTAAATTATGTTAACAACATTCATCTTGCAGTGCTGTAAAACAGTAGAACTTATTCCACCTATCTAGCTATAATAGTCTATTCATTAACCAATTCCGTGTCCTCCCCTCCCCACTGCCCTTCCTGTTCTATAAGAACCAAATTCTACACTCTGCTTCTAGGAGCTCAGCTTTTTAAATCTCCCATATATAAGGGAGAACATGTGGTATTTATCTTTCTATACCTGACTTATTTCAGTTAACATAATGTCCTCCATTTCCATCCCCTGTTGCTTCAAATGACAGAATTTCATTCTGATTTATGGCTGAATAGTATGACGTTGTGTATATATACATTTCCTTCATTCATTCATCAGCATCAACATAATATTTGAATTCTGTATTTAACTTTCCCTTGATGGCATTATTAATAAAAATGCTATCCTAAAGTACTATACAGTAATGACCTGAGGGAGTACCAAAAACTACTGGACAATTTACATTGGATGGTCCCAGACCATTTTGCTTGTTGTACTCCTATCTGTGGATGCACACATTTTTGGGATTCGCCACCCTTTAAGATGTCACCTATCATTTCTTGCTACCATAGTATGTGCTTATCCTTAGCAGCTACCTCTCTTTTAATTTGTTTCTTCCAATTGACTGTGGACCATCAAGCCATATAACCATACAACCATATTGGTAATTTTTTTAAAGTTCCCCAAATTAAAGAAATTCTGAGCGACTGTATCACCAGAAACATGCTACCCTGAGGCAACACATACACAAAGAGGGAATACAGATTTATTTCCTCTTTTCAGAGACACACTATCACCTGAGATGAATAATCACCCCGGGAGAATATAAGTTTTAGGTAAAATTAACAAGATATCAGAAAAGTGAAACAACTATAAAAGAAATACAATGAACTGATCAACCTACGAGATATAATACGGGATTAATGGGTCATCTAAATATAGACAGTCCCCAACTTAATGATGTCCCGACTTGATTTTTCAACTTTATGAAGGTGTGAAAATGATATGCATTTAGTCTGTACTTTGAATTTTGAATTTTGATATTTTCCTGGGCTAAGAAGAATTGTTGATCCTGTCATTATAGCATCACCATCACCCAGTAATTAATTGTAGTTCAATGCTTCAAACATTATTCAGGCCCAGTGTGCATTCAGCTGTGTACACTAATGGCAAGCACCCATATAACAATTCTGTTTTTCACTTTTAGTACAATATTTAATAAATTACATTAATAAGTTCAACACTTTATTATAAAATAGACTTTGTGTTAGATGATTTGCCCAACTGTGGGCTAAGGTAAGTGAGTGTTCTGAGCACATTTAAAGTAGGTTAAGCTAAGTTATGATGTTCAGTAAGCTAGGGGTACTAAATGCATTTTCAACTTATGATATTTTCAGTTTATGCAGAGATTATCAGGATATAACCCCACTGTAAGTCAAGAAGCATCTGTATACATATGTATATAAAAACACTATAGAGATACAACTATATACAGTTACAATTATAGAGCATATGTGTATGTGTCTCTCTATAGAGTCTATATTTATTTAAAAGATATGGAGGCTAGGCATAGACATTCATATCACTGGAATTTATATTACTGGACTTTCCAATGGAGAGAAAATATATGCAGAGAGGTGAATGTATTTAGCAAAATAATGACTACAATTTTCCAAAAATTAAAGATATAAGCCATGAAATTAAAGGCTTTATATATTAATAAATTAGATTTTAAAAATCTAAACCTATTATAGTAAATTATGATTCATAAAGTCAAAAAGAAAATTTCAAAGGCTTTCAGAGAGAAACAAAAGGAAAACACCTACAAAGAAACAAAGACAAAATTGGCATCTAACTTCCGAACAGCAATACTGGAGACAAGAATTCAATAGATAACTATTTTTAAGTGTTGTAGAAAAATTAATTCAAACCTGGATTTTCATAGCTAACTAAACTGTTATTTAAATTAGAAAATAAAATAAAAATACTCTTGCTTGTATAAGGCTTCAGAACGCTTCCTGTGCTATTAAAAACATTCCCTAACTCCCAAAGAAAAGAAAGTAGTCTACATGGATACCATGAAATATGTAAAAGGTGATTAAAGGTCTTAATAAATATCCAGTGAAAAGTAGAAAGTGCAGGGGGGACAAAAATACGATACATGGAAAACATAAATTAAGTTGGTAAAAATAATTCCTAATGTATCAGTAATTTTAAAATGTAAATGAATTGAATTCACTGATTAAAGGAAGAGACTCTCAGACTGGATGAGAACATAATCACCATGAAATAAGATACTTCTGAGAACCACATTTTAAACACAAGTTTTCTGAAAGTAGAAAGGATGTAAAAAACATATTTATGCTAGGCAATTATAAACCAAAGAGAACTGGAGTAGCAATCTACATTTCAGACAAATTGGAAATCAAAGTGCAAGAAACAACAAGGAACAGAGACATTATATATTGATAAAAGCAGTAATGGATCCAAAATATATATTATTTTAAAAAGTAGTATGAACATTTATTGAGGACTGAGCACCATTCTAAATCCTAATCTAAGATCTTTTCAGGTACTAGCTCATTTAATCTTCACGATAAGCCCATGACATAAGTTACATTGTTATCTACATCTTACACATGAGGCAACTGAGGCACAAATATAAGTAATAACCAAAAATACAAATGCATCAACAATAAAGTTCTGAAATACAAGGCAATAACTAACAAAAATAAGGGGAGAAAAAAACAATAACTATAGTTAAAATTTTTAGATGCATCTTCCAAAATCTATTAAATCAAGCACACACGAAAGAAATCCTTGAATCTACAGTCATATCCAAAAAAGAGGGAAAGAGTGCTCATTTACAGAACAACTAATAAATGTGGAGGACGCAGTAGCAGGAGAAAATCACCATCTGTAACTAACAATGTAATTCTTGATTCAGGCGAGGATCATTAATATATGATAAAGCCATTGGGCAAAAGATTATTGAAAACACAATATTTACACAATCTTAACATATCATCCCACGGACTACTTATTGATTCCACAGTGAAAAAAAAATATACATTTACAACAAAGAGATCTAATACACACCGCCTAAACCAAGTTACCAATAATGGAACAAGCTGACATTATGTGCCTCCTCATGTAATACAATGGGAACAACATAACTTTGACTCTAATAAAAAAAATCTGAAAAATCCATATTGCAAAATATTAGGACAATTGGACTGACCTCATAAAAAACAAGTTGAAGACAACCAAATGCAAAATATGATCCCTGATGTCCAACTGACCCTGGATCAAAATTTAAAATAAGATGAAAAATTAGCAACTTCAATTACATCAAAATTAAGGATTTATTCTTCCTAAGGAAATTCCAAATAATACATGTAAATACTCCTCCGTCAAAAAGGTGAAGCTTAATTCCCCTCCCTTTGACTGTGGGCTGAACCTAGTGAGCCATATCCAAAGAACAGAATATGAAAAAGAAAAAAATATAGCTTTTCAGTGGAGAAACAGCAGACACCACCTTAACCAAGTGTTCAAAGTTAGTATCACCAGAGATAAGTTATGTTAATATTATGTACCCTTTGATGTGGTGTGATAAAAAGAGCACTTTACTTCTGTGATCTTCTTCCAAAAAATGCATAAGCCCAGTTTAATCATAAGCAAACATCACACACTTATTTTTTTTCCCAAGATGGTGGATTAAAGGCTTTTAACATTCCTTGGCCACTTGGAAATAGCAACCTAGTGCATAAAGATCAACTCTGTGGCTGGGTACGGTGGCTCACACCTGTAATCCTAACACTTTGGGAGGCTGAGGCTGGTGGACCACTTGAGGTCAGGAGTTAGAGAGACCAGCCTAGCCAATATGGTGAAACCTCAGTGAGCCAAGATCATGCCACTGCACTCCAGCCTGGGTGACAGAGTGAGACCCTGTCTCAAAAAAAAAAAAAAAAGAGACAGAAAGAAAAAGAAAAATAGATCGACTCTGTGAGCTTTAATTCAAGAAGGAAAATGAGAACCCACTATAATCATGAAGGACACCCCAGATCCTGAGGAGGAGAACACAGGCAAACAGCTCCTGTGAAGGTGACCGGCTGATAAAAGTGAGTGAAGCCCCAGTACGTGAGAGGGGAAAGCAGCCTTCCTTGTAACTCACCTAGCAACCCAGGACAGGGGAGAGCATTGTGTTTCTCCCAACCTCTAGAGCTAACTTGGGGAAAGGGTTGGAGGCACCAAGAAAGAAAGATACTGGGAGAAGCTGCAGGCATTTTCCCAGACTGGTATTGAGAGCAGGATTCCATTTTTAATCCAGCTACAAACAAAGTCAGTCATTCTTTGGCAGCCTAGCAGAGTGACCATGCAGGTATTTTAATCTCAGGCCAGATATTGGAGCACTTGCTCTGGAGCAGGGTAGGGGCCTCCACAGCCAGAACTATGGACAGCACCTCACTAGTAGGTGCTGGAACTGTGCTTTTCCCCATCACAGGCCTGGAGCAGCAGGAGAGCTGCTACAGCTGCAGTTTCTCCTGAACAATGAGACTTGCAGCCCACAGCCAGCTTGGCAACCTGGAATCACTTTGTGTGTGTCATTGCTGGGTGCCCCCGCCTGCTCCCCTGAGATCACAGTGAAGCAGAGCCCTCTCCACTCCACCCCCAGGCAGAACTCCAGGAATTCAGAGTACATGCTTGCCTAGACCAGCAGCCTGAGCCACCTAGACCTCCCTGAGCATAGATCATGGTGCAGTAGGGCCCTCTCCATTCCACACCAGGCAGATCTCCAGGCATCCAGAGCACTCCCTCACCTGGATGAGCAGCCTGAGCTGCCCCACTCTTCCTGTGCAGAGATCTTGTTGCAGGGGAGCCCTTTCCACTTCATGCCCAGGCAGATCTCCTGGAACTTGGAGCACTGGCTCACCTGATTCAGCAGCCTGAGCCACCCCACCCTTCCCGGGCATAGATTGTGGTTCAGTGGGGCCCTCTCTGCTCCATGCCCAGGCAGATCTCCAGGCATGTAAAGCACCTGCTCACATAGATTGGTAGCCTGAACCACACCCCTCTTCCTGTGCAGAGATTGTGTTTCACCAGGGCCTTCTCTGCTTATGCCCAGGGAGATCTTCTGACATCTGAAGCACCCACTCTTCTGCAACAGGAGTTTAGAAATTGTGCACCTAAAGATTCAATGCTACTCCTACTAATGTCATAAACTACTGTCATTTTTCAAAGAATTAGAAAAAAACTATTCTAAAATGCATATTGAACCAATATGAGTTGTTTCAATACAGAGCCTGAACAGCCAAAGCAATCCTAAGCAAAAAGAAAAAAGCCAGAGGCAGTACATTACCCAATTGCAAACTATACTACAAGGCTACAGTAACCTAAACAGCATGGTTCTGGTACAGAAACAGATACATACACTAACAGAACAGAATAGAGAACCCAGGAATAAAGCTGTATACTCACAGCCATCTAATTTAAAGTCAACAAAAATAAGCAATGGGGAAAGACTCCTTAGTCAATAAATGGTGCTGGAATAGCTGGCTAGCCATATGCCGAAGAATGAAACTGGACCCCAACCTTTCACTATATACAAAAATTCACTGATGATGGATTAAAGATTTAAATATAAGACCTCAAACCATAAGAATCTTAGAAGAAAACCTAGGAAATACCATTCTGGACATCAACCTTGGGAAAGAATTTATGATTAAGTCCTCAAAAGCAATGGCAGAAAAAACAAAAATTGTAAGTGGGACCTAATTAAACTAAACAGCTTCTGCACAGCAAAAGAAAACGTCAACAGAGAGGACAGGCAACCTACAAGATGAAAGAAAACATTCACAAACTATGCAGCAGACAAGGGTCTAATATCCAGAATCTATAAGGAATTTAAACAATTCAACAAGCAAAAACAAAATAAACCCATTAAAAAGTGAGCAAATTCATGACCGACCTGGCCAACATGGTGAAACCCCATCTCTATTAAAAATACAAAAATTAGCCAGGCATGGTGACCCTGTAATCCCAGCTACTTGGGAGGCTGAGGCAGGAGAATTGCTGGAATCTAGGAGGCAGAGGTTGCAATGAGCTGATGTCACACCACTGCACTCCAGCCTGGGCAACAGAGTGAGACTCACTCAAAAAAATAAGTGGGCAGAAGACATGAACAGACACTTCTCAAAAGAAGACATACAAGTAGCCAGCAAACATTTAAAAATGCTCAACATCACTAATCATCAGAGAAATGCAAATCAAGACCGCAATGAGACAACATCTCACACCAATTAGAATGGCTGTTACCAAAAAGTCAAAAAACAGATGCTGGCAAGGCTGTGGAGAAAAGGGAATGCTTATACACTGTTGGGAATGTAAATTAGTTCAGCCACTGTGGAAAGCAGTTTGGAGATTTCTCAAATAACTTAAAATGGAACTACCATTTGACCCAGCAATCCCATTGCTAGTTATATATTTAAAAGAAAATAAATAGCTCTACCCAAAAGACACTTGTACTCATATGCTCATCATGGCACTACTCACTATAGCAAAGACATGGAATCAACCTAGGTGCCCATCAGTTATGGATTGGATAAAGAAAATGTGGTACATATGCACCATGGAATACTACAAAGCCATAAAAAAGAACAAAATCACATCATTTGCAGCAACATGGCTGGAGCTGGAGAACATTATCCTAAGGAAATTAATGCAAAAACAGAAAAACAAATACCACATTTTCACTTATAAGTGGGAGCTAAACATTGGGTACTCATGGACATAAAGATGGCAACAATAGACATTGGGAAGTACTTGAAGGGGGAGGGAGGGAAGGGACAAGGGTTAAAAAACTACCTATTGGGCACTATGCTCACTATCTGGGTGGTAGAATCACTCATATCCCAAACCTCAGCATCACACAATACACCCATTTAACAAACCTACACATGTGCACCTGGAATCTAAAATAAAAATTGAAATTTTTTTTTAAAAAAAGAAAATATCAGACAAACCCAAATTGAGGGACAGTCTAGAAAATGCTTGACCAGTACTCCTCAAACTGAGACGATCATAAAAACTAAGGAAAAAGAGAGTAACTTTCACAGATCAAAAGACTAAAGAGATACAGCAACCAAATGCAATGTAGCATCCTGGATTGGATCTTGGAAGAGTAAACGGATATCAATGCGAAAACTGGTAAAACCTGAATAATCTGTGGTTTAGTTAATAGTATTATACCAATGTTAATTTGTAAGTTTTTAAAAATGTGCCAAGTTAGGTAAGACATTAACATTAAGGGAACCTTGGTGAAGAGAAAACTCTCTGTAGTATCTTTAAAACTTTTCTGTAAATCTAAAATTATTCCAAAATAAAACATTTGCCATATATAAAAGAATTTCTCTTCAACAAAAAGATACAAGAAGAAACTTGCACCGACTAAAGTTGACAAAAATAAATGTCTGAAATATACATGGAATGCCAATAAATTAATAAGAAAGACAAGAAAACCAACTGTAAAATGGACAAGGCAGTGAATAGACAATTCCCAGGAAGAGAAATCCAAAAGACTAATAAATATATGAAGAGATGTTCTACCTCACAAATAACAAGAAATGTGCTAAATAAAATCAAGAAGCATATTTCCATGACTCAGTTTGAGGAAAAAAGTTATGATGAAATGGAAAACCTAGTTCACTCCTGATAGGAGAGGAAAGTGGAACAGGCACTCTGGAGAGTACCTTGGCAGTACTACCCGTTAAGCATGGGACCACCCCGCAACCTGTAAGCCTACTCTAGATCTAACACCCCAGAAACACTCACCCATGATGGTATAGGGACATGGAAAAGAATGGTCCTCACGGTGTTGATTGTAGCAGCAAAGCCTTGAGCCAACAATGGTGCCTGTTACTGGGGCTGTAAGAATCACATGGTGGATACACTCTGGACACGATACAACAGAATTACCCAGATGCACATTCGCCAAATGGATAAATCCTGGAAAATTATGCCAAATGGAAACAGTAAAAAGCAAATATACATATATATGCGTATATATTTACTGAAATACCATTTATATAAACTTAAATGTCATACATTTTAATGGCATATTCTCAACACATTAGTATGCATGTTTATAATATATCAAGGGAGAGAATAGGCATTGGGATTGGGGCATGAAAGGGGAAAATATGAAAATGAACTAACACATGGGCAAGACCATGAGCAGGTAGATGCCACAAGCTCCTTAGGATGATGACTTCAATTTGTACCTGAGATCCACACTAAAGAAAAAAGGGAGAAAGTGGCTCTGGATGAAGGTCTGAGGAGATCACCTTTGAGTTAAGAGCATGAATTTTCGTGTGGATAAATGTGGAACATCTATATTGTCTGCTCAGCAGCCCTTTTTCTTTACATACTGATTACAAAATAAGTCATCTCTTAATGGCCAGTAAGTCATGTTCACACAAGCAAAGCAATGCTGTACTGAGTTTCATTATAATAAGATATACCTACAGTACAGCCTGACACTCAAGAGTAATTCTTTCCAAGACCTTTATGAATCCCTCCAATTCACAAATTACCACTATGGCACATAATTTCCCCCATAATATGCATATACAATGAGTGAAAACAACATTTTTTCTTTGGGTGCCTAGGGGCAAGATGCCTGACTCATTTACTAGCTGTGCAACCCACCACTACACTCCAGCATCCCAGCCGGCAAGTGAAATTCTAATTCATGCTTCAGCAAAAATACAAATTATAATATATTTTAAACATGGAGGGTCATTTGCAAATAATGAGAAATGCAAATTCTAAATCAATGGAAGTCCAGGGAGTACTGTACCCTGATGACCACTCCGCTGCCCTGGAAGAGTTACTGCAGCTTTTTAAAGTGTTTAATATAATCTCTGAAATAACGGAGGCTATGAGCAAACCCCACTCATTCTGATTGACAATTTGGCCTGTGGCTCAGACCACTGACTCTAAGCAAATCATAGAAGATTGAAATTCTGAAAGAAGATGTTGATTTCAAAGCTTTTAATGATTCTAATTTTCAATCAGCAGTTTTTAGTTTTCTTTTTTCCAGCTCATTACCCAAAGACTCTGTGGATCAACCAATGTGTGCAGCCCATCTCCTCCTAATTCCTCGAGTAATACAATCCTGTCCATCATTTTACCTAGCCCTGGAAAACAAAGCCAAAATATACGTGTTCATTTCAACTTCATTTACCTTGTCAGGATTCCAAAAGCTCAGGAAACAACATAAAAAAAAATCCCAGCATATCAGAAAGCTTCTAAAATGAAGCTGATCAAGCCAATGATTTCTTCACACAACTGAACTGATGGGACACTGAATGCAGGCTGGCAGCTCTGGCTGTGACAAAAAAGAGAGGCATGAGAAAACAGAGGAGGAAGAGGAGAGTCTTCAGCCTCAAATCAGAGTTGTGTCCATCTCCTCAGAGTGTGGAGATGAAAATAAAGTGGCTTTGAAACATATGCCTGCTATTCAGAAAAGCAGCCAACAGTTACAAGTATGAAGTGGGATACGGGAATAGGTTCCTACTGTGTAAAATTGCATGTTATTGAATTGATTGAGTTGTCATTCAGAAAAGGTGATTTTCAAAATGAAGCTGGTGGGGAAATAAATAGAGTAGAAATTCAGATCAAATTCATTCAAATATTGCCACTGATACCTGTGAAACTAAAGGATTGCAGCTTGGGAAGGTAATGTCATTAAACAATGACACTGAAGGTCATTCCTTGTTACCCTTTTCTATAAATGATCCCACCTCTTCTTTGGCTCATTGACTGTCACTCAGCAGAGTCACTCGCTCACTGACTCACCTGGAGCCAGGGCCAGTCAGGCCTTGGTAATATTCAGGAATCCCTATGTTGTCTTAAAAGTCTCCTAAAACCCATTTCCCATGTTCTGTTCCCAACCGTGACCCACCCTTACCTCTGGTGTCTCCCCTAAGCTACCACTTACTGTGTGTTGACCAGCTGGGGGACGCGTAGAGAACCAAAGCCCAACTTTAAGGCCTCCTGTGAGATAGACCACAGTAACACAAAGTAGAACTTCTATAGGTGTGTGGCAAACTAGTTCCATTAGGGTGACCTTGAGAGCCTAAGGGGGTCAATCCTGGATTGTGTCTTATATATAGTAGATGCTCAATAAAAATGCATATAATGATAGAAATAAAAATGAACAAATGGCAGTTCCCTGAAATAGCAGGAGACCAAGGGAAAAGAACAGCAATCAGCATTCAGTTCTGGCAGGTCTGTCCACAGGAACAAAACCCCAGCTGGGGAAGGGAGCATGGGGAACAGAGCTCAGCTTCCTGGAGGACAGGGCTGGCAAGGAAGTAGCAGGTTTCCAGGACTTCAGCCAAGGAGGCTGGGGATCGGAATGGGGTTTCAATCCCAACAGGGAATGCGAGTGTCGAATGGGGTCAACTCAGCAAGCTTAGAGGAAACACGTGCAGGCTCATCAGAACACCATGGCCCTGGGCAGGATCAACCAGGAGTGAGCAGGGAGCACTGCAGAGAAGGGGCCCTCCGGACATGCCCCAACTGGGGAGTGCTGGCACCCCTCTCCAGTTCGCATCTACTGCCTTTCAAAACTGGCTCCTGTATGGCAGTTAATGCAAGCCCCCACCCTCGTAGAAAGATCACTGACAAGGCGGCCTCATCAGAAGCACCAGACTCCAGTCCCAGCCCTGCCATGCCCAGAATGCGCCCTCAGGCAAGGCATTTAACTCCTTCAAGTCACAGATCCCTCCTCATAATTGGGAGCAATGGTTAAATTTATTGGAGCATTTGAGGATAAAGAAGAGCACACATACGGAAGTTCTCTGTAAAGAATGTAGCTTTATAAATGTTGGCTATTTGTGCATTAAGCACTATTCCATGTTGAATCCAATGTTGAAATTGTTAAATTGAATTTTCTGGACTCATAGAAATAAAGCTTTAGTTTCTCATTCAAGAAACTTGAAGCATCAGGCAGGCAAACTGAGTTTTGCAAGGAGTGTGAGAAGCTTTCCCTGGGCCCCTGAAAGCACGCTGCTGTTGGCATCTAACCGATGCATGGCCATCTAGTTGAGCTCTGCTTGCAGCTGGGATCGGCAGCCTTCGTATGAAGCACATCTAAGTATCTATTGCAGGGCGAGTAAATAAAACCTTCACAAAGGTAAACAGTTGTTCGGTTTTACAGTCTATTCACACATAACTTTTATGCTCCATTATGATATACGGCTTCTATATGTTTGGAAGTCCTAGAACATCGTTCTGTGTGGTGTCCTTTAAGTGACTGGTTGATAAACGATTATTTACTCACCAGCTTTCACGGCCCATGAAAGCCTTTAAACTGGAACGCTGTCCCTAACTACCCATTAGTGATCATGGTAATTCTTCCTAATGGGATGTGAGCCAGTTATCTTGACAGGCTTAGTGGCACAGGGAGGCAGGTTGGGCAGGATAAGAAGGAGCCCATGCCCAATCCAGGGTGTTCTACTGCATTGTCTGAATCAAAGGCCATGTCTACCATTGGGACATAACATGGCATGCACTTGGCCAGGCACGGTGGCTCATGCCTGTAATCCCAGCACTTTGGGAGGCCAAGGTGGGCGGATCATGAGGTCAGGAGATCGAGACCATCCTGGCTAACACAGTGAAACCTCGTCTCTACTAAAAATACAAAAAATTAGCCGGGCGTGGTGGCGGGCACCTGTAGTCCCAGCTACTTGGGAGGCTGAGGCAGGAGAATAGCGTGAACCTGGGAGGCGGAGCTTGCAGTGAGCCGAGATCGCGCCACTGCACTCCAGCCTGGTGACAGAGCGAGACTCCGTCTAACAAAAAAAAAAAAAAACATAGCATGCACTCTCAGCACATAGTGATGACTCAGCCTCCAACACCTGCCTTCTGCTGGTTTCACACCAACATGACTGTGTTTACCTGCATGACACAGTCTTATGGCACAGATAAGGGAGTCAAGTATGCTTGTTCCATTTCCTGGTGGCACCTGTGAACTCTTCTGTAATGTAAGGCAAATCACTTTTCCACTCTGGGAAGGAGAAGCAGTCCACAGCTTGATAACAGAATGGGTCCAAATTTTGCTTGTAAGATTGTTGGTTGGCATTCGCAAAGTATTTTTAATAGAAATTATAAATAGTAGTCTGAAAATGTTTAATGGTTATTATAATAACACTAGTATTAAGTATTAATAGTATCAAGTATTGAGTGCTTATTACTTGCCAGAAACAGTACTAAGCATTTTATAGGTAATTTTCATGATATTTATGGTAAGCCCATGAGATGGGGTTTGTCTTTTCCGTTTCACAGATGAGAATACTGAGGCTCAGAGAGGGTAACTTACCCAAGGTTACAAGGCACCAAAGCTGAGGCTCGAAGCCTGTGCTCTTGACCACTCCTCCACAGTCAGCAGTGACCCTTCTGTCCTTTATACTTTCCATATTTCCCAAATTTGAAAATGAATTGTTTTAATTGTACAATCAGGAGGACATTTTTGGTTAGCTTTCTAAGTTAGCCATCAAAAATTGTTAGCTATACACAGCTGATGTATGAGAATATGGGTCTGATCAGGGCACCAGGTGAAAGACGAGAAAGAACATGGAAAATGAGGAACCAGGAAGAGAGGAAGAAGTCAGAGATGGAGGAGGAAGAGGGAAAGCAAGCACAAATGGAAAAAAAGACGTCTTCATGAAAGAGAATATGAAAAGGAACAGTGGAAGGAGGTTGGGGTAAGATGGTGAAAGGCTTTAAATGTCAAAGACCTTTGAACTCTATTCCATCTCTGAAACCAGTGCTACTTTTTACCTCATGTAGATTTCATAACACAAAGATGTAATGAATGTAAAACAGCTGTCAACTGGAAAAAGGAGGAAGTAAGTGTTGGCACCTACAAAGCTACAAAGACCAATTTTTTTAAAACATGAGATTACTTAAGTGTCATATTTACAGTCAGAATCACCTTATTCTTTGAAGTAATGAAACAAGATGATTTTCACATTTTCAAAGTACTAATGAAAACCCAGCATACTTAATTATTGCAAATGCTTAGATGCATGTGATCAGGGGTCATGTCTTCTAGTGTATTTTTTAATCACAAATGGTGTTATATACCATCCTCAACAGCATCTGACACTGTCTCTACACTCAGCAGGTACTCCATAAACATCAGTGGCTAGAGTTTCCAGGCACAACTCCAGCCTCATCAGGTCACTGGAATATTAAGCAGAGAAACTGAGGCAGAAGCCCAATTGTGAACCAACCCAGTGGCTGTAATCCCAGCACTTTGGGAGGCTGAGGTGGGTGGATCACGAGGTCAGGAGATCGCGACAATCCTGGCTAACACGGTGAAACCCAGTTTCTACTAAAAACACAAAAAATTAGCCGGGTGTGGTGGCAGGTGCCTGTAGTCCCAGCTACTTGGGAGGCTGAGGCAGGAGAATGGTGTGAACCTGGGAGGTGGAGCTTGCTGTGAGCCGAGATCGTGTCACTGCATTCAAGCCTGGGCGACAGAGTGAGACTCCGTCTCAAAACAAAACAAAACAAAAAAACAGAAGACTACCTCTTGGAGCTTCCTCAGGTATTCAGGACTCAGCCCATCATAAGACTTCCCCTGGCACAGTGGAGTTGTGCACTCATTGAGCACCCTGGGTGCCAGGCACTGTGTTGATGCTGCAGAAACAGAGACAAAGAAGGCAGACTCCTGTCCTCGAGGACTAGCAGGGACTGGTGGGACAGAGCTTGTAGATGGAGGGTGTCCATGGGTCCTGCACTGAAGGCTGATTGAGTAGAGGTGAGATGACGGGTACAAGGATCAGGGCAGGGACCCTCTTAGTGAGGATGCACATGGTCTACACTATCCCTCTGCAACTGTGCAAGAAGGGAGCCTGCTTTCCTGCACAAAATGGAAGAGAAGAGAGAATATTTGCTTTAGCTTCGATTTGTTTTGACCATTGAGCCCAGCAGACAATTACTTTTCCACTTTATGTGGAAAGTGGTCACTTTCCAGCCCAGAAGGGCCAGCCCTAGCTCTTGGACTTCAGCCCCATTCCTGCTGCAGCCCTCTTGGACATGTTTTAGCTCCTCAAAGGTGCCATATTCTCTCCACTTTGGACTTTTGCACTGTGTCTTCCTTCTCATGGGCATATTCTTCTCCCCTCACTCTCCTCTCCCCCTTCACCTGGATAACTCCATTCGGCATTTCAGTGTCGGCTTAAGCATCACATCTGAAAAGAAGCCTCTCTCTCCCAGACCAGGTTGAATGCCTTGCTATCTGCCCCTTAGCACACTGTTGTTCCTTTTTCATAACTCTTATCACACTTGTAATTATGTGTTTACTGTCTCCTGCCCCTCTAGACCATGACCTTTATAAAGGCAGGGCTATATCTGCCTTGTGGCCCATTGTATTCTTAGCATCAAGAGCAGGACTAGGCACAGAACAGATGTTCAGTAGGTCCTTGTTGAATGAGTGAGTGAGTTACAAGCCATATCTCCATGGAAGAACAACTCTCTGGCAATTGGTATAAGTCCCTTGCGAATTCCTAGAGGCTGGGACCAAGCCTGACTCATCTTTGTAACTGTGGTGCCTTGTATTATGCTGAAACGCTGTAGTCAGTGAACTCAAAGATGGGGTGCAGAGGAAGGGAGAGCGTGAGGTGGGATTTCCCAACACCAGGCCCTCCCCACTACCCAACCCCAGAAGACCAGATAAATTTCACCTACTGAAGGACATCTTTCCTCTCCAATGCAGCCCCAAACTTCCTCTTCTCGACTCCTACAGGCCTTAATGTGTGTGCTTTTCGGTTAGCCCTTGTCACACCCGGTCTTTTCATGTCCCTCATGAGCTCCTTGAAAACAGAAACTGCAGCTCCTTTTCTTTATTCTCTTGGCTCCTAATTCCTTGTGCAGAGCCAGTGCTCAATCTATGTCAATTGAGGGCTGACAAGAAATTGAATTTGTTTCCAAAAAGATTGTATAACCTCCTTCCCTGGTGGACTTTGAAATATAGGGTAGATTTCCAAGTGTGTGGAAAGCAGAGTAAGAACCTTTCTGGAAACAAAAAGGTAAATCATGTGAGTCCCTGTCCAAGCCTTTGACTATATGAAAACAAGTACCTTACTGACACTGTAAAAATGAGAAAACCTCTTTTCGGCTTCCTTCATTTTAGACAAAGCCTGGCTTTGTCACATATGCTCTGGTTGCAGAGGGCTCTGGCATAATAGGCAGCCTTCTCCACTCTGACTTAAAGTAAATACAGACAGGCTCTCATCCCACAGAGGACAGAATGAGCAGCTTACTCCGGAAAGCTGAGGACCGATTGCCAGCATCAGCACAGAAAGGATCAGCTGCACCACAGAGGTGACCCTATTACTTCATGCACAGAGCTGGGCTTCCATCAAGGTCCTTCCATAAGGTCCTTGTCCCCACACTTACTGGCGCATTGCCCTGGCCCACAGATAATGTACAAAATCTTGTCTTGCCTTTGCATGGCATTTTGCCTTGCAGGATCTCTGCTAAGCCTCTCGCCACCTTCCCTCATGGGCAGAGAGAGGAAAGGCCCCCTTAGAGGGACCCCTGGGTGTGTCACTAATCCATCCGCCTGCTTCTATGTCACATTTAATTACTCATTCAATACAGAATTATCTGTACCAAGACTCCAGACTAATGAGATGCTGCGAAGCCTTCAAATTGGGGATTACAAACTGCAGCATGTTGTACCAAGGTCGGTCTGAATTGTTCTAAAGCTCTGATTACTACACGATCACCTTCTTTTTAACCTGAAACCCTTTAATTTTCATTTTTCAATAGCAAAAAATTTTAGAGCTCTTTGGAGGAGGCAAAGGGTGCTGCTTGGTTGTTTAACTACATGAAAGCTTTAGTGATCAATATCTAAATCTTCAGTGCTGCACTGAAGCCAACTCCCTCTCAGTAATCTTCCCAATGGGGTATTTGACCTTTGCCTCAAGAGAATAAGAAACTACATAGGTCCTCTTGGTGGCATTTTGCCGGGAAATAATGCAAAGGTTAAATAGATATTGTCTTAAACGTATCTGTATTCTTATCCAGTTTAATAATCAGAGAGTCCCCATGCAATCCTTTTATCCCGATTCCTTATCATGTGGGTCTCTCAAAGGTAAAGACTTTGTATCCCACCATATTTGCTGTGCTCAGGAAATATGAGGGGTACAGAGAGCTTTCTGGACATTAACTATACACTCCATACTCCTGTAGTGTCTAATACAGTAGCTGCTAGCTACATGTGGCAACTGAACAGTTGAAATATGGCTAGCGTGAATGAAGATACACTATAAGTGTAAAATAACCACCAGACCTTAAATTTTTAAATGTAAAAAAACAGATTTTCAGTTTTTTTCTATTTGATTACATATTGAAATGATATTTTGGATGTATTGGGTTAAATCAGAGTTTCTCAACCTTAGCACTGTTGATTGACATCTAGGCCAGATATTACTTTGTTGTGGGAGGCTGTCTCCCAATGCATTGTAGGATGTTGACCAGCATCCCATCCACTAAATACCACTAATGCCCTCCTAGTTGTGACAATCAGAAATTGCCCAGTGACATTGCCAAGTGACATTTTTAGATATCAGCAAATGACTCCTGGGGAGCAATATCTCCCCTGGTTGAGAACCACCAGGACAAAAATATATACTATTAAAATTAACATTACTATTTCATTTTACTTTTTTTTTTTTGAGATGGAGTTCATTTTACTTTTTTAAGGTAGTTACTGAAGAACCTAAACTTACACATGTGGCTTGCCTTTGTGGCTTGTATTGTATTTCTATCGGACAGTGCTACCCTAACCTGTGAGCATCTTGGGATCGAGGTTCATGCCTTTTCATTGCTGCATCACCAACATTGAGAACAGAGCTCCTGGAGACCTTGTAATGGGGACAGAGTCAGTAAGTAATGCTTACAAGTGGGGTTGCTAGGCACTGGCCCATTGAAGATACTCAGGAGCATAGGAACATAGGACAAACACTAGAAAGTCACAGATCAGGCCCACAGGTGATAGATGAACACACTTACAACAAGTCACAGAGTTTGAATAAAAGTAAATTCTAGTAATTGTTATGAAATCACAGGCTGTCCCTAATAGCTTATATACCACTGGATAGAGACCATTTCAGGACCCCATGTTGTCTTTTAACTGAGAAAAGCTTTACTGGAGTCAAAACCAGTTTTTTCTTTAATGTATCATTTGAGGGCATCACATCTCCATCAGCACACAGGTCCCCAGGTCCCTTTGCCACTACTTTTTCTACTTTTCAGTCTGTTCTTTCCTTTTTTGCTATTCTTAAATCACCCAACATACCTTTCCATTCACCCAGGTGCTTCCAACCTTTTCCACTGTGGTCACGTCTCCCAGGTCATGAACTCTTTACTCATATCCCAACCCTCCACCTCCAGCTCTTTCTAAAATTGGTCCCTTCCTGGTTCTTCTCCTGATAGACCTTAACTTAGGTGCATAGTTTACGACTAAGGACAGTCTCTAAGACCAGGTATCTCTCATTTCCTCTATAAGGCTCAGGGCTCCTGTCACATACCCTACCTCCATGTCCCCATGAAGGAAAAAGAATTTTTGCCATGTCATTTTATCTATTAGGTTCCCTTTGACTGAAAGTAACAGAGAGCTCCAACTCCAAATGGCCTATAAATAAGAGGTGGCCAGCACCACGGTTAACTTGGCAACTCAGTGAAATAACCAAGGACCTAAATGCTTTTTATCTTTTGTCTGATCATTCTTAATGTATCCACTTTGCCCTTAGGATTTTTCCCTTCATAGTCCCAAAATATCTGCAGCAGTTCCAGGGGGCCCATTCAGAGATAATGTCAAGAAGCAGAAAGGGAACTCTCTTCTCCCTGGGTCTCCGTGGAAGAGTGGGACAACATTTCTCATAAGCCCTCAGCATAGTGATCACATCTCATGGGCCAGAACTGCATCATGTATCTATATCTAAACAATAACTGGCAATACAAATGGGACCACTTTGATTAGCTTAGGCCAGTGATGCTCAAAACATGGTCCTCAGACCGGCAGTATCCGCATCACCTAGGAAGTTAGAAATACAAATTCTCTGACTCCATCTCGATCTACTAACTCAGACATTACTGGTGGGTCCCAGTAATTGTTGGTTGATTCCAAGGTGATTGATTCCAAGGCACATTAAAGTTGGGGAACCACTGGGTTAAACCAATCAAGACCTGCTTGTGGGTGAAAGCCTGCCTCCCTTGAAACATGTGGTCATGATAAAGGAGGGTGGATGAACAACACAGGGGTTCTTTTATGAAGGAGAAAGGAGTGATGGAAAAATAGGTGTTGAATAGATAGCCAACATTATCTGTTAGAATCACCATGTAATTTTTCCCTTTTTTAAGACACAGCCTTCTGGTATTACAAGCTTTTTTGAACATATTCAGTAACCAATAACTGGCAAGGATATTTTCAAAGAACATTTTTGATATGCTTAGAAATAGTTACTATTTCTATACAACATCCAACAAAAACAACAACTCTTCAGCAACGCACACACAGTCTTTAAAATTATTTCCCATAACGGGTTTTATGTTATCCTCAGGACAATTCTGTACAGTAGAAAGAATAGTTATTATTTTTATTTTCATTTTAGTGGTGGGAACACTGAAGCTCAGAAAGGGCAGAATCACACAGCTCAAGGCCAGGATTCACTTCACAGGTCTTCCAGCTGCAGATCTTCTGGAACATCCTCCAACAGAGCTCTGTGGGGGGTGACCTCCTGCAAAAAAGTCTTATATGGAGAAAGCTACAAATGTTTCAATGACTTTCATCTGCATGGCCTTCTCTAATGCAAGACATTGGAATTCCAACTACAAGAAAATCTTACAGCTAGAACAAATGGCACAGATTTCCCCACCACTGTTAATTGTACAACAGAGGGATTTTGCATGCTGCTGCCCAAGAAAATAAAAAAGCATTTTTATTTCCCACTATAGCTTTAATGAATTAACTAAAGTTGAGCAAAAGAGATGATACCTTGATCACATTGAAATTACCCAAGATGTTTTTCTCTAGAAAATCCAAAAGATTTTTAATTCTACTTTTGTGAGCTAGAGATACGGGTGTTTTTAAAATTCTAAATAGGAAAAAAAAGAGAAAAGTGGAAAAAGCAGGTACATTACACATTAAAATAAATGTCAACAATGACCTTTCAGCCAGAGGACCCAGGCTGTTGTGTTCTTAAAGAGCCATCAAACCAGGAGCTCAACCCTCAAAGATCACCTGGGAATCCTGGAACAACAGAACCCAAGAGACAGGGCCGACACATTTCTCAACCTCAGAAGCTCCAATCCCCTTGTATTCTATCCATTCTGCAGGCCTGCCAGGAATGCCCTTCAGATCCTGGGAGCACTTTTTACTAGAGCAGTACTGCCTAAGATGGAAATTCTATGAGCCTCCCAACCTCTATCCCAGCCTGGGTCCACCCTGTGAGATTCTGGGGCCCAGGAAACAGAGGATGTCATATAACAGGAGATTTTCAGAAGAAAACAATTTTCAATGAGACGAATATGTCAGCAGATTTCAATGGAAATCCTGAATAAAGGACAAGGGCAACATTATCCTAATGTTCTTGCCCTAGGGCTTTCCAAGATAAACAATCATTTCCAGATTCTCTACTCCTGGCCCTGCTGCTGATTTGCTACTACTTTTCTTCCTTTTATGGACTCAGTTTACCCAAAATGCTGATCTCTGAGCCCTGAGGTTGTATGATTCTGTGCTGGACCAGCTCTCCAGGTATAGGTTCCAGCATCTCTCCAACATGCTTAGCCTAGATCTAATGCTGATCACCAAGATGCTGTCACCCAGGATCACTTTCTTTTTGATAAAGAGATGTCCCTACTCCAGTTCCACTGGATCCTGGCACATCTGCCAGGTCCTGTCCCTGACCAAAGTCATACATCTTCCTGTGAGAACCCAGGTGGAGGAGAGCACATTCCCATCTCAGCCCTGCAGGAGCACGGGAGTTCAAAGCCCGGGGAAGAGCTCCGCCTAAGCTGGGTTCATGAATGCTTTATTATTGTTCTGCTGAACAGTTACCCCCATGCCAGGCAAGTCAGAACAAGACTTCTAAGCTATGGTGATGGATGTTTGCAGGGAACCCGTGGGAGTTATTAATATTCATGTTCCCATCACACTTTTGCAAGTAATGGAAGCTTGTTTTCTGTAACACATCGTTAGGTGAGGAAGACAAGTGACCTCCTAGAGTTTTGAAGCACAAAGTGTGGTCACCCAAGACCCAAAAGGGACTGAGGGAGGAGTAGACAAGGTGAGAGGGTTGAAGGTGTCATATTTTCTCCTTGTGGAGGCTCGCAAAAGATCCTTTCAACCCCTACAAAGTGAGCAGTTGTGGAGCCTGGGAGCTGTTCACTGTCTCTCCCCTCTCACTGAGGACAGCAGGACTCAAAATGGGATGTCTGAGACCACAGGTTTGAGAGAGGGGAGTGGGGAATTTGGATGCCTGAGTTGAGCCGTCTTGCCTACCATAGAACACTGGAGGGACCTGCAGACCCAGGACCAAAATGTCAAGTAGTCATGTGGGCCAGAGCAAGAGCTCACCCACTGCCACTTTGAGCTTAGGGGAGACCAGATCCAGAGCAGCAAAGGATTGGAGGGAGGGAGGGTAAACATGTACAGCAGCTAAAAGAGCCAGTCAATGGGGTGTGGGCAGGACAGCAATGATTTCAAACAGGCCTATTGAAGCTGCCATTTCCCCTCCCTGCTCTAAGGAATAAAGTGCCCAGCCAAAACAGAAGCTGCTTTCACACACCCCAACACTGATCGCACTGTATTGCGTCTAGGTGTGTAGGCTTCCTGCCTCTGTGCGTGTTTCCTCATCCACAAAATGGGCATAAGAGTAACATCTCATTTTGTTGTGAAAGAGTTAATATACATAAACATGCTTAGAACAGCACCTGGCATGCAGTACACCCCATTAAATGTGAGCTATCATTACAACTACTATGAGTATTACATGTGTCTATTTTCCTCCATAGACTGAGTTCTCTAGAAGCAGGAACTGTGTCTTATTATATTTGGTACCCCAAAGCCCAGCACTGTGCCAGACACAATTTGGCTGCATAATAAATACCTAATAAATCAATAACTCGATGAATAAGTATACATTCTCTACTCCTACCATCCTCAGGCTACACGGAGTCATTTCTTCCTAACAGCATCAGGTCATTAATTCCTTTGACAAATATTTTTTGATCACCTGCTCTGGGCCAGGTACTGTTTTGAGTGCTCAAGGAGCGGGGGAGGCTCAGTTATAAATAGAGTGGAGAGGGACAACCTGCCTAAAAAGGTGATATTTCCAGGAAGCCCAAAGAAGTGATGGAGCCAGCCACGTGGCCGTAGGGAGAAGAGCCTTCCAGTTAGAGGAAAGAGAAAGTGCCAGATTCAGCTTGTTTTTACTACAGCACCTCGGGGGCATCTGTCACAGCCATACTGAAATGGCGAGCGTTTCCTTCAGCACCTGGGTGGTAGAAGTCACTTGAGGGTGCATTCTTCCACAGAATCAAAGCAGTCAAAGAGCACCAGCCCTTCATTAACTAAGCTGTGTCTATAAGATGAAACTGGGTTTCTCAGCCTGATAAGGAATAACACTTATGAAAATTCCAGATCTGTTTCTGTCTATGTATCACAAACCTCTTTTTTCTGTGGGCATATCAATTAAATGAGATATCTGGAAAATGCCTAGCCTATCACCTGGCACATCATAACTGTTTTTAATGGTTATTACTGTGATTTCAGTCTTCCCCCTTCACTTTCCCCAAACCCCACCCTTCCAAAATGCTACAGAGGAGGAAAAATACTGGAGGGGCTTTTATGCTGTCACTATTTGGGGAGCATGGGTGGAGATGGGGAGGAAAGAGACAACTGGCTGTTAATGTGTATGTTCTGCACCAGACTGTGAGCAGCTTCAGAGTCACAATCTCCAGCTCTGTGACTATGCACACTGCCCAGCAGAGCACTTGGCACATTGTAGATATTCAGTAAATGGTTGATGAAGGAATAAATGAAAAATAAAGTAGAGTACCATACACTGGAGCATGATGCTGTATTGTGCTCGCTTCCAGGAGCCCTGCCATGCCTCTCAGCCAGCAGGAGCTGGTGACACCCAGGGAGAGAGGCTTGACCCAGACCTCACATCTCAGAAGCTGAACTCTCCTACTGTTTCTTGAGCACACTCCCTCAAATGCCACCTGGTGCTTTAGGTTGCCTGTGAGTGGCAGCCCACAAAGGGGCTTTGGGTGATTTTCCTGCAGTTTAGCTTTGTTGGCATTTAGATCAATCATCCCTTTCTGTAATATTAAACTTTAGCTCAGTGTTCTCAGAGAAGATATAAATGATTAAACAAAGGAAAGCAACTCTGGCTTCAGATCAGATGGTAATTAGCATCACCTAGCACTGAGACAAGTCCCTTCATGTGGTCCATGTGTCAGCATAAGGAGTTGAGGATTTGGCAACGATGCTCAAGTTCTGACTGATATTAATCTCAGTTGTGCCTGGACCCCAAAACGACTAATGGAAACAATTCAGGCATTCACCATCACTGCAAGAGGGAGGGAAGGGAAAAGAAGGGGAGGGGAGGGGAGGGGAGGGGAGGGGAGGGAAAGAAAAAGTAAATTTTGGTGTAAGAACAAAGAGAATTTTCACTGACTGCCCATCTTCTGTGTGCCATGTATGGTACATATGATCCATGGTATTCTATGTACCATGTAGGGTACATGGTAACATATGATTTCATTTTAATTTGTACATCATGAAGTAGGTGCTACACTATCTGTTTTGCAGATGATGAAATCACTGTTCAAAGAAGTTAAGTGACTACCAAAACACAAGCAGCAAGCAGAGGAGCTGAAATTGGAACCTGGGTGATATAGTTTGGCTGTGTCTCCACCCAAATCTCCTGTTGAATTGTAACTCCCACAATTCCCACATGTTGTGGGAGAAACCTGGTGGGAGGTAATTGAATCATGGGGGCTGGTCTTTCCTGTGCTGTTCGCGTGATAGTGAATAAGTCTCACAAGATCTGATGGTTTTAAAAAAAGGAGTTTCCCTGCACAAGTTCTCTCTCTCTTTGCCTGCCACCATCCATGTAAGATTTGACTTGCTCTGCCTTGCCTTCTACCATGATTGTGAGGCTTCCCCAGCCACATGGAACTGTGTAGATCCATTAAACCTCTTCTTCTTCCCAGTCTTGGGTATGTCTTTATCAACAGTGTGAAAACAGAGTAATACACTGAGTCTGCTTCATACTAAGCTGCCTCTTCTCAGAAGATGGCACGGGACCCTGCTGGTGGCCACAGAGTCCATGCCAAACGGCTCCATGGGCAATGAGCAACAGTGCCCTGGGAAAAGCTTAACTGTGGGCTATGCCCTTGGAATGAGTACACCGAGAGGGAGGAAGGAATCTTTACACATTTCAATGGCATCAAAATGTTCTTTACTGTGGAAAGAGGAACAAGGACTTTCTTTATAGCAAATTGAGTGAAAGTCATGTAGTCCTAGAGCAGTTTCTCAATTTTTTTTTCACTATGGTCCCCCTAAAGCAGCCTTTTTAGATACTATTTTCCTAATCATGAAATTTTAATACCACATATATACTGTATATTATATATATATGGATATATATGGATATATCTGTGCTTTATACATAAAAAGAATAAGATTTTTTGCTGCCCTTCCCTCCCTACACCCCAGAAAGCATGAACTTGGGTCCCACTGAAAACGCACGTCCTACAGCAAGTCAGGGTCAGCAGTTCTTTCATTCATTCCACAGAATTTGCTGTGGGCTTCAGACCAGAGCACCTCACAGTCATTTTCCCTCCTGAAAAGTGGTGGGACTTACTCTAAATTGTCTCATCAAAGAGAAGGGGAAGCTCAATTGAAGTCAAGAAACACAGGAAGCTAGGAGTGAGGTAGAGTAAAAGTAGCCTTATTTGTGGCAGAGGGTCTGCAGGATGGGACTCCAGCTGAAGCTGGCTCAACCCATTCAAGTCTGGCAGGACCCCACCTCCACATTAGTGTCCATAATGCCCCTACCCTAAGGTACAGGACTCCCAGGAAGGTAGGCCTTGCATGCCCCTGCAAGAGCATGCTGAGGCATGGCCACACTCACGTCAAAAAACCCAGGGAATTAGGACAGGGAGGATCCTCAATTCTCCCTAACTAACCTTCCTATTTTACAAAGAGGAAAGTGGAGTACAGAGGGAAGTGACTCAGCCAACAACAGAGTGGCCTTGTTAATGGCAAATGGACAAGAAGGCAGGTCCTGATACCCTCTCAAGAGTGTTCGGTCAAATCTAGCCCTGGCGTATCTCAGCAAAAGATGCTGATCAAGATCCAGCCCAATGCCCTGCTCAAAACAGGCTCCACAGCAGGTTAGAAACATGCAGAAGTTTTCCCAACCACACATGTGGCAATAACAAATGGCTTGCAGCAGTAGTGCCTGAGATGCCTGGGCCCAGGAAAAGTGAGGCAGAGAGACAACCTTGCAAATCAACACCAACATACTCGACTCCATTCAGGAAGCTTGCACTGGTGTTGCTCACAAAACAGCAAGAAGAAGCACCCACAGTAGTCGGAGGCGTTATTTGGGGAACATTGATGTCTGAAGCAGCTCGTTTGCATTCTTAGAACCAGATAAGCTACAAGAAGACTTATCCTTCAAGCCACAACTGTAATACCACCTCTTCCAGGAAGCTCTCACCAACTCTTCCCTCCATTCAATCAGAAGTAAACCCTCCCACCTCTCAAAACATTCAAGTTTTATCATTTTTGTGGCACTATACTGCCTTGTATCATAATCACTATTGCATTCACTTTTGCTTATGGTGTGTCTCCCTTTCTAGATTATAATCTATATTTTAGATGTAGATATAGAGCTAGAGGCTGGGCACGGTGCCTCACGTCTGTAATCCCAACACTTAGTGAGGCCAAGGTGGTGGATTATTTGAGGTCAGGAGTTCGAGACCAGCCTGGCCAACATGGCAAAACCCCATCCTTACTAAAAACACAAAAATTAGCCAGGCATGGTGGCAGGTACCTGTAATCCCAGCTACTCGGGTGATTGAGGCACAAGAATCACTTGAACCTGGGAGGCGGAGGGTGCAGTGAGCCAAGATTGTACCACTGCACTGCAGCCTGGGCAACAGAGCGAGACTCCATCTCAAAAAAAAAAAAAAGAAGAAGTAGAAGAAGAAGAAGAAGAAGAAGGAGGAGGAGGAGGAGGAGGAGGAGGAGGAGGACGAGGAGGAGGAGAAACAAACAAAAAGATATAGGTCTAGAGATGTATATATTTTACATTCCCTTTCAATGTCTAGAACTGGTCTTTGCCCCCAACATATACTTAGTAAGTATTTGTTGACTGAATACTCTTATGTAAAATCTATCAGGGGCAATAAAAAATTACAAATGATTCAACAAAATAGAATTCAAAGAAGAGAAGCCTTAAAGCATTGGTTTTTTTTCCTAATTCCAAAAGCAAATCCTCCTCTTGGAATTCAGAAAGTGACAAGAGTTGTTGACACAGGAATATGGGGGAAGAGGGAGTTACATTAATCAGGGATCAAAACAAAAATCTTTATTTTCCCAAGAGTCCCTTGGCCTCTGCCAGATGCTTTTTAGGAGGAAGAGATTTCACTTTTCAGGGATGATCCCCATAGAAATGGGGGTGAAATTCAGTTGAAAAGGTAAATAAAAATAAAAGAGTTAAAAGAACACCATCAAAAGGCACATAGAACTCCCAAGTCAGAGTTCTAATTGGTCAGGCAAAATAGGATTGTGAATAGAGCAGAAGGCTGCACTGCAAAAGACCCTCAAACTGCCAACAGAAATCTGAAATCCTGAACAATGAACACCAGGCAGGTTTGGAAGAAAATGCTACTTCAAAGATTCCTAGTAAGACCTTTTTACCCATCTGGAGAGACCACACACACACACACACACACACTCACGCTTATGCACATAACTGATGAGAATGTTCCCAGGCCTTGGTAACCTTCCAACAACCATTGTTGCCAACTGCTGTGCCCTTTGGTCCCAAACCACCTGCCTGGTGCAACACAAGCCAGAAATTCCAGCTGAGCATCCCAGGACCATCAAAGTTTACACTAGCCAGGTGACTTCCAAGCCTGAGGGAACAGCCAGCTCAAACGTTTCACTCGGGATCACACCAAAAAGCAGCTGCCTGAATAACAGGACCATAACCAGCTCCACTAAGATTTCCCCTCTGGATAAGAAGGGTCACTGGTGCAGCCAGGATATGCGCCGTGAGGCAGGAAGAAATATTCAGGTAAAAGAAGCAGAGAATGTGATAGTCTATGTATTTCTTTCCGGGGAATTTCAAACCTTCTTGGACACAAAGACCTAGACATGACCACTGACATAGCTTCTCTTTGCCCCTCTACAGCTATCCTAAATCATAAAATAGCTAGAACTTATCCAAGATCACGCAACTCCGGAACTCTCACTCTTAAGCATATACTATACCATGTCTTGTGTTAAGATCCCAGGGAAATCCTCGTAGTTTGTATCTCACATGCTCTCACTGACACAGAGTAACCCCTCAATCTCTCCACTGGGATATATGCATGTTCCTGAGTATTTATCCAATTCAGTAAGTTAAATGAAGCCTTATTCAGCACGTGCTAGGTGAAAATCAGGACTAGATGCAGGGCCAGCTCCATCTGGTGGCAGGAGTCAGGGCTCTCCTCGTTGCAGCTCACCCCCAAGGAGAAGGTGCTTGGGGACCCACTGGCCATAATGCTGGGTGGGATGTTCTGTGCAATGAGCAAGAAGTTAAATCTTCTTGCATCCTTGATCTGCTCTCTGCCTGCCTTGTTTAGTCACTGCCTTCCTTTCCAGATCATGTCCTCATATTTGGTTAGTGTGGTAAATTAAGCCTTCAGCTCCCTACCAACCCCCACATCCCAATGCCTCAGGGTTATAATTTAGGCCAGCTGTGCTCTAGTCTATACTTCCCTAGACCATCTCCCCATTAGATTCAGCTGTCCTCATCCTTCCTACCACCAGAGTGATCAAAACCTGAGGATGGGCCTCAGACAAAAAGACAAAGGAAGCCAGATTTTAGTCCAGTTCTTGAACTCCTCAGGATGCAAAGAGAATGCTGTGACACATACATGGTGAAGCCAGCTCGTCCAGGCTATGAGTTCTATGTGGGGCTTTTAGCCAATACTCTGTAGTAATAAATAGCATGCAATTGTCTGACCTTGTCTTCATGCATTTTCACCTCAAAACCAGTAGTGGTGAACTGGGACTGAGTGAGGAGTCTGGTTTTCAGGATCTCACCCATGTCCATCTCCATGTTAAAGATACAAAGATCAACGACCCATGGTCCTTCCCTTCCTTCGAGGAGCATACAATCTAGTGGAGACATAGATTTCTGACAAGTAGTCAGAAAAAAGGTAGTCTGTGCCCTGGGAACACAAAAGAGGTCATGATGGATGTCAGTGAAAACATTAGAAGAGGTTTTACAGGCCTTGAAGGATGAATCGGATTCTGATGGCAAGGAAGGGAAGTGCAGTCCAGGTCAAGGGAACACGTGAGTAGAGACTATGACGCATGAAAGGGTGTGCAGTTTCGACTCAGACGGATATCAATGGTTGACACACTGGGTGCAGGAAAGGCTCCATGTTACATGACTCGGCTTTTGTCCTTTAACAAGTAAGCAGATACTATAGGTTTGGAGTATTTATTTTCTGAAAACTTCCCTACCTCTCCCTTGAACTCTGGACTAGCAAATCCAGCTCATGGGCTTGGCATGCCTGTACTTGTCGTGGTCACACATATCTCAAACTTAATGTGTCCAAACCAAACTCTTCCTTTTCTCTCCAAATCTACTCTTCTTGAAGTCTTCCCCACCTTTCTGCTGCTTGAGCCAGAAACCTAGGAGTCAGGTTATATTCCTTTCTTTCTGTCACACTCCATAGCCAATTCATCAGCAAATTCTAATAGCTTTACCCTGAAAATATATGCTGAATCCAACCACTTTCTACCACCATCCCTATGGTTACCACCTTGGTCCAATCACTATTATCTATTGCCTGATGTATGTTTGTTTGTTTGTTTGTTTGTTTTTCAGATGGAGTCTTGCTCTGTCACCCAGGCTGAAGTGCAGTGGTGCGATCTTGGCTCACTGCAGCCTCCGCCTCCTGAGTTCAAGCGATTCTCCTGCCTCAGCCTTCTGAGTAGCTGGGATTACAGGTGGCCACAATCACACCCAGCTAATTTTTTGTATTTTTAGTAGAGATGGGATTTCACCATGTTGGCCAGGCTGGTCTTGAACTCCTGACCTCGTGATTCACCCGCCTCGGCCTCCCAAAGTGCTGGGATTACAGGTGTGAGTTACCCTGCCCAGCCTGAGTTATTACAAGAGCTTCTTGTCTGCCACCCAGAGTCTAACCTCTACTCAGAAGCCAGAGTGATCCTTGAAAAATGTAAGTTAAATCATGTCACAGTCACTTCTCTGCTCAAAACCCTTCAGTGGCTTCCCCTAACTCAGAGTAATGGCCAAAGTCCTTACCTTGGCCTCTGTGTCCAACAAGACCTGTCCCTACCATCCTCTCTGAGCTCTTCTCCTACCACTCCCTCCTCCTGCCTCACCCCCACATGCTGGCCTCCTTGCTCTTACTCATTCACCAAGCATGCTCTGCCTCAGGGCCTTTACACGCGCTGCTCCCTTGGCCTGGCTCGTTGCTCTCAGGTACCTGCACACCTCACTCTGTCACTCCAGCCAGGGCTCTACTCAATCACCTCCTTGTCAAAGAGACCATTCCCTGACCTTCACATGTGAAAAACAAATTCCTACAGCAATCACTCTTTTCCCCTTACCTTGCTGTATTTTTCTTTGTAACATTTATTGCCACCTGATGTATTATACTTTGTTTTTCACATATCTCCTTCCACTAGAATGTAAGCTCTATGACAGCAAAGACTGTTGTATTCACAGATGTATCTCTGTGACTAGCATGGTGGCTGGCACATAGTAAGTGCTCAATAAATATGTATGGTGAATAAGCACAGAAGTATACACAGTGCTATTTTGTAATGTCTAGATCAAGAAGGTGCATGTCTAGAGTCAGAGACACCATCAAAGACCACCAAAGAGGTTCTTATAATGATTCAAGACAGTCATGGATGAAGTCCAGAGCTAGGGCAGATCCGGGGCTTGCATATGTTTATATACACACTTACGTTATTGGAAGCATAAATAAATAGTGGGTCTCTGGTCATGTCTAGTAGCTTCAAGTCACAGCAAACCCAACTCAAAGGGACTAGAACATTAACGCAGTTCTTTGTGTCCACCAATAAGCATAGAGAGAAAGGTTCCAGAGACGGCTAATTTAGCAGCTCACTGATAACACTGTGGACCCAGTTTTTTCCATCTTTCTGTTCAGACATTCTCAGCATTTTTTGTTTTGTCCTCAGACCTGTCCCCTTATGGTCACAAGGCAGCTATGGTGGCTTCAAGCATTACATCCTCAACTAGCAATCCCCATCATCCAGAGACTATTTAAGAGAGAGCATTCCTTTCCCAGCACCACTTTAAGAGTGAGGGGAGCTCTCCAGAAATCACAGAGCAGATTTCTCCTTCCATACCATTGGCAGAGTTTAATCCCATGCCCATTCCTAACCAGTGCCTGGCAAGGGAATGGGAAAGCTGTGACAATCTTGGCTTAATCAAGATTTATACAAGGGCTGGGAAGGACCACTGTCCCCTGAAACCAGTGTCTTAGGATGCCTGAGCCAAATTAGGGTTCTGTTAGGAAGGAAGAGGGGAAGAAGAGCTATTGTCTGTTTGTGACAGAATGAATAACAGCCTGGGAGACATCTAGTTCCTCCTCCCTGGGGCCTACAAATGTTGCCTTATGTGGCAAAAGGACTTTACAGATGTGATTGAATCAAGGATCTTGAGATGGGGAGATAAACCTGGATTATCCAGGCACAGCCAATGTAATCAAAAGCCTTCTTAAAAGAGGGAAACAGAGGGAAATTTGAAAGGGAAGAGAAGAAGGCCATGTGATGAAGGAAGTGGCGATTGGAGTGGTGCGGCCACGAGCCACCAGAAGGTGGAGGAAGCAGGGAACAGTTTCTCCCCTGGAGCCTCCAGTAGGAACCAGCACTGCAGACACCTGGATCTTACTCCTGCAGGCCTCATTTCAGACTTCTGGCCTCCAGAACTGTAAGGTGATAAAGGCATGTTGCATGAAATCACTAAGTGTGGCAATTTGTTACAGCAGCCATAGGAAACTGATACAGCTGGGGAACCAATGATGTCCATCACAAGTAGAAAAGCATTGGAAAAGGCCTATTAGATATTAGGAAGACTTTCACTCAACTTTTAATAAACAGGGGCTTTAATAAAAATTCATCACAGCATACTATGCAGCCATAAAAAATGATGAATTCATGTCCTTTGTAGGGACATGGATGAAATTGGAAATCATCATTCTCAGTAAACTATCACAAGGACAAAAAACCAAACACCGCATGTTCTCACTCATAGGTGGGAATTGAACAATGAGAACACATGGACACAGGAAGGGGAACGTCACACTCTGGGGACTGTTGTGGGGTGGGGGGAGGGGGGAGGGATAGCATTAGGAGATATACCTAATGCTAAATGACGAGTTAATGGGTGCAGCACACCAGCATGGCACATGTGTACATATGTAACTAACCTGCACATTGTGCACATGTACCCTAAAACTTAAAGTATAATAATAATAAAATTTTTAAAAAAGTGAAAAAAACAAAAAAAAAAATTCATCACAGCCCCGCCTGCTTCTGGCTTCTTCCATAGCAAGATGTTGGAGGCTGAGGCCAGCCCTGGGCCAGTTCTCTTCCACTTTGCTTGGCCTCTTATACAGCAGTAGCTTTAGGAAATACTATTTTCAGACCTGACATAGAGAAATCATCTTATTTTTTAAGAGCATTTGCTTCCCTAGCTTTTTCTTTTTTTATTTTTTCCCCAGTGGGAGGAGGAGAAAGAGAAGACTTCATGCCCTGAAGTAGAGATAATTACCTTCCAGATTTTAAAACTGCATTCCCACTGCTTATGCCATTCTGATCAAAGTCAATCATGAATTAAGAACAAACTGGGGCCCTCTATTCACTATTTCCTTAAATAATCTTTCTTCGTCTCCTCTTTGAGGAAAAAAAAATTTAATCCAAATACTATAAACCATAATGATCATGTTTCACGTTTATATTCTCAAAGAACATCAGCATCATTAGGCAGTTAATGCATCTGCCACTTCTCTTGGTGAGGCAGGTCAGTACCGTTCTTCTCTCTGAGCAACAGCCATCCAGGTGCCATGAGATTCAGCCCTCACTCATCAACTTGTCATCCATCAGTCACAGAGTCAGGGCTGGAAACCAGGTCGGCAGAACCTCAGATCTTTCCAACATACATAGGACCAGTAAGGGCCAACGGCCTCCAGAGAAGATTGAGTTAAAAAAGAAAAAGCTTATCAATTAATAACAGGATTTAAGTGGATTGTTCCCATTCTTTAGGAGAGATAAGATTTGTGACTAATAAACAGAAAACAGAAAACAATGTAAAATCCAACAGCTACGTTGTATGGCACAGACAATAGAGCTGCAGCAATTCAGAGAAAGGAGAGGTGATTGAGGAGGTGTGTCCCCGTGGAGTTCTCTTTTTCCCATGGTTTATATCAACTAGAATTGTCATTCTCAGAGAGGTGCTCTGTATTACACAGAACACATATACGTTCTACCTAAAGACAAAACAGCGACTACATCCACAGCAAAAGAGAGCACATTAGACACTGGTAAATCGGGCCTCTGTGCCCCTGTTATTGACTGACCTGGATTTAAGAAATCTCCTATGTCTTAGTTATGGCATTGCTACAAGCCTGTGACCCAGCCTGGATCCCTGCTCTGAAGAGACAACGCAGAAAGGAACTTGTATGACTTGAAGCATCTTATCATTTGCTGAAATGTGCTACTTCTTTTAAGGAGCCCAGTGTCTCACTTAAGGCCAACAGGGGATGTCAGTGAATTTTTTTCAGATAAGACAGAGATGAATTAAGTCAGTGGTTCCAGACTTTGGGATTTTATAGACCCACGAAACATCCTCTCCTCTCCCTCTCAAAAAAATGTGAGTGATTCAGGAACCTGTAAAAAAAATTAGGAATTTGTTATTTTACCAAATAAAGGGACTTGAGAGAGAAGAAAAGCAGCAGCTATTATCTACTATTACCTCATTTTATTTTTAAAGAAGAAACTTTAACACCAAATAGAGTAAAAGGACCTAATCTCAGAATTCTAACAGATAATACATTTGGCTTAACGAAAAGCTCACTCTATTTTTTTTTTCATCTCATTGCAGACGGGTGAAAATTTTGCAGTGTTCTGGCACCAACTGCATACCTGCATTTGGAAACCACCGGGGTGAATGCTTCCTGAGGTCTCTTACAGCCCTTATTTTATAAGATCCCATTTGCCATTTTACCTTTTCATACAAATTCAAGGAAAGCCATGCCACATATCTATCTTGTTCCTTCAAGCCACAGTGACAGACTGTGCCTGCAGAGGACAGTTCCTGAGGGAACACTTTTATACATTCACCTATCTACTCATTCATTCATTCATTCATCATTTAATAAGTACCTATTGACTATCAAGGACTATATTGGGAAATGGAGACGCAAAAAGGAATTTCCAAGCCCTACTGACACACAAATCATGAAACAAGGAGACAAAGTTGCAGGAAAACCTACAAAAGCGGTGCCGGAGCCCATCCAGCTATGATGATCAGAAGGTGAGGGGGTTTGGGGCATGGGGAGGGTGGGATAGCATGTACATGCCACCCGCCACCAAAAAGTACATCTTTCATTATACATACCCCGGTAATGATGCTGAGCTGACAGCAGGCATATCTTCAGATAAGCAGACAATGATACATCCCACTGTTCTAATTCTGGAACTGCTATGCCACCTCATTAATATGTGAAAATGTGTTAAAAAGCTGCTGATAAACAGCTGCACAGAGGCAGAAATAGTGGCTCCCATCACATTTGCAAGCTTTATTGGCTCTCCAACATGGCGTAAGAAACGAAGCTTTGCCTGCATGTATAAACTGGGTAATTTGCTATAATGCTCCACTTTATTGGTAGACATTTTGCCATATCATGTCTCCCCAACCACAGTTTAAGGACACTTTGTTTTACACAGCTCTGTAAACTGCCTCTTTATTAGGAAGAACTGTCATGTTGACTAGCAACATTGCTTTAACATTCCAATTTATCAATAAAACAGAAGATTGACTAGCTTCCATGCATTGCACAGTTTCTAACAACTGAATTTCTACTTGCTCAGAGAGCATTTGATTAAGAAATTAAATACTAGTTATATATGAATCAGTGCAAGCCCTGAGTTCACTGAGGCCATGGAAAGTGCAGTTCTTAGGCAAGGGGAGTAAAATTTTATCCTAATCCAAGACCAGCCCAAAGGTTAGAAAAGAGGCTTACCCAAAATGTTACAGCCAGAGCAGATTTTCAAACCTCAAGGGCACTACTTTCCAGCTCCAGGAGCAAAAGTCCCAATTTACCTGACCTCAGGGATGGCTCTGCTTCGTATTTCTCCAGCTACGCTTCCAGCTAAAGAAAAAGTCCCACTGAAGCACAATCCAATTACCTCCTTTCTCCCACCACCTCTCCCCTTTCCAGTGACAGATTGATGGGCTCCTCAGGTGCCTCCTGAGTGTGTCCTGAGACAGGGAACAGAAACATTGAGCTCACCGAATTGATTTCCACCTGCTTACCTATTTAGACCAGGCCTATGGAGGTGATTTTCATCACTGACCTCCCCTTGACCCCTCACCCCCTGCCCTACCCAATAGAGGAATTACAGCCTGTTGGGGGAACCCTCTGCTCTGGATAAATATGCTGTTTGCTGTTTGGTACCAGGTGGCAGCTGCTCCCTTCCTTCTGGGTCGGGGATTATGTATTTGTATAATTTTTATATTATGTTTATTTTCTTGGCAGATGGTTATCTCATTATTGGGGTGGCATGCGGGAGAGAGGAAGGGTGTAACTCTAGGGGTATGGTCTGCTTGATAAAAGGCAGATAATAAAAAGGTGGGTTTTTTTTAACACAGAGACAGCAGAACTATATAATTTAACCAAATGCAAAGAGCCTTGGATCCTGCAATTATCCAAGCAATGCTTGGAACAGGGTAACTTAGAGACTGGATTTTCTTTCTAGAAGCATTTAGATGACGCTCCTGGCACACACATCTCCTTTGGCCTAGTTCCCCTGGACCCCCATTTCCATCCTACTCCCTTAGAAGAGTGCCCAAACCAGCTTCTCAGGGTGTCTCCATCTCTAAAAAAAATGTGAGTGCTTCCTGGCAGTGCTGAGAGAAGGGGGCCTTAGAATTGCAAATACAGCATTAACTTAAAGCCTTTGGTATAAAATTTGACCTAATTAAGACACTAGCGGGGCAAAGCATTCCAATAGCAATTACACAGGTTGTAAAGGGGTGAAGTACCTTTTAAAACCAAGAAATGCTTTTGCCAGAAATAAGCGCCCCTGAGGGTCAAATGAGGAATTGTAAATGCAGGACATCACTTGCCTTGACCTCAAGTAGGGCGCTTCCCTTCTCTCAGCTGCCACAAATGTCACTGGCCTGGGGACGAAGCACTAGATTCCCTCTTCCCTAGAACTCCATTATCTCTTTCATGGACAGTTTCTCAGAAGCTGTGATGATCCTTTCATTTTACCTGCCCTACTAAGCCACTCATCCCTTCACAGATTTTGTTTGAGCACTTACCATACGCCAAGACCTGTATCAGCTTCTAAAGACGCAGAAAAGGATCAAACTAACAAGAGAATGAGCTCACATGATAATCTCTAGACCAAATATAATTTGTGGACATTTTTTGCAAGTTCTCCTGAAGTTCTCACGATGGAAAATTATTCACTCAGTTCTGTTTTGAATATTGAGCCCTTATTAGGCATGGGTACTGTGCAAGGTGCCAGAAATACAAAAATAAGTAAGTTATAATATCATCCCAGTCCCTGAAAGTCATAAGTCTAGTGGGAAAAAATAGGCATACACATAAACACTTGAGACAACAAGTAATATCCCTTGGTCGTACTTCGGAAAGAGAGGCACACAGAATCACCTAGCTGAGACAGCACAAGACTCGAAATAAAGTTCAGTGGTCCTGCTTGGTATTGCAGTACAGGTTCACCCACTTTAAATTAAGTGAACAAGAGATAAGGGTACAGGCAAGACTGCATAAGTTCAAATGCCAGGTCCTCCACTTTCTATGTGTGGTTCTGGGGTAGTTACTTATATTTTCTGTGCCTCCATTTCCTGATCTATAAAGTGAGCTAATCAAACCCCCTCTCCAAGTTGTTTTAAGGATTAAAGACAACATATATAAAGCACCTGCCTCGATGCTCTCCCAGTTCCATCATTAGCTGTGTAACGTTGGATGAGTTATTTGAACACTGTGCCTTAGCATCTTCCAAATATCTACTTCCTAGGGCCATTAAGAGAATTTAATGAATAAACACATGTAACCTCTTATATAAAATGCCTGGCACAAAATATCAGTTATTATATTGATGTTTTTATTAACCACAAATATACCCTCAATGTAATAATTAAAAAGCTTTACATTTTAAATTATGTTCTCCTATTTGAAGAAAAACACCATCAGCCTGGAAATCTGAACTTGAAGAGGATTTAGGAAAATTGATTAACCTCTCTGGACCATGGTTTTTTCACTGATAGAGCCCCCTCCTGCGGAGCCTTCCTGACAACCTCCTTCCCTGGTAGGCAAAGTCGGGGGCCACAATAACACACAAAGAGCACCTGGAGAAACGACTATCCTGGGTTGCTCTGGGTCACTTACTAGTTTCCTAATTCATCTGTGAGTGCTTTGAGGGCTAGGACTTTGATCTCACCTCTGTATCCCATAGAAGGTCCTAAATAAATGTTTGTTGATTCAGCAAGTCCCAAGATTTTAGCTGAGATGTTTGGGGGCACTGAGAGATTCAATTGACATACTTAAAGCCAACCATCTAGCTAGCAGAAAATGTGAGCCTGGAACTGAAAGTCTTCTCCTTCTTACTACAGTATCTTCCCCCAAGACTACAAAGTCAGCATCTACAAAGTGAGAAATTGGGAACGATTGTTTTCTTTACAAATAACTCTTTATTTCAGGGGGTTAATAACAATTACCTTTAAATTGCAAGCTACTCCAGTGCCTTTAAAAATTAATTTGATTTAGAAAATGTCAATGTATCTGCAACTCGTCAGTAATATACCTGTTGCTCAAAGCAAATGAGGCTGGATCCCGACTCACAGTTTTAATTGATGTGTATTATTAGGATGACTAACGCCATCTGTGGGCTTGGGGTTGGTTTGTTGTTGTTGTTTGCAAAGAGAAGCAGCTGAAAAATTAAATAAAGAAATCATGACTCTAAGGCTCTCATTGGTTCTTACTTAATTCATGGGCATTTATCCAAATACTCAAAGAAGTGGAATGAAATCTTGAAGCACAAAACTCAAATTATTTTCACTCCAGGACAATGAGGTTTTCTCATGATCCCAAATCATGATTGTAGAACACCAAAACAATGAAAAACAGTGATTATCTTTTACATTCCAAAATGAGCCCTTAAAACTCAGAGACAAGTTTTAAAAGTCAAGGCCTTGGATTTCTAAGAACCAGTTTGGGGAAACACAAAAATTAGCTAAAATTTTCTAGCCAAAAGTCTGGATGTATTGACATAGGATCTGTTCCATCCTGTGCTGGTAAGTGGGACTTTATGGAGTCTTCGTAGTATCAGCCACTTGGAAGATGCTTCATGGAGAGGCTGTCTTCTGCGTAATCTTCTCTTGGCAATAAAGAGTAATTGCGAGGAAGGGGAAGTGAAAGAGGCTAGGAGTGGAGACTGGGGAAAAGAGACATTCCAAAATGAGCTTCATGGGATGGCACCCACATATGTGCAACACACAAAACCATATACACTCCTCACCTGGGGCCCTTGCCTTCAAACGCATTCCATTGCAACATTCACAGTCCTTTCCTGCCTCCAAATCAAGAGCATGGAGAAGCAGGAAGAATTTCTGCAACGGCAATTTGGCAAGTCTAAATCAGATCATCGTCCTTTCATAGATCATGGTGGTATTTGTGATCACAGTACACTATTACCCTTGTTTATCCAGACTTTGTCTGCATCCACCACATCTTAAGGCCACTTTAAACTTGGCCAACAGGTATGCTACTCTACACAGCTAGCAGTGAACTTCACTTTCATCTTAGCCTATAGGGATGATATAATTTGAACATATTATATACTTCCCTCAAAATTAAATATGTGAAATTCCTATATTATTAAGGGATTGAAGCTACAAAGTTATTTGTACATATATTTAGAACAGTTCTCACATTATGCAGAAATTTCTATGTTTACATGTCTGTCTCTCCCACTAGACTGTAAGTATTTTAAGTGTCGGAACCATTTTTGTTGGGAAAACAGCAATGCCTGACGTGCCATTCAATTAATATTTGATAAATCAGTGAACAAATGTACACATGCCCAGGGATAATGTGGCTAAGGGCCCAGATTCTGAGATCAGACTACCTGGATTCTAATTCCAGCTCCATCCTTACTAGCTGTGTATGTTTGGACAAGTTACCTCACCTCTCTATTCAGTTTTTTATTCCTAATATATGTTGAAATCACAATACTATATACTGCATAGAAAGTATACATACATAGAATGCATGTGTCTGACACAAAATACTCAATAAATGTTACACTATTATTATTGAAATTCAGGATGTCTGACCACTGTAGCTACCAAAAGACTCCAAGCATTTATCTGGTTTAATCTCCTAAAACCCCATTTTGTAAGACTTCATTTCATAAGCTGAGGCATGATTCAATGGCCTTCCAAAATGTGAACGAGTTCCCAGGCACAGGTGGTGGGGAGCAGCTGTTTTCCATCTCTGCTGAGGACCAGCTAAGAGTCTTAAAGAGCCACATGAGTGATTGGAGTATAAAGTATTAGAAATAGCTTCCTAACGTTTGAGGAACCACAGGCTGAAACCTCAAAGGAAGCCATGGAATCCTGCTCTATTGAGAATTCTTTAAAAATTGGGTAGGTTAACTGGCTCTCTCTAAGGTAGGTAAGGGCCAGGAAAACATCTCACAGTAAAATAACAAGCAGTTTGCAAAGGTCAGTTGAGTTTGAGTTAAACTGCTGTTGACCCTGATTATCTGGAAACAGGAATATACAAAAAGAAAGAAAGTATGGGAACAAGATTCCTCTACCTAGTGCGATTGTAAAGAAAACATTTTCATATGCTGTTAATCCTTGTTCAGAATAACTTTAAATCTCATTAAGAAACCATTTCTAAAGGACCCGAATGAATGATGCCTGGTATAAGTATGGCCAATTAACGAAATGAAAACAGGCCGTTGTTGAGGCCACATTTAGGGACAACCTCAGTTAAGTACCTAACATTCTGTTGCTTGCAGATCATGCTTCATGCAATTTTCAGCTTAAGACAGCAAACAGAAGAGGGAAAAAGTCACTTCCATTCCACTCTTTGGGGGAAAAAGTGAGAGAGAAACTCATGTGATTGGAGAGACCCAAATTACACACCTATTATTCTTTTCAAGAAGAAAGAGGGTTTTGCACATTCCCTCTTGGGTAGAAAATCTTCTGATTTTAGTGAAGAAGTAGATGCAGTCTCTTGCTCCTCTTCTTGGTTACTCAGAGGAAGAGACCAAAAAGAAAGAGACTTTCTAGGGGAAAACAAAGCTAGCAGAGGCTTTGATCCTGAGCAACCTGAAGCCTGCGAGAGGGCTGAACAGAGAGGACACACAGGTCACTGAGGACTCACGGCTCATTTACAGCTCTATAGCCACATGAGGGGATTAGACAGAGGGCTGGAATGGTAACATGTGATAAAGACCCTGAAATGGAATTTAGTGGTTTGTTCACTTTCAAATTATAGAACATTAAGTTTAAATGTTTTCATATAAATATTGAATTATATGTATATAGCAGAATCATAAATTTGCACACTACTACTCAGCTTTTCAAGGAAAGTGTGGCTCATTTCCTATGACTGATCTATTTTTCCTCCAAGCTTGGATCCTGTTAAGAAGCAGGTGAAAAAACAAACTTGCCAATTAATATTATCTCAGGCTCTTCCCTTTCATACCATGTCTTTTGATCTTTCATTTTTTGAGAGAGAAAGAGAATTCTGTTCATTCTCTCTCCCCAAACAGCTCATGGTGATGGAAAAGAGGGCTATGACCTTCACAGTGTGGCCTATTCATTGCTGGTGGCTGGTCTGGCCCACTCCTGACCTTTTGCCTTTTGGGATACTACTTGTCCCATCTGGCCTTTGGGGTCATTATGCAATTATTCTCTGCTAGAGTCTACACTACAGCAGGCTTCAGGGAGCTCGGAGCTCTGCCTCAGATCCCCAAAGCCAAGCTGCTATGGCTCCCCAGACACATTGGACACACTGCCAAGCCAAAGCCAGCTTCTCCTCAAGTCTTGCAGCCTCCCTTCCCAAGATTACCAGGGGAGCTAGAGGAAAGGGCCACTAGCCCAGTATGCTCCCTTTCATAGCAGTGTATATCTGTCACAACCTGCTCTATTTCCCAAGCCTCCTTCCCAAGCCTCCACCTTATCAAAGGAGAAAACAATATTTTCTTCTGACAGCTGCACTTGCTTTGTTTCACTACAACAGATTTTAACCAGTTGAAGTTGTAAAATAACCATGACCTTTAGCAATACCACCACCACTACCCAAAGAACACAGATGGGCAACTAAGAACTGGGAGTGACCCCAGTTCCTCAGACCCTTACTGGACCTAACATTCCTAACCAATGAGCAACTGGGCTTGTTTTAACCAAGCATACACAGATTAACGACACATTCGGACTTTGCCAGAGTAAAATCTTTCAATTATGAATCACCATAAACACCAAGAACCTCCTCCCTTCCTAGTGCACAGAAACCCCTGACTCTTCCTCTTCAGAAAGTATATTCATTGCTCTGTATTCCTTTGGCCTGGGAGGTAACTAAACTCAGTGCTTGCTTTGTTGAGCATGACAGTAGCCACTGGTATTCCATGAATTCTCTTAACGGGAGGAGGACATGAGGACACAGGCATCCGACATCTGTGCCTTCCTCTTTGGTCTGCAATCTCCTCCCCTAAAGTGCTTTATTTCTTGGACAGGACCTCCCCTACGCCATTGCTCCCATGGGCACAAAGCCTCATGGCCTAATGTTGGTGTTAGAAGGGATGCAGGAAGAGAAACTGACTTGGCAATGACACATATTGAGAAGTATGTTTTAATCATCATTCCTGTCCTATACAGGTATCAAGAACAAAAAATCTATAGTCAGATCTGGTAGGCCCAAAAAAAACAGTCCAGATCTTATTAGATTGCAAATTAACAATAAAAGACACTGTAATAAAGTACAGTTGAGCTTTGAACAATGTGGACATGATGGGCACTGAGCCCTGCAAAGTCAAAAATCCACATATGATTTTTGACTCCCCAAAAACTCAGCTGCTGATAGCCCACTGTTGACTGGAAGCCTTATTGATAATATAAACAGTCAATTAACACATATTGTATATGTTATATGTATTATACACTGTATTCTTAAAGTAAGCTAGAGAAAAAACATGATTAAGAAAATCATAAGAAAGAGAAAATATATTGACCCTTCATTAAGTGAAAGTGGATCATCATAAAGGTCTTCATCTTCATAGTCTTCACATTCAGTAGGCTGCGGAGGAGGAAGAAGAGGGGTTGGTCTTACTGTCTTGGACAGGCAGAGGCAGAATAAAATCCAAGTATAAGTGGACCCACACAGTTCAAACTCATTTTGTTCAAGGGCCAACTGTACCTAGCATATACCAGGCCCATTTCTAAGGGCCTAACTCATTTAATTTTTGCAATGTCCCTGTAGGGCAGGTACTATGATTATTATCATCTTAATTTTATAGATGAGAAAACTGAAATACAAGACAGTGAGGTAACCTTGCCCAAAGTTACAGGGTGAGCTACGGATGAGCCAGGATGCAAGACTAAGCAGTGTGGCTCCTGTGAAACTCACACACTAATGCCACAGCACCACCACTGGATGTCAGCATACCAAATTGAAGGAGCAGCAGCCTTTTAAGGAAAAAAGCGGAACAGCATTTACTGAGGGCCTTCCAGGTGCAAAACATTTATGCATACATTTTCTAATTTAATCTAAGAGGTTAAAAACAACTTTTTATGGAACAAAATATACAACACTTAGTTCAGTTAGTAAAGTGACTGACTTGCATCAGAGGAGCTTTTTGTTCATATTTTTTAAATTGGAAAAATAATAAAATTAGAGTAGACTTAGAAGTTAAGAGGATCTGTCCCTAGATTCCTCATTAACAAAGGGCTCTTTCCAGCTATTCACACTTGATCACACAATAAAACCATTATTAGAAAGACTTCAGGGAAGAGACCACCAATGTACTTTCTTCCTCTGTAAAAATCAGCCAGAGACAAGCATTTGCTATAAAATTATCTGGGTTTAATTATTATCAATATCAGAACTATAGAACATTAACGTACTAAACCTGTATTTACAATTACATGTACAAAAAAAAATGTTCTTTGTGAGGAGCAATTTTCAGCAAATCTGACAAACAGCAAGAGTCATTCCTATTTTGGGTTTGAAAAGAGAAATGGAAATTTCCAAGACGCCCCCCTCCTCCCTCTCACTCCAGTGACCCTCTGAACATCAATTTGCAAAGGCCTGAGGTAGAAAGGGAGGTATTAACAATATCAGGCACTCATTCTTCCCCTCTTATGAAAGGGATGAATTTTTAGGAACCGTTTTCCATCATTTATTATACTGATGTGCCATCCATCTGCATCATTAGGTTCAGTAGTTACCATGACAATATGATGCCTACAGCAATCTAACTTGATAGCCACATGCCAGAATGTGAAAAAATAGGACCAGCTAAGAAAGTGAGAGAAATATAATTAATCTGAACCACATTCAAAAAAATGTGCACAAAACTAGGACCAAGAGGGAAACTGCTGAAATATCATTGAAGAGGAAATTATAAAGGGCAGCAATAATCAAGTTTCAGTATAAAAACTTTGCTAAATAGAGCCATGTATTGGTCTATTACTAAGACAGGAAGTAGTCAAAGTTGGTCTAGAATATTGTTCTGAGCCCCTGCCCCTCCCCCTGCTTCCCATTTCTTGCTACAGGGCCCTGCGGTATCATCTTTGATTCTAGCTGTTAGGGCCCTAATTTCCCCAAGGCTCTCAAGCCACCACCATAAGTGCCACCACCATGTCACTCTGCTCATGTGCAGTCTGCTATTAGACCCAGACTTTCCACCTGATGAAATAATTTCCATCATTGTGAAGCTAATCTTAAGAGACTGAATTGTGCTGTGTCTTGAGAGATCCTGTCCTCTTGCCTTCTAAGTGCCCGGTGGAGGCATCGGGCTAGCACAAACCTCTTGAGGGTCCCAATATGGTAGAGAGGGGCTGGGAGATTGAGAAAAAGAGAGCAAGAAAGTTTCAGTCCTGGGAGATGAGCCTGGGACGTGTGTTTATTCTCAGCATGGCTGGGTGGGATAGCGACGCTGAGCTAGGCGATTTGGCCGATTCAGGCTAGTGGCCGTGGGCAGCTGGAAAAGAAGAACAAATATTACACTGAGTACAGCCCCAAACATGACTCTGCCCGGGGTTGATTGGACAGATGGAGCTAGGGCACCCTGAGCCTCTGTGTAGAACATTTCCCAAGGTTGTGTTCTAATTGCGTACCTCCACCCAACCCTTCACCTAACTGTGGTAAAAGAAATTTGATTTTTATAAAGAGAGGAGGCCAAATGAGACATTAGCAGAGCTAAGTCTACCCAGATTGCTGAGGAACAGGGAACTTAGCTTCTCTCAAAGTTTCCAATGATCCCTTCATCCCCAGGACAGAGTGACACTGCACCCACACTACTGATACCAACACCAACTGTGTCTCCCACATCTCAAGAGCTATTAAAATTTAAACATGATATTAATAGTAACTACATTTATTGACCATTTTCTGGGTTCCAGGCCCTTCATATACATATCTCTGAGCTAGCTACTACTAATCCCACTTTACAGATGCAGAAACTGAGACTTGGAGAGGCTAAATAATTGCTCAAGAACTCACATATCATAAATGGTAAACTGGGATGATAAACCTAGGTCTCCTTAATCCAAAACCTGTACTCCTGGCCAGCCCCTCCCCCTGAGGGCTTCCTTACCTGAGGCACCTGAGATGGGTTGTAAAGAGGAACAGCCCCTTTTAAGGCAGGTGGAGGAAGAAGAACACCAGGGTTGGAGCAGAGCTCAAAGGAAACACTCTGTGATGGAAAAGCATGGAAAATCCCATCAGTGCCTGCCTCCCAGATTCCAGAATGTCGAGGCCTTCAAGAAGCATATCAGGATTATTTGTTTTTTTCTCAGTGATTTCTTTAAGTTCCTTATCGACTCTCCAAAGGACATGAATATGCATTTCTCAAAAGAAGAAATGGCCAATAAACAAATGAAAAAAATGTTCAACATCAATAATCATCAGGGAAATGCAAATTAAAGCCACAATGAGATACCATCTTACTCCTGCAAAAATGACCATAACTAAAATGTCAAAAAATAATAGATGTTGGCAAAAGGGGACACTTATACACCGCTGGTGGGAATGTAAATTAGTACAACCTCTATGAAAAACAGTATGAAGATTCCTTAAAGAGCTAAAAGTAGAACTACCATTTGATCCAGCAATCCCACTACTGGGTATCGGCCCAAAAGGAAAGAAGTCATTACTTGAAAAATACACTTGCACAAGTATGTTTATAGCAGCACAATTCACAATTGCAAAACGTGGAACCAACCTAAGTGCCCATCGACTAATGAGTACATAAAGAAAATGCGGTATACGTATACGATGGAATACACTCAGCCATTAAAATGAACAAAATAATGTCTTTTGCAGCAACTTGGATGAAGCCGGAGTCCATTATTCTAAGTGAAGTACACAGGAGTGGAAAACCGAAAACCATATGTTCTCACTTATAAGTGGGGAGCTATGAGTATGTGAAGACACACAGAGTGACATAATGGACTTTAGAGATTCAGAAGAGGAAGGGTGGGAGGAGGGTCAGGGATAAAAAAAACTACATATTAGGTACAACCCACATCCACGCCAACACTACTTGGCTGGTGGGTGCACTAAAATGTCAGAATTCACCACTATATAATTCATCTATTAACCAAAAACCACTTGTGCCCCAAAAGCTACTGAAATGTTTTCAAAGAGAACCATATCAGAAGGGTTTCTTAATAGAACTCAGGGAATCTCAAGCAAGCAAACATGGTTCAAGTGGAAACAACCAACCCCTGGGTCTGGAGTGGCAATACTGACAAGAAGAAAAAGCCTCAATAAATTATATTGATACCATCATAAAAAGTAATATAGCCTTCAAAAGGCCTAAAACTCTACAAGAGTTATCTAACCAGACTTAAAGAAATAAAAATGTTTTCCTAGCAATAGATATGAAATCCATACTGATGTGGACAACTCATCAAGAATTTGTCACAGCCCTGGCCAAGGTCTCCAGTGAACTCCACCTCCTCCTGGGACAGGGAAAAAGGCAAGTCCCCAGGCTTCCCCCGAGGAAGCTGTTATAGGTTGAACTGTGTTCCCAGAAAAAAAAAAAATCACGTGTTGAAGCCCTAACCCCCAGTACCTCAGAAAACATATGTTTGGAGAAACATAAAAATACAACATTTGGAGATGGGGTCTTTAAAGAGGCAATTAACATAAATGGAGGTCATATTGGTAGCCCATTCCAGTATGACTGATGTCCCTATAAGAGGAAGAAATCTGAACACAGACACGCTCAGAGGAAAGGCCATGTGAAGACGTGGAAAGAAGATGGCCGGGCACAAGCCAAGGAAAGAGGTCTCAAAAGACACAACCCTGCTGAAACCTGGACCTCAGCTTTCAGCCTGGAGAACTGTGAGAAATTCGGTTTCTGTGGTCTGAGCCTCTGTTCTGTGGTACTTTGTTATGACAGCCTGAGCAAACTAACACAGCAGAGAAGCATTCTTCAGGTTCGCCAGGAGTCAGCACTGCCCACACTGAAGGTTCAGTCCTCACACACAGGCATCTGCTGGGGTCCGAGGCTCCAGCCCAGGGGGGCCGCTTACCTCTGGTCCAGACAAGCCTCCAACCCCAGCGCCCGCAGCTGCTCCCCCGCTGGATGCGGATCCTCGGCCTTCACCCCCACCTGGAAAGTAATGAGGCAGAGCTGTTTCCTCTGCTCAGGACTGGGGGTCCCCACTCCCAGAAGGCACCCCAACCCTTGGGAGTGCTGAGGGGACCACCCATGGCCCAGAGGACGTGAGGTGACGGTACCTCTGCCCCTGGAGAAGGCACTAACATCCGGCAGAGGTGGGGACTCAGGGGAAGGTGTCAGTGAGAGGCCCAGGCCAGCCTGGTGGGGAGAAGATGCTCTGGGGGTCTCCTGCTTTGTGGAGAAAGAAAGGCAGCATTGGCAACATTGGCAGTTAACAAATTGATGCCCGCCAATTTGTGTTCCCACACTCACGATGGCGGCCTTGCCACAAACTGCTGCTGGGCACTCCCCAAAACCCCCCTCCTCATCCCACTCTTCTGCTCAACAATCCACACTAGCTCCCTACTGCTGACCCTCTAAAGTTACATTTCTTCATCCAAACTTTTTAAAGCTTTTTTAATCTGCCTTTGCCCTCACAGGACCCATTCATTTCCCACCATATCCCATCACAAAACCTCTGTCTCATGTGGCCTGGGGTAGACTCAGGTGCCAGCTCTGAGAGCTCCTAGGTGCTGAGGCAGCTCCCTCTGAAAGACCCACAGAGAGGGGCATCCTCCCCCTCCCACAGAGCCTACCTCAGAGTCAGGGCTGTCTGAGGAGTCCTCGTCTCCAGCGGGGGATGCGTTCTTGGTGGGCTTCGATCGAAACCAGCTGAACCAGCCAAACCCTGAGCTCTGGAAGGGGAAGAGGACATTTTATGACCTGCAGGTTGGCTTCTTCCCCAACTATGAGGTTAACCCGCCCCCATGTAACCATCAGAGCCCAGACTTCCAAGTCTGCACCACCCTCGAGGAAGGGAATGGCAGGGGAAGGAAGGCAGGGGAGAGAAGAACAAGTCCCTCCACCTTTGTATGCTCCTTCCCATCTCCGAGCTTGCCTCTCTGGGCAGTATTTCGGGGAGAGTTTTTATCAGCCTCATCAGAGGACTCCTTCTCATCCTCCTTGGCTGAACTGGCGGAACTCTCAGAAATACTTCGTGGTCTAGCAGCCAATGGTGTCTGGAATTAAAGAAATAACTCACATTTGCATGGCACTTGACAGGTTACCAAACACATTTGCACATACTCCCTCACCTGACCTGCTCAGAAGGCAGTGGGACTGTTGTCTCAGGATCATATTGTACTGAAGAGGAAGGAAGGCTCAGCCATGAAAAATGACTCACTGAAGGTCGCAGGATAAGGACAGAGCCCAAGCCCATGTTATCCCTAATTCTACAGACCTTTGTCTGGTGTGCCACCTCTCCAGAAACAGACAGTTTTCAGAACTATGCCAAGGCCTGGAGTAGGGGGTATGGACTGCTACTGCTGGAGATGAAGAGGGCCAGAAAACAACCCACAGAGGCCCACAAGCTCCCCCCAAAAAAAAAAAAACAGAGAATGTAGCAACCACCAAACATAACTCATCTTAGAGCTCATTTCCTAACAGACTTGCTCAAGCTCAACTGTGAACATATGCACCAAAGGGGGGTAAAATACACCCACATCCCTTTACATTAACTTTTTTTTTTTTTGTGGTAAGATAGATACAGGATAAAGCTTGCCATTTTAACTATTTTTAAATGTACAATTCAGTGGCAGTAAGTATACACACAGTGTCGTACAACCATCACCACTAGCCATCTCCAGAACTTTTTCATCATCCCCATTACCTAACTCCCCATCTCCCCTTCCCCCAGGCCCTGGTCACTGCCATTCCACTTTATGTCTCTGAATTTGCCTATTCTATGTATCTCACGTAGGTGGAGTCATATGACATATTGCCCTCTTCTGTTATATTTACATTTTTTACTCTCAATAGAGCACAATTGATACAAACCTTTGGAAATACTTTAGGAAAATAAAGAAAAAAACTTTATTTTTTATTCAAATGAATATAGTGTTGACTTTGTGCCGGGCACTGTTTTAAGGGCTTTATATGTAGTGATTCATTTAATCCTTACAATAGTCCTGTGAGCTAGGTGCTATTATTATCTCATTTTATATATAAGAAAACTAAGGCACAGAAAGGTTAAGCAACCTGTGTCGGGTCACACAGCTCATAAATGGCACAGCAAAGGTTAAAAGTAGGCTGTCTGGCTTTCCTTCTAGGAATTTCTTCTAAGTGAATGATTCAAGACATAGACAAGGGCTTATATACTAGGATGACCAGCACTGTGTGTTATATATGAGTGAGAAAAGGAAGGAGGAATGGAGGGAGGGAGGGGAAAGGACGCAACACTCACAATGATTAACGACAACATGGGAATGATCCACCAGAATGCGAGCTCCTTACCATGGTCGTGGAGGCCCCATAAGTTTACCTCTGCTGCCCTCCAGCCTTGTTTCTCAGCCCTCCTCCCTACTGCTCCCCACTCTCAGGGCACAGTGGCTCCCTTGCTCTCCCTTAACTACACCAAGGGAGCCACTGCAGGGCCTCCAGTCCTGCTGTTTCTCTGCCTCAAACACCTTTCCCCCAGATATTCACCTGGCTCATTTCCATGCTCCACCCTGATCTCCACTTGAAGGCCTCCTCAGAGACACCTTCCTTGGCCACCCCTCTGAAGTGAGATGCCTGGCGCGTATAGTTGTCTATTTTTAGTCACTTCCACTAGACTTGAGCGCCTGAGGTTAGGCTTGGTCTGATGTGCTGATGCCTCCCCAGCCCCTGTGACAGGGTCTGGCACATTGTAGGAACTCAGTGAATATTTCAAATAAATGAATGAATAGCGCTACTTTCATAAAATCAATTTCGTCATGCCAATATTAAAAATCATATTTATGAATGACATAGAAAAATCTCATAGAGTGTTAAGTAACAGATATGAAATAAAGCTTTGCATACATATGTTCTTAGCCATTTAAAAACATGTATATGTGTATAATGTATATACAGATATACATATATGTGAGTATATGTGTGTATATATAGAAAAATAGTATAAGAAAAGAAAAATATTCTGACTGTTGGATTGAATGATATTTGATTCTTTATATGATACTTCACTATTAGATTTTTCTATAACAATAATGTACCACTTCAGTCAGGAAAAAAAAAAAAACGGAAAAACATTAAAGTTTGTTAAGACCTGTACCCCTGTTTTTCTACTTTAAAAAGTTATAGGATGTAACCCTCCAACCAGGAGAAGCTGAAGAACGCCTCAGGTTTGGGACCAACACTGCCCATTGCTGAGGGCAGGGGTGTGTCCAATCAGAGCTAGATGGAATGATTCACCAGACATGAGGACCTTACAGCCTAACTGAGGAGAAAAGACAGGCAGGCACTGTCACAGCTACCACAGATCTTTCTTTGAAATAAAGCCAGGTAAAAATTAAAACAAGGAAATATCAACAGTCTTCCATGGCAGGACAGGGTAGGGCAAGCGTTTTGTGCAGCACTGAGAAGATGTCAGAGGTAACAGAGATCTGAGAGGCCAAAACGAATCAGCTCAGTTGCTCCCTCTCTCCCCATGGACACAGGTTTGTGGGGCTGAGCGTAAACAAGAACACAGCCTCCCGCCCAGCTCCCAGGAGTTGGAATAGGAAAAGGCAAGGCGAGATGTGGAAGAGAAAGCTGCTGCAACACTGAGGAGGAGCTTGCATGTGGCTGGGAAACCAAGGCAACTGGTAAAAACCAGAAGCATTTGAGTGGGCAGTGGCATCTTTTATGCTGTGCGCTCTCACCTGTGGTTTGGAAATGACCTCTTGGCCATCAGGAGGCTGGGAAGTTTCTTGAGACACTGTGTTCTCTCCTGCATCACAAACAGAAATGGAAATAGCAATTGGAAGTTGTGCTTTTCCCATCTATCCTGAAGAAGGGTAACTGGGACACAATCAGCTTTCTTAACTGCAGCAGAAGCTCGGAGCCCATAAGCCCAAGCCAATCACAGCAAATACAAAGAATGCTCACGTAGCTCATCTCAATCCCAGCCACCCCAGGACATGCTGTTCAACTCATCCTCTACTTCCAAAGCCACTCTTCAGGAATCTTGGAAATCAGAGCAACATCAAGCTAGGTCACAGGGATCCTCCACCACTCCTCTCCATCTGAGCCTCCATCTTGGACAGGACCTAATCCTGGAAGGTCTAAGAGCTAATCATTCTAGATGGCTTCCACCATCTCCCTGGCATCACTCAGCATTGCTTACCCATACTCAGCCCTTGTTGTCGAAGGTCTGATGGGCCTGAAGAAACTCGGGACCAAGACAGAAACATGGGTTTCTGCTGGAGAGCCTGATAGTAAGCTCTTGAGTGCAGGATGATTGGAGAAAGAGAACTTGGCCTATATTTTTCCACCCTGTAATCTCTCTCCTAGAAACTATGTAATCATTTGGATGGCAGGAGTGGCTCCATTTGCCCTGCTGTACCCAGTGGAGAGATGGACTGGGCTGGAAGATAGCAATCTCCTTCAGATGTATGCAAAGCACCAATACAGTGGCTGAAAACTAGCAGGCCCTCCGTAACGGGCACACATCCACGCATCTGTGTCTTTCCCAGCTCCAACCCTACCTCCTCTGACTGGTCCCACCACCTCCCTTTCCTGCTTCCTCCCCACCCAGACCCTACATTCAATGTGGCCACCCTAGCGGCCAGGTCTTACCAGGGCCCAGGTGTGTCTGCAGCATTTCCTCCCAGACTGTTCCTCCAGTGGCCTCTGTCACTGCCACGCTGCTGCCAGTCCCTGGTAGATGGGTCTCAGGAACTGAGTAAAAAGGCCTCGGTGTCCCTGTCTGCCCTGCACCCCCTCCTGCTGGGTAGGAGCCCGGCTGGAGGGGAAAGGGCTGCTGTGGGCTGGGCTGGAGCAGGCAGGTCTGCTCAGGTGTCAGCCACAGAGCTGAGCGGTACCCAGGGGCTTCAGAGTAGCCTTGACATCCAGAAAAGTCCTGGTAGAAAGTGTTTTCTAAGGACGTGGAACAAAGGTAAAGAAGTCAGACCTGAAATGCGGCATTTGCATACTGATCACACCAGAAACATTCCTGCTTATGTCTTCTTTGGAAAGCAGTCACAAGGACGAGCTGTCTAATGCGGCTTCCAGTAACATGATGACAAGTAAAACACAGTGATTGTAACATCCTCATTGCTGTTTACAGAATTTTGTTTGTTTGTTTTTTTCTTCACTAGTGTACCCTAAAAATAAAATCCTAAGCTCCTCCATTGACTTAACAGACTCCCTTTTGGCCAAGGGGACCCCAGAAAAACCTTAAAAACTGAGTTCCCAGCCATGACAGGATGGGAGGTGAGACACCCCTCATTATACCCCCTCTCTTTTGCAGTTTAGACACAACTGACCAGCATTAATGTTAAAACAGAGATCTTAAGACTAACAGAAAAGACTCTTGGTGGCCATAAGATACCAAACTATACACAGAACCTAAAGCCCTGCCAGGCAATGGTTAAGTCCCGCACCCCTACACCTTAAGAAAAAACTGCGTTCTCACGGCCACAAGGTTTTTTTTCTCTGGCAGCTCAACAAGCACTGGCCTCAAGATGAGCAATGTTAGAACAATTACAACTCATTCCATTCACAAATGCTGACTAAATGAGCCTCCGTTCCATCAGCCATGACCACAGCTTTGATTGGACAAGACTGATATCAGTAACTTTCTCCAGATAAGAAGACCACCAACCATGAACTGGGTCTGGCCAGTTTACAGAGGCTCCCCACTTCAGTGCTTCTGTGTCCCGAAAAGATCTTTTGACGCATAGGGCCTAACTGTAATACACTTAAAGGATAAGTCTCCACCCCAAGGTGAACATGGGTCATGTGTTACACGCACATTAGTTCATTATCCATGTGTGAGGACCTCCTTTGTGAACAGTCACAGCTCCTCCTATAACCTGTTAAATATGTATGTTTGATCAACCCATTCAACTTAAATTCTTGTCTTACCTCTCCTTCCCTCAAAGTGCCTGGCTATACTTCCCAGCCTGCGGGATGGCCACCTTGCAGGATGGAACCCTTTGTAAGAAATAAAGTCTCCTTTCCAAATGTACACATTGTATGACTTTTTTTTTAAGTTAACACTGCCTTGTATGATCCCTGAGCCTCTAGCCAGTGGGTTGGGAGGGCTGAAATTACCATCCTATCTAACTCCACACCTTTTTATTTTTTGATAAATTATTTCTTCTTTAAGGACTTCCTGATGGACATGGGTATTTAAAACTTAGAAAGCTTCCAGCTAAAAACCCAAATCAGACCACAGAAATCATGGCTCTGTTCTTAAGGAATCAGAGTACATTTGCCCTGGAAAAGACCTGACTGGTAACATAAACTAAGGTGTGGACCTATAACAAGATTGGTCACAGGACTGGCATGGGTGGCCAACCCGCCTGCTCCACTGGGCACCAAGGCATCAGGAGGCAGGGCTGTGGGGAAGCACAATCCACAGGCACCCAGCCGGGCTCTCCTCCACCCCCCACCTTTACAGATCCTGCTACACAGTGAGAAACAGAAGCCAAGGCCTGCCCTGCCCACCCTTCCCTTTGCTCACGCCTGAGGAAGGACACAGGGCTGGGAAGAGACGGGGGCCCTTTCCCGGCCCTACTGCAGGGGGAACTTGGGGAAAGGGTACACAGTTAACCAGGGATATGGTGCCTGCCAACACACCATTGGGAATCATCCCAAGGGAAGAGTGGAGATGCCATGAAAACATTGAAACATACTTATTCCACAATCATCTGGCAATCACTAGCTCAAAACTCTTAAGGACTTCTGACATCCCCAGCACTCACATAAGATACAGATGAACCACAATCTCTGGACTCAAGAAATGTATCCAGCTGGAGAGAAGTTATTAACATAGGAGAAAGAATTGGCTAACAATACAGTGCAACACAAAAAACACTCAGATATTTAAAAACCTGAATCATGAAGCAGAAGCTCAGACTGAGGGAACTTAGAAGTGTTAGGGATGTGTGAGGCTGGCAGGAGCTGGGTGGAGAAGGCGCCTGGACAACGGGGCGGACTTACACAGGCAAGGCAGGCACCCTGGGAAGCAAAGGGCGAGTGCTTTCATAAATTACTTTGTCTCGTAGAATCAGATCCTGAGCGTCAGCTATGTATATGCTCAGTTCATCATTTTGGGTACCTGTTGTTGTTCCTCCGGCTCCCGAAATATCTGAGCGAGTAGGATGAGGATCCCCAATGTCTCCTGCTACCTTTTGCTATTTAAAATAAAGTAAAATTCCTTTTAAGCAGCACAAAGGAAAAACAAGAACAGAGAAACAAAGTGATTCAAAACTTAAGCCAAAAAGAAACTTCCAGTGGGAAAGACAAGGTAAGGGAAATGCTTGTATGCTTAGGGGCCTGGGGGGTCACGTGGACAGGGCTCCCAGCTCTGCTCAGAGCAGGCAGAGATGGCTGGAGACCAGAGTCATCCACCCTCCCCTGAAGGAAGGAGCGCATGGAAAGAACTAAACTGTAGGCCTCAGCACGTGCAGCAGATAGAAGGGGTAGAGGCTGTGTGTGCTTTAAAAAATCCACCCTGTCTTTTCTTCAGAGCAGAATGGGAAAAAGAAAATGGAGGAGGCCCTGTTCCAATTACTGTTCCAATTACAACCAGCAGCTTTTGCAATTGTCAGAACAAAAAGGAAAAGGCCCGGAAGTCTTTTAAGCAATTGCCCCACATTACATGAAAGTGACACTGGTCCACTGTGATCCATTGTTCCTAGCGGAGATGGGGAAGCTTTGATGGTCATGAAACATATTCTCTGGGGCCTCAGGGAAGGATGGCAAGAGTGACTGGGAAGAGCACCCCACCGTGTCACATGCGAACATAGGAAAACGCTTCCACACAGGGGACAAGCAGTGGCAGGGAAGCTGAGTCCCACCCCTTGCGCAGACACCAACTGTGCCTCATGGGTGATGGGAGAGACCAGGGTGAGGCATGGGGACCAGGGACTTGCTAATGTCAGTGCCTACCTGTTCCATGTCTAGGGGTGGGAAGAGGGAAACAAAGGCCAGTCCCCCCAACGCCCTGGCTCCAATCCCACTCACCTCCAGCTGCCTCCGAAGTTGCGCTAGCCAATCTGGCTCCAGGTCCCTGTCTCCACTGCGTCTTTCTAAAACCAGAGGATCTGACAGCTTCAGTTTCTCTGCTAGCTGTGCCAGGTTTCCAGATGGGTTAGGGGCAGAAAGTAAGAGAGGAGAGGAGAGAGAGGGAAGAGAAATGGAAAGACAACGGGGAAGAGAAAACAAGGAAAAAGGAGAAAGAGAGCCTTAACTAACTTGTAAATTACATTATAAAAAATAATCGAAAAACAGCAAATTCAGCAGATATCCTCCCAAAATTGCAACATAAATAAACAACCCGTCTTGGGTGCTAGATTCTAAATAAAATATGAGGAGAAACAGTTACTCAGCTTCATTTCTCTGCAAAGCTGTCTGCTCTGTAACAGTGTTTCTCAAACTTAGGGTATACATAGGAATTTTGTTAAAATTCTAATTGTAAACTTGTTAAAATGCTAATTCTGATTCCATACGTCTGGGCAGGGCCTAAGAGTCTGCACTTTTAACCAGCTCCCAGGTGATGCTAATGTTACTTTGTATTTCAAGGATTTATTCCATAAACAAGTTTTAGTTACTGAAACTTTTCTAATAATTCATTCTGGATCCCTGAGCTCCTTGCAACCATCAACCTGTTGGCAGAAACTTCAGGGTATGGGGAGGCTCACCACCACAAATTTTATACGTTAAAGAAGCCAGCACTTGGGCCTCATCTATGGCAAAGCAAAAATTTAAGGGTAGGCTGCTTTTTTACTCTCTAGCTAATGGATTTTTCTTCAATTAATTGAAACAACTATTTGCTTGATTGTTGTTTTCTTTCCTAGGAACTAAAGGTTGATATGTTTTTGTTTTCTATTTTAAATGTACCTCACATGTGACAAAATATTCCATGCATTTAAAAGCATTTTAATAAGGATCATTTACTCTTTTAATCACTAAAATATATTTTCTAAGCCCAGCTTTTATAATTAGAATGGTTCACCGTAGCATGTAGTTTTACTGTACCAGAAAAGCAGATGCAAGAATGAATTTCTTGAGTAACACACACATGGTTTCCAGTCTCCAATCCCACCACCACCCGCCCAGAGAAGATCCTTCTTTGTGTAGTGTTGGGCCTCTGCTTATCGCATCTGGGCATGCATACATGGTCAAAGATGGCCGTGGGCTCCAATTTTATGGCATGTTCAAAGAAGATGAAATGTAGAGTCTAAGCTGCTCTACGATGGCTTTCTCTGAATAGTGAAGATAAAACAACTGCACAGAACCCTTTGAGAGGCTCACCTTGATGAGTTCCACTAATAGCACAGGGTGACTGCTCTCTCCCTGGCTCAAGACAGCTGCACCAATGGCTTCGCAGTAATGCAAAGCCTGGGACACGAGGCCATAATCTGCCAGACGGGAAGCATAAAGGAGCTTATACACCTGTGAAGAGAAAAGAGTCAGTGACTAGTCCATCCAGGCAGGGAGAGAAGGAGAAAGAAACATAGATAAGACTTCTTGGAAGTCAGCTGTCAGTTTCCGCTAACTCTGGCATCCAAATACCAAGAGGCTTGTGCCATTTGGAGCATTTTATCTATGCACGGGCACAACTCCAAATCCAGCCTGCAGTTCCTGCATTACAGAGAAAAGAACAGGAGTCCCATCCGCTCAAACTTCCTAGGTCCTGGTCACCATGCAAAGTGCACTGGAGTCCTTATTTATTGGGTAGCCCCACATATCCAGAGAGTCTGATGTAGAGGCATAGCACCAGGCACAAGACGGACATTAAAAGAAGCAAAAATAGCCCAGGTGTGCTGGCTCATGCCTTGGGAGGCCGACGCAGGTGGATCACTTGAGGTCAGGAGTTTGAGACCAGCCTGGCCAACATGACAAAACTCCGTCTCTACTAAAAATACAAAAATTAGCTGGGCATGGTGGCATGCACCTGTAGTCCCAGCTACTCGGAAGGCTGAGACAGGAGAATTGCTTGAACCCAGGAGGCGGAGGTTCCAGTGAGCCGAGATCATGCCACTGCCCTCTAGCCTGGGCAACAGAGTGAGACTCTGTCTCAAAAAAAAAAAGAAGCAAAATTAGACCCTAGTGCAAAGGGCGTCAAGCTAATGGAGAGTACTGAGAAAAACAAGTAAGCGCTCGTGAAAGCATGAGTGGCAGGGCAGGATCAAGTGTGAGGGCTTTGGTATCAGACAGACCCAAGTTCAAATAAAAGCTCCATGCGAGGTGTGAAACATTGGGCTAGTTACCTCATCTCTCTGTGCCTCGGTTTCCTCTCTACAACATGGGAATACTACTACTACCTACTCCCTTGGTTGTTATGGAGATTAAATGAGATAATTCAGGTAAAGTACTGAGAACAAACCGCATGCAAGAGATGAGGGCCGATAGCATGTTACCCTTCCGGGCCTCCGTTTTCTCTTTCGTAAAAGGAAGTTAATCATGCCTACCTCACAGGATTCGAAACAATACACAAGAAGAGTAATGCCACAATGCCAGGCACGCAGAAGCTAATCTCATTACTATCAGCCCCAAGCAGCACCAAAATAACTGACAGGTGGGATGAATAAAGAAAGGAAAGAAAAAGAGACCAAAGAGCCGGTCGAGGAACTGCAAAGAGGAGCTCATGGGGCAAGGTTTTGCTGGAAAAGGTGAGTCTTTGGCAAAGCCCTTAAAAAAGAGAAGATGCTATAGGACAAATGCCTAATGCATGCAGGGCTTAAAACCTAGATGACAGGTTGATAGGTGCAGCAAACCACCATGGCATATGTATACCTATGTAACAAACCTGCACATTCAGCACATGCATCCCAGAACTTAAAGAAAAAGAGAAGAAGCTAATTGGGCCATTTCTCTATGACACAGGATTTCACTTTCAAGGCTTTGTGTTGTGTGTGCATGTTGTTGTAATTGTTGTTGTTGCTGCTGCTGTGTGTACCCTCGACACCAAGCACTGAAGGAGAAACAAGGAATCGCTGGAAAATGTCTCTACCTAAAGAAGATAACTAAGGTAGGAAGATAAGATACCTGTGCATAAAAGTCAAGAAAACACAAGGCAGCGTGAGCTCAGTGTCAGTGGGGGGCCCTGGATTCGGCTGTGGGAGCCACACTGTGCCTGCCATGACGTCAACGCCGAAAGCAGTTGCTGTGTGCCAGGCGCTGTTCTCGAGCATTAAGGAAACTAACTCGATTTCATGCCAGCTCCATTACAAGGCACCACTCTCATCCCATTTTACAGCTGAGACCACTGAAGGCTGCCATCTCAGTCATACTCGTAGGTGTGGCCCAGGTAGTCTGCATGGAGGAAGGGATGGTGCTGGACGTCAGAGCTCACAGAGGATTTAGACGGAGGAGGACACGATGTCAGCACTGGTCTTTACGAATGTAAGGTGACAACAGCATCATGTAGAAACGTTGAGAAGAGGGCGGAAACCACAGTATGGACACCACCCACACAGCTGATGCTCTGAGTGGGACGAAGAAGGGTGAGGGCGGAGGTAGAGGACAGAGGATTTCAAAAGAGGCCGGAGAAGGAGTGCGGAGCAGAGGGAGGGTGAGCAGACACTGGGCTGGGCCTGCGCTCCCACTCCCTCCCACAGGACAGCTGCGGAGGCTCAGAAGAAAGGGAGAGCTGTCTGGAGAGATGGGGAGAAGGAGCTGACAGCAGGAGTGAGGCACAGGCCGGGGCGGCAGGCAGGACGTTCAAACATCAGCAGTGAGGCAGGAGCCTCCAGCAGAGAGGCCTCTGCAAGGTTTTGCCTTCATATTATAAAATACAGACCTTTAGGGGACATAAAAAGAAATCCTACACCCTCCCACGCTTAAGCTAATGAGGAAAAGTTCAGTAGATAACTTAGCCCCAGGTACTAAGTGCCAAAAAGCAAAGCTGCAAATACAGCTGCCTGCAGCTGCCTGACAGTGACGGTGGTGGCCTCATCTGGGCTCAGTTACCTGGAAAGAAGGGATGAAGGATTTGGGGCGGCCCAGCATCTGACAGTACTCGAAGATTTCCGTCCTCTGGATTGCCTCAGTTGTTGCAAATTTCAAAAACTCTTGACTAAAACCAGAGAATAACAATAAAAGAGATTGAGGTGTGGGGGACGCAGGAGTTAAATCCTAGTGGCTCTCCAAACACCAGCTGCAGCCTTTCATGGGGGAGTTTCCATCCTGGGCTGATGCCTGCGGCGGCTTCAAGAGAAGAAGGAGACTCTGGGCTCCCAGAGTGAGTGTTTCACTTCCTCTCCCTCTCCCTCCTTGAGGCTGAGGAAGGAACAAAACAGAACTCTGCACCAGAGGCACTGGGAGGCGGAGGCTGCAGAAAAGGGGGGTCACCTGCCTTCTTGCTGAAGGGTAACTCAAGGCAGGCTACCTCGAAGGACACTGGGCCCTACTCTTAGACACACAGAGAGCTGGCCCCCATGCCCATAAAGCCTGTCATGTACCTGTGAAGGGCACCCCTAGTTTGAGCAAACTCGCACAAAAGAGGGGAGCCATGTAACACTCCGGGAGCACTGAGACCAAAAGGCATGGCAGAGCAGGTGAGGACTGCTGAGCCAGAAATCAAACACGGGTCCATACATTGGATGTTCATTCCACCAGTGAGGATGGGGACTGAGTGAATGTGATCTGGTTGGGGCAGGTGGTGGGCACAAGAGTCTCATGTGACCCAAAATTTCTCCCATCAACAACTTGCTATGGTGTTTAAAAACCACAATCACCAGGTTATTCCTGGGGGTAGGACTTTATTTCCAAGAATTTCCTCATTCAACATAAACCAACGTAAACATAGGAGGGGAGACATATTAGCCCATACACACTTATTGTACATTTGGCACAGAAGGGATTCTTTGACAAGCTAGCCATGTGCTATCAGAGACCAGGAACCTGGAAGGAACAGGCAATGAGCTGGGTACACTGCCTCAGTGGTAGGCAGTGTGGTGCAACAGTTAAAAGGGCTTTGCAGGCTGACTGCCTGGATTCCGAATCCAACTCACCCACACCCTCACTGTACCATCTGAGACAAGTTATTTCATCTCCCTGTGCCTTGGTTTTCCTCCTCCATAAGTGACGATTAAAATCTTTGCTTCACTTCACTTCTTCATAGGGTAAATGTGTAATAATTAAAGGAAATAGTGCAAAGAAAATGCCTGGCACAACGTAAGAGCTTAGTGACTCTTAACACGTATGGGGAGGGGGATAGAGAGATACAGAACAGGGAGGGCCTCTAGGGAGCAAATCGTTCTGTCCATGCATTCATTCACTGAGAGCTGATTGAGGGCCTCCTGCAGGAAAAGCCTAATGCTATGGCCAACAGAGAATGTCACCAGTGGGACTCTAAGTAGCTTGTGCACCAAGTCATTGTAGGGATGCTAGGGCCCCAAAGAGGGACTAAACATAAACTTCTTCCATTTTCCAGTTTTGCCTGGGTAGGCTCTCAGAACAGGCCCAGGGCTGCCTAACACGGACCCACAAGCCTCCACATGTAAAATGTTGTTTTTTTAAAGGAACAAAGTTAGCTTGTGGAGCCAGGGTGCCACCCAGTGGCCAAAGGGCACAATACCACACAAAGGCATCAGCCCACCTCTTTGCAGAGGAGGACCTGTGGCCTGAGGCCCCCGCCAATGCTGTAATGTGGGGCCCACGGGGCATCTCCTTGCACAGACCTGCACAGATAACAATCCCAAATAAGGGAGCCGGCGGTAGCTGAAATTCACATGAGAAAATGAAAAATGGATCCATAAAACCCAACAAGGGCTAAAACAGTCCCTTGGAAAATGTCCTTACTGTTTCCTTTCTCCCAGGTCGCATACCTGTGGCTGCTGCCCAGCAAGACCAGATGGTCTGTCTTCACGGTGTAGTGGCCAAAGGGCACGTGAGCCATGAGATAGCAGAAGTGAGCTGCCTCCACAAGCCCCTTCCCAGCTGCGGGAGGAAGAGAACAAGACCCAATCACGGAGCACACCCGTATGGGGAGCCATCATCTGGGTGGGATGGGAGACAGATGGAAGAGTGGCCTCGGGGGTCAGAGGGGAGAAGCCACATGGGACTAAATGAATGAGCCTTTCATAGCGTGAGTCACAGACCCCTAAACCCCACTCCTCCTCCCACAGCCCATTTGGCCTCAGACGTTACATTTCTCTTCAGCCAGAATAAGGCACAATTTCACGTTCTCCCTAAAGGACTTTTTACGAGGAATTCCCTAAACGTTTTAGTCTTTCCTCAGGGTGAAAAATGAGTTTGAAATGCCTGCACCTGAGCAAAGAAGGAGACTACTGAGAGTGGTCGTTCTTAAACTAGGCTTCCTGAGGCAGCATTGCTTTCCCTGCTGAAGTCAAACATAAAAATCATATTAATTACCAACATGTTTTGAAATGTTCTCCCATACATTTTCCACTGCCTCAAAATTGAGTTAATTCAGCTAGATACAATACCTAGCACAGTGCCTGGCCCCCAAGAAGGGCTCAACAAACATTAGTTCCCTTCCACTCAGGGTGCTGCATGGCCTCCATCTGACTTGGCACAACCTAACCCATAGCTATTAAAGTTTAACAGAGCAATATTTTAAAAAGCCTCATGGGAGCACCATGATTTCTGGATGCTCTGCTTCTTGGCTAAATTTGAGAACCACTGATCTGGAACACTCAATAGCCCCCTAAGCGTTTATAAGGCCACATTCACAGAGAGATGATAGCAAGAAAGACTACAGGGTTAACCCAGAGTGGTTCAGGCAAAAACAGAATTTCCTATCTGATTGAACTGGGTCACTGAGAAATTTACAGCAACAGGAGGCAAGGTGTCCTATGCGTTAACTCCATCCACAGGGGAATCTGACCCAGGGCTAGAAAATCAGCTGCTGAGAGGAGACTCCTACAGCAGCAGAACACCAAGTCTCAGGGGCCTGGCCTGCATTCACTCACGGCAGAAATTCTGTGAAACAGAGAGGCAAGAAGGACACGTGTTTCCCTGGAGTTTCTTTCCCCAAAACATGGAGGCTCCTGGGTCCAGGAAAAGCCTAGGGCATAGACTCTGGCCCTACCTAGAACCTGAGAATCTAAGGGCAGGATGTTTAAAGCTGACCTGGACGGGGAGGGGAGGTGAGGAGAGGGAGGGGAGGTGAGGAGAGGGACGGGGAGGGGAGGTGAGGAAAGGGACAGGGAGGGGAGGGGAGGGAAGGGACAGGGAGGGGAGCGGAGGGGAAATGCTGGTGTCGCTTACCCAGGGTGTCCCCAATGGCAACAATCGCACGCTGATACAGCTCTGGGTCCCCAGCCTGATTCGACAGAATCACAGCCAAGTGAGGCCTCCAGTCTCCCCACTGCTTTTCTCCACAACACTGAAAAGCACCAGAAAAAATAAATGTACAATCATTTAAGAATGGCCAGATGTACATAAAGAAGGCTGTTGTCTATTTCCTGGTTCAGAAGTGGTCAGAGAATGCCCACTCTACCACCTGCAATGCTGCCATTCATTGATTTAGAGCTCTCATCTTTAAAAAAGTAAAACTGTCAGAAGGACACAGATAGACAGATACGTGTACATGCATACATACATACATACATTCACAGGGATATTGGAAAATGGATAAATAAAATGACATTGCTCACTTACTATTTTTCACATTTCTCCCCAGTGCCTGACCCCCAGATAGCTAGAGACAAAACTCAGAAAAACCCTGAGGCTTCAGTGGGAGAAGGAAGATCAAACATCCTTGGCTTATGAGTAGAAGAGGCCACAGCCTGTCACAGAAGTCGGGGGAACACGGGCCTGCTTAATGTCTTACCAAATGCCTATGTTTTCTGGCTCTACAAAGCCCATTCACACACATCCTCTTAATCTTCACAGGAACCCTATGAAGTCTAGTTCCTACTGCCACTTTAAGAATAAGAAAATCAAGCCAAGTGGCCCAGCTAGGACGATGCAGAGGCAGCAGAATTCCACCAGGGGGCAAAAAAGAGTAAGCAGCGTGGTGGAAATGTACAAAGCCCCGCATCAATGGTGTTTTCCCCACAATCTCTCCCTAAGGCTGTCCTACTAAATAAAGGAGAATTTCAAGGCAGAAAATATCAATAAAGAAACAATATAATGTCATGGAAACAACACAGGCCCCAACTCGAGTCCTGCATCTTACTAGCTTACCTACCTTGAGCAAGTTTCTTAATGTCTCTGAACCTTTGTTTTCTCATCCCTAAAATGGAGATCGTAATTTCTACCTAACAGGTTATTGTTGATAATAAAATAAGATAGTTGTGTAAAGCACATCGCATGGTGCTTCACATTTGGTTTGCACTTAATCAATTACATGTAGGTATAAATACACACACACACACACACACACACACACAGTTGGAAGCTCAGCAGAGGAAAGAGGTGATTTGCATAGCCGCCTACCTTCCAATTTGTTATATAGATAGGTAGGGCAGAAGATTGCCAATAATAACTAAGATTTGGAGTTAAAACCATTCATAATTACTTGGTCTTTGTAATTATCCCAGGGAATAAAAGATGCTTTATTCAACTCCATTTTATACCCAGTCCTTGTTGATCTGGTCAATGCAGTGAGAAGAGGATGATAACAATAATGGTGATGATAAATCATAATAATAGCAGTTCTCATGTGTCACATCGAACCATGAACTATATCCTGTGCTAAGCATTTCTCCTACCAATAATCACATGTGCTAAGTCCTATTATGACCTGCATTTTAACATGTAAGCCAAACTGCTTCTTGCTGGATCTACAGAAACCAGCAAAAGGGAAGGAAATCCCTTGCTAAACACACACACACACACACACACACACACACACACACACACACACACAAAGAAAAACTTAGAGGTCATTATTCTGTCTCCTCGCTGGTGATTTGAAAAGATCACTATAAATCAGATCAATGGAGAGGCGGAGGGGACACAGTAGAGAGAGAGAGAGAGAGAGAAAGCACCAACATTTATTAATTAACGAAAATGGGCCAAGCATGATGGTTGATATGTTCAGATGTTCTCTCTCCCTTAATTTTCACAATAACTCTACTGGGCACCAAAATCCCCATAAAGATTAAAAACTGAGGCTCTGTGAAATTAAGACACAAAGCCAAGTTCCCCTGGCAGAAAGATGTACATAGAGTCCAGGTTAAACTTGTGTGAAACCCACGTCTGTGTTGTCCTGTTGCCATGCTTTTCCACCACCCCATTCATCACATGGAACTGAAGTCCAGCCTTTTAGTAGATGCTAAAGTGCTGGGAAACTCCCTAAGATCAAATACTGCATTGGCACATCACCTCTGGCTCCTCCGTTTTCTCATCTAAAAATAGGGGAAATTAAGCTAACTCTACTATTACAAAAAAAAAAAATGAACCATAGCTAATTGTATCATTTCCTGCATTTAGTACTTTGTGACATAATGCAATTCCATTCTGGAGCACAGGCCATTCCACTGAATTGTGAGGCACACTCTGTGCTACAAAATAGCCGGTTGATTTGATGATGGGGCATGAAAATCATTTCTCTTTTCTTGGAATTAGCCACAAGCCATAAGAAGGATAAAAAAAAAAAATGAAAAGTGTGAGGTCGATTTTTATTTAAACTAGTGTTCACCAAAAACCCAAGCCTCAAGATACGAGAAAAGGCTCCATTACCAAAAGTAATGGAGATTGGACAGACGTGCCTCCATGTCCCGGGAAGCCAAGAGGACACGAGGGAGAGGACCCCACAGCTCTCCCCACTGGCTGGAGAGCAGCAAAGGCAACTCAGGCTCACATGGAAAACTGGGTCCTGCAGAAAATGTCGGATGGCCTGGAATATGGCCTGGCCCATCCTCTGCACAAACCTAATATAAATAACTGGAAATAAAAATCCAGGGAAGAGTCAACTCCTTTAAAGTTATGTAATATGAGAAAACAAGCACAGAATGTATACAAATACACCCTAAGACAGAAAGAGGAAGGTAACATGAAAAATAGAGAGGAGAGAGAACATTCACTACAAAAATGTTACCACAAAACAAATGAAAAATTATCACCAAACATTTTGTCATGAATTTAAGTAAAATAATGAAGCAATTGCATCTATGAAGCAAGAGCATAATCTGAGTTACTAGAGCTCAGGAAATAGATGGTAGATAACAGGAAATGAATGTAATGTTCAGAGCTCAGGAAAAAAGTAGGGGGAAATTGAAGAAATAAAGACAGAAACAAAAGAGCACAAAAGTAAGAGACACCAGTGAAAACACAGTAAAGGACAGAGGAAGGAAAAAAGAAAGGAGGGAAGGAAGGAAGGAGGAAGGAAGGAAAGAAGGAAGGAAGGAAGAAAAGGAGGATGTAAAGGAGGGAGGGAGGGAAGGAGGGAAGGAAAGAAGGAAGGAAGGGAGGGAGGGAGGGGAGGGGAGGGAGGACAGGGAGGGAGGATGTAAAGGAGGGAGGGAGGGAGGAAGGAAGGAAGGAAAGGAGGGCAAGAGAGGAAAAAAGAGAATAAAAAATTATTAAAGAGAAAATTATAGATATAATTCATACGTGTATATATATGAAATATGTGTACATGGAATTCCTGAAAAGGAAACCAAAATAATGGGAACAAAACAAATATTGAAGGATATAATCCAAGAAAATATCCCTGAACTCTAACATATGAATGTACATATTAAAAGGGCATGCTATATATACCCCAAGGAAAAAAATCGATCCAGACAGTCAACACCAGAGCATAATCTAGTAAAGTGACTGGACGTCAAAGGTAAGGAAGGAATACTTTGGGGCCAAAAGATCAAGTCTCCTATAATGGGAAAACTATCAAGCTAGCCTCAGACTCTCAGCCACATCAACTCTAGAAGATTGAAATCGAGTATGTCCAGCTTTGAAGTGCCAGTGTGCAGTGGTGGGAAACATTCCTCCAGAGAAAAGAAGGGCAGCCCTGCCAGGGGAAGCCTGCAGAACAGGCACAGGTCCTCTTGCCATTCACAGCAGAGCAGGCAGCTTTGACATTTTGGGAAGGCCAAGGTCTTCAGAGTCAGACAGACCTGGACAGATCCTGACCCCACTACTCACTATCTCTGATCTTGGGTCATCTTACACCTTTGGAGCTCAGTTTCCACATCTGCAAAGCAGAAAGAATGTTTCCTACCTCTATGCATTAAACCAAATAATATGCATCAAAGCACTTAGCACAGGGCCTGGCACATGGTGATTAACAAACCATTAATATTATCATCACTTTTGCTCCTGAAAGCCATCAGTGCACTCCTGAGCAGTCCCCGCCCCCTCAAGCCCTTGGGATGCCTGGGTGATAAAGGAATCCTGTCATAGGGGTACCGTGGCTGCCTGTGGAATCCTCCCCGACATGAGCTGGAAGAGGGTCTGCAGTGGGTCATTGAGCGCCAGCGTGCTGGTGAAGCTGCGGAGAGAAGGATAGTCAGCGAGGACCAAGCCCAGGGAACCTCTTTACCCATTGCCCACAAGGCTCAGGGCCTTGCATAATTCTATTAGATTTTGGCAGCTTCCTTAGGAACATGAGCATCGCTTTGCTTTCTGCTGTGCCTCTGTCACAGCCTCCTCTGGGGAGAGATGGCAGGATCCTCATTCTACCGCACACCCCAGCTAGATCTCATAGTTGAGGGTATTTTCTGCACCTTGGTCTTGATGGCCTAACTCTGGAATAACCATTTCTGTGGGCCTTCTTCCATCACTGAGATGACCCTCTGACATCTCAAAGGTCCCCTGGAGAGCCACAGCAGTTTATCTGGAAGCTCTTCTCCATCGGCACCCCCCTTCTCAGCCATCCCGATCTCCCACTCCCTGCAGCCCTCCTCCACGCCAAGCCCACAGCACTCAGTGCCGTTTTTCTGGCTCATCAAGAGCCTGGGTCTGTAGTGCTTTTGCTCACAAGCGCTAAATAGCCATTTTCAGTAACCAAAGAGGCGTGGAACAGGGGCCAGAAATGATCCTGCTGATGACAAACCATGGGATATGCTTAACAAGGATATAATAAGCTCTACGGCTGATTTGAGATTTAAGCTTACTCAGTGAGAGGTATTTTTCACAATTCACTGGGCTCCATCAAAAATCAATGGCCCAAGGCAAAAATCTGTAGCAGAGATGTATGCTACAATGTGGGGCTGTGGGACGTTCATTTTCAAAGCCCAAAGGAAAATCATCCTCAGAACACCGTCCTTTATTTAACAGCACCCTTGCCACAGGAGCTCCGAGCACGTATCACAATACAATTTCTGTGTTCCTCACCATTCCAGTCTCAGAGGATAATAAAGTGCACCGTGGTGTCACCAGTCTCCAGGAAGACTGAGGGGTGGAGTCGTCATGAGACTCAACTAGGCCATCATCCAGAATGGGCCCACCAGTGGTGCAGCCATTAGGCCCCCGGACTGAACTTAACATGGAAGTGTCATTTTTTTTTTTTTTTTTTTGAGACCGAGTTTTGCTCTTGTCACCCAGGCTGGAGTGCAACGATGTGATCTCTGCTCACTGCAACCTCCACCTCCCAGGTTCAAGCGATTCTCCTGCCTCAGCTTCCAGAGTAGCTGGGATTACAGGTGCCAGCCACCACACCTGGCTAATATTTGTATTTTTAGTAGAGACGGGGTTTCACCATGTTGGCCAAGCTGGTCTTGGACTCTTAACCTCAGGTGATCCACCCTCCTCAGCCACCCAAAATGCTGGCATTACAGGCATGAGCCACCACACCCAGTGGAAGTGTCATCTTCTAATTCAACCTCTACTCAACAGGATTAATGGCCAATTCAAATATTAGTTCAGCTGAGAGGATAGCTTCACAGCTTTAACCAGCACTAGAAGCTAAACACTTTGAGGTAGCATCTTTCTTGCTGTCTGACCCAAGTCTGCCCCTTAAAGGAGGGTCCCTCACCACCCCCACCACATTTGTCCCTGCCAACCTGTGGATGCTAGGCGGAGCCTGAAGGACTTATTCAGAAACCCTTCTCCATCCAGCACCCCTATACCCGCCACCTCCATTTGATCCTGGCTCTCTTTCACTCTGTTTCATCTCCTTATTCCAAACTCCTGGCTATGGATCCTTGCTTCCATCCCTAGCTCATTCTGGTTTGGGCATTTTTCCTGGTCCACGCTGGCACCCAGATCACAGTGTGCTGGCGTCATTTCTGACTAAGCATATCCCTTCAGTCTCAACACCTCCCACTGCCGCCAATGCAGACTTCTGGATCTCACTGCCAGTGCTAAAACTCCTTTTCCTACCACAGCTCACGACCCTGCTACCCCACACCCCCACCCTACTCTCAGTATCCAGAACCTCATCACAAGAATAAGCAGTAGACAACTGCTTACGTCAAAGACCCACAGTCCCAAGGCTCTAAGGAAGTGATCGCTACCCCTCATTACCAGAACTAGCTGGAACAGCCCCTCCCAAAGAAAGAAGGCTACTGCAATGTAAAAACCTACTTAATTTTTGGAAAGTCTCACTCTGGGCAATTGTACTAAAATTTTTTATCCAATTTAGCAGGTAGAAAGAATGTATCTGTGTCTAAAACAGAGAAATGCTATGTCCAGCTCAGAAAAGAGAACATGGAAAGATCCCTGGAGTGTGAGTCTCCTTAGCGCGTCTGACATTTCTCCACACCCTCATCCTCCACCTTTGGTGAGGAGGCCTCTCTGCCCCACTGGCCTCTTTTGTTAAGTCCTGACTCACCCACTCATGACCCAGCTGTAGGTCTGTGGGTCCATCTTGCTGGACAGGAACAAAGCATGGCCCCACAAGTGGTTCTTCATGGCCCACTCCAAGGCTTCCTGAAAACCAAAACATCACATTCAAGAGTGCCTTTCCCACCTTCCACTCACAAGTTCCTGTGCTTAGGTGCTGCTGCATCCTGAGCAGCAGAGGCTAGGCTTCCAGAAAACTCTTAGAGCCTCATATAAGAATGTGAACAGCCAGGAAGCAGACTGTAGCTAGCACAGTATTTTTCTCTAGGATGTCACCTTCACCAGCCTTCACTTTATCAAAATCCACTGTGCTATTCCATCATCTTCCCATCAGACATGGTTGCCAGTTAGCCTCATCTCTTTAGCAAAAGTTTCGTAGCACTTGAACATCATGACTACAGTAAATACCAATGTATAGTACACTTGAAAATCACTAAGAGAGGAGATTTTAAGTGTTCTCATTAGAAAAAACATGATAAATATGTGAGGTAACACATATGTTAACTAGCTCCATTTAGCCATTCCACAGTGTGTGTGTATATATACATATATATCATGTCGTATACCACAAATATATACAATTTTTGTCAATTAAAAAAATAAAAGCGTCATATACAAAAACAAGAAATTAAATATTTAAATGTAAAAATGAATCACAAAAGTACTTCAACTTCATTTTTATAAATTAATTTTGAAGTAGAAAAAGCCTTTCTAAATATGACCCCCAGAAACTTACAATTTTGCACAGAAAGCCCTAAAAACAAAAAGAGCTCCAACAAATCAATAAGTGAGGATCAAAGCCTCAATAGAAAAATGCAGAAAATCAATGACAAAAAAATTCACAGATTAAAAAATATTCAACTTCATTGAATGCATTTTGAATTGAATTGAATTGAATGTATTCATTTCAATAAGAGAAATGCAGGCCCGGTGCGGTGGCTCACACCTGTAATCCCTACACTTTGGGAGGTGGAGGGAGAGGATCACTTGAGCCCAGGAGTTTGAGACCAGCCCTGGCAACATAGCAAGACCCCATATCTACAAAAAAAATTTAAATTAGCTGATAATTTTTTCTTTTGAGACAGTGTCTCTCTGTTGCCCAGGTTGGAGTGCAGTGGCATGATCTCAGCTCACTGCAACCTCCACTTCCCAGGTTTAAGTGATTCTCATGCCTCAGCCTCCCAAGTAGCTGGGACTACAGGCCATGCCATCATGCCTGGCTAATTTTTGTATTTTTTGTAGAGACGGGGTTTCTCCATGTCACCCAGGCTGGTCTCAAAACTCCTGGCCTCAAGTGATCCGCCCACCTCCCAAAGTGCTGGGATTACAGGCGTGAGCCACCACGCCCAGCATTTTTTCACTTCTCAGATTGGCACCTATCAAAGAGTTTGAAACACACTGTGGTGAGAATGTATGAAAACAGGCACTCTTTTGCATTGCTGGTAGAGTGAATTGGCACAATCTCTAAAAGGCCATTTGTCAATATCTATCAAAATCATAAACTATATCCTTTGACCCAACACTTCTGCCTCTGGAAATTTATCTTACATATATTCTCTCACAGTGGGCAAAATGACAGTGATTATTCATTGCAACATTGTAATTGCAAAAGATTGGAAGTACTCTTAATGTCAAGCTATAGGGGGTTTAGTTAAATTAATTATAATTTATCAGTAGAAAACTATGCCAACATAAGAAATAATGAGAAAGGCATTTATATAGGCTATAGAGCAGAGGTCAGCAAAATATGGCCTAAAGGCCAAATCCAGCACACTGCCTATTTTGGTACTGGCCATAGCCTCAGAATAGTTATTACCTTTTTAAGTGATTGGAAAAAATTTTTTTTTAATTTCATTATGCATTATAATTATATGGTAACTCAAATTTCTATATCCAAAATGAAGTTTACTGAAACACGGCCACCTCCATTCATTTACATATTTTCTGTGGCTGCTTTCACACTATAAGGGCAGACCTGAGTAGTTGTAATAGAGACCCCATGGCTTGCAAAATGTAAAATGTTTACATTTTACATTTTTTACATCTGTCCAATTATAGAAAAAGTTCGGCAACTCTAATATAGAGTGTTTTCTGAGGTATTTTGTAAAATCAAAAAGGGAAGGTACAGAAATGGTATACAGCATGCTATTTTTTAGAAAAGAGAAAATAACAATATATGCATAAAATTTCTCTGGATATTTCTGAGAGGAAAACTGGGTGACTAGGGGGTGGGAGCATCATTTCCCAAGTATATCTTTTTTATATTTTAATTTTTGAATTAAATTGATTCAAATTGATTTTAATTATCTATCCAAATACTTAAATTTTTATGAATTTTGTAAAGCATAATCTCAACTTCAAAATTAAGCTAGAAATCAATCTTCATCTGTTTAAAGTACAGACAGTCCCTGCTTTATGAGTTTTTGACTTTACAATGCTGTGAAATCAATACACATTCGGTAGAAACTGTAATTCAAGTGCCCATACAACCATTCTGTTTTTCACTTTCAGTAGCATATTCAATAAATTATATGAGATATTTAGCACCTTATTATAAAACAGACTCTGGCTTAGATGATTTTGTGGGTTATGGTAAACATTCTGAGCACATTTGAGGTAGGCTAGGCTAAGTTATGATGTCGGGTTAGGTGTATCAAATGCATTTTTAACTTATGATATTTTCTATTTAATGATGGGTTTATTGGGATGTAAACATTGTAAGTCATGGAGCATCTATATTCAATATTGATAGGAAGCCTTAGATATAGCAGCAGGAGTATTTGTAAACAAACTTCCTGGAAATTAATTTGGTGTATATATAAAGAACCTTTTAAAAGTGCATGCCCTTTATATACCCAATAATTCCACTTCTAGGAATCTGCCCTAAAAAATTTAAAAGATCAGGCAAAGACTTATGTAACAAGATGTGTAAATGGTATAATTTATAGTGGTTGACAAAATTATAAATAGTCTAAATATTCAATAATAGTAGAATAGATAAATAAAATATGATACATTAATATGATGGAATATTGTATAACTATTTTTTAAATGGCGCTATTGGGGTATATATAATGCCATGAGGGTATTTTACCATATCATCTTAAGTTTAAAAAGAGAAATAAACAACTGTATATGCAATTTTATTTTCTTTTTAATATATATGCATGGGAAAATGCTGGAAGTAAATGTATCAAAATGTTAACAGGTATTATCTTTTTTATTTTTAATTTGTATGAGTACATAGTAGGTATATATATTTATGGAGTAAAAAATATGAGATATTTTGGTACAGGCATGCAATGTATAATAATCACATCCTGATAAATGGGGCATCCATCCCCTCAAGCCTTTATCCTTTGTGTTACAAACAACCCAATTATACTCTTTTAGTTATCTTTAAATGTACAATTAAGCTATTATGGACTATAGTTCCCCTTTTGTGCTATCAAATACTAAGTCTTATTCATTCTAACTTTTTTTTGCACCCATTAACCCACCCACCCTCCCTCCCACCCTCCCCTACTGCCCTTCCCAGCCTCTGATAACCATCCTTCTACTGTCTATCTCCATGAGTTCAATTGTTTTGATTTTTAGATCCCACAAATAAGTGAGAACATGTGATGTTTGTTTTTCTGTACCTGGCTTATTTCATTTAATAGTTCATTGTCTTTTAGTGGTAGAACTATGGGTGTTTTCATTTTCTTTGTTCTGTCTTTCCGAACTTCTTGCATCCTCCCTGAAATGAGTATATACTATTCACATAATTTGAGCAGCGGTGAGTGGTGGAGAGGGATGGTGATTGCTTTTTCAAAATAAGTATGGGGGAAGGGCATACTTGCCTTCTTCCTTCCATAGTAGAGCAGCCTAGTGAATTTCTCCACGATCTGCGCAGGTGTCTCCACACTGGGGGGGATCTCTCCCGTGAGCAGGTTCGGGGTCCCAGAGCTCAGCACTGGCCAGTCCTCATCGGTCAGGTTGATGAGGTTGGCCACAGGGGGCTGCCGCTTGTACTTCTCCAGCTTCTTGCAGTCTTGCATTAGCAGCTCAGCGATGTCAGACCCCACCATGGACTGTAAGGCAAAGAGGATCATCTGGGGAGAATCCTATGAGTCCTCAGGCTGGCAGCCCCAGCTGGAGAAGGAAGGCACCAGGGAGCCTGCCTTCTTCACATGGAAGCCAATTATGCAAACATAAGGCAGTCCTTTGTTAGATTGCTATATTTCAGACTTCAGCATCACTATCATGGTTATTTTCTGCCTGTCAGGAGCCATAAAGCTTACCAGAAACATTCACAATTTCACAGGTATATTATCTGGCTGGTGCAATAACCCAGAAACTGTACAATTTTCCCAGACCAAGGAAGAAGATCATCAGGGAAGATCTGCGTTAGCAAACTCGCATTGACATTTGAGCAATTTTTTCCCTTGGGGCAATTTGTGGCTTCTTTAATATTGCTTTTCATAATCATGTCATAAACATAATCTTATCTATCCCATGAAGACTTAAATTTCAGCCTGCACCTGCTCTCCCACCAGAACAGAACTTACCCCATTCTGGCGACAAAGGAGAACCAAGAGCTGCCACAGTAGAGCTGAGTCTCTGCTCCCCAGTGTCTCAGATTTGCAGCTCTGAGCTGCTTTCTGCTGGCAAAACGTCATAATATCCACCTTATGTACATCTTCCCTACATGGAAAAAATTTAGGGAGCAAAGAGTGAGCAGGCAGACACTTCCCTGTTTCGGACCCCAGGCTCCTCCTAAGTGTGCAAGTGCTGGCTGGGCTGTGATTGAGATAGAAATCTGACAAGCCAGGGCTAAGGTAATGAGTCTATAGCTATAGGATAGTTATTTTCTTATAGAACAAGAAGAAATTTCAGAGATTCTCTCATGCACCCCCTTTATAGATGAAGAAACAGAGGCTCAGAGACCTGAAGTCACTGCACAGGAAAGCAAGTAAAAGCAGACTTTGGAGTCAGACAACCCTGGATCTAAATCTGGCTCTGCCACTTCTCTGTTTAGACAAGTTTCTTACCTCCTCTGAGCCTCAGCTTTGTCCCCTAAAATAGGGACAGTAAAAGGACCTACCTCCATACAAAAAGGAATTAGAAAATTGTGTGGCATATATTAAGTGATCAATATGATTGGCATTATGATTTGCTCAAGATTATCCAATAACATCAAAGCCAAGTTAGGCTTAGTACCCCAGTGTTTGAATACCCAACTCGCTTTTTTGCCCCATATCTGTATACCTGTTTGTAAGAAAGAGATAACACTCATTTTTACTTGAGGGAACCGTCAAATGCCATTTGAGGAATACATTTATATAGTAGTGATGATACTTTCCATGTGCATAATCTGACTTGAGACTCATAGACAAGCCTCGGGTAGGGAGAGCAGGTGTTATACCATTTCTCAAGGGGAAAACTAAGGTTCAGAGAGGGCTAACTGACCTGTCCACCATGGTATTCCTAGTCAGTAAGACGCCTGAGCCTGAGACCCACGTGGGCTGTCATCCAGCAAGGACTCTCTCCTCAACAAAGATGCCCTGAGTTACATTTATCAGAAATATAACTAGACATTTAAAAGCAGTCCTAGTTCAGTACTGCAGAGGGCTCACTTGCACACTGTTCTGTAACTTGAACACTGCCGATCTTATTTACCTCTCCAGGAAAAAGCCACTGTTACAAGAATTGTTTCTGCTATGATCCACTTGTCAGTGACTTCCCAGGCGATGCTCCACTTTTCTACTAACATCTATCAAGCACACGGAATGCTAAAACTTCCAACCATGCAGCCTCTGCATAATGGAACTGGTTTTAGATTTCTAAACTGTCATGCTAATTTTTCTTTCTGTCCTTCAACTATTGAATGGCTTGTCAAAATGACTCAGGCCACATCTGGTTCTATCTTGCAGCACAGAGAATTCCACTCCAACAAGGACAGATATTTTTTTCCAAGGAAACCAAGAACAAATCTCCAAAATGCTGATCTGGGCAGGAAGATTTTCTAGGTTTCAAAAGCCCTTACTCAGCAGCTCTTACAGCACTATACCTAATCAAGGGTCCTGAGAAACTTCTCATCTCCTCTTGCTCTTCGGAATCATTAAGAATAACCTGGAATAAAACAATCAGATTTTGTGTTTAAGACTGTGGCCACCCTAGGCCCCTTTCAGTCAAGTCTAGTGTCAGACCCCAAGGCCGTGGGGCTAGGATATGGCTCAAGGCCTTGTGGAGAAAGCAGAAAGAAAAAAGTGAATTTTGTTGCTAAAGATGAGACATTGACATCTCAGGAAAAACACAACTGTAGCATCAATTCTTTCAGAGAAGAGCCCCACCCATTCCTGCACCCTCCTAATCCAGGGGGTACATGGCCCAGTTTCCCGCAAGAGCATCCCATTCCTGGAGATGCCCCGGCTCAGGCACAGGAAAGCAAGGTAAGCATGTTAGGAGTAGTTGGGTAAGCAGTGTGCCAGCATTCCAGGGACACTGGGTCTTCTTTACCTCCATGCTGTGCAGTTCAACAAGGGCTGCTTGCCCGTCAGTGGGAGAGCTGGGACCTACATGCACCAGCTGACCTCCTGGCCCGAAACTCACAGGAACATGAGGGATGTAGAACTTCATGGGTGCTTTGGGACCAGCTGAGGAGACATCTTCTGACCAACAGACACAGATGGACATTGTTAGCGTTACTTCCATCACTTTTCTTTAGTTTAGGAATATGCCACAGATGTATTTCTGCCCAAATTCTGCCTGAACCAAAATAAGATTCTGGGTGGGTTGTGTAATTAGAAGAAGCCCATGTTCCCTGCTCCAGTCAGATTTAAGCCTCTGAGAAGGTGTCAGAATACAATGCGTGGGCTTGATGATTCAGTCCAAATGATAATGCTCTCAGCCCAGACTCTCAGTGATGCTGAGAGGCCAAGGAGTCTCTGGCTTTCATGGCCTCTATACTCATGACAAAGTTCCTACATCCAGACAAAGCAATGAAGCTTTGCATCTTGCTTTTGCTTTTCCTAATTCTCTCTGGTCTTCCCTTTCTTAAAAGCACCACTGAGTGCCTCCTTTCCCAACTTGATAATGGATAGGGGCAGTGTTCCCTTCCAGGAATCAGCTATGATGCAATTACTATTACAAGCAAAAAGAGAGAAAATGGAACCAAAGTTGACCTCTCTGCCCAGGTGACCTACATAAGCAAATGAGGTGGACAATGATCCATCGTAAGGCTGACTTTCCCAGAGACTTGCCACCCAGCCCTTCCACATCAGATTCAATCAACTCTTCTGATCATTTTAGAACCCACCAGCCTGAACTGGACTCCAAGCTGCTGAAGCTGGGGGATCATCCCGCTCCGGGGCATCTCTGATGTACTGACTGAGCTCATAGCTGCTGGAGCTGAGACCAGACTCACGCTGCTGGAGAAGGTTGGACTCACTAGCCAATGATGGCTGAAAGTTAAAAACAAAAACACACAGGAAGAAGTTTCAGAGAGCTGGTCTTCTCAAGCGTTCCTTCAAAGAAACAAAATACATACGGTGAAAGTGGATGTGTTGAAAGGATAAAAAGAGATAATCAAGTTGATAGGCATTTGCCAAAGGATATATTATGACCCAATGGAAAGAGTGCAGGCCTTGGGGTCAGGGGCCCTTGAATTGAAATCTCAGCTTTGCCTTATACTCAGCTGCTGTGCCCCTGGACACGTGACTTAGGCTCTCTGAGCTCAGTGCTTTCATCTGTGATATAATCATATCTGCCCTATATACTTCAAGCAATTCATGTATTCATTCATAAACAATTTTCTTTTTTGAGACAGAGTCTCACTCTGTCACCAGGCTGGAGTGCAGTGGCATGATCTCGGCTCACTGCAACCTCCACCTCCTGGGTTCAAGCGATTCTTCTGCCTCAGCCTCCCAAGTAGCTAGGACTACAGGCACGCCACCACGCCCAGCTGATTTTTGTATTTTTAGTAGAGATGGGGTTTCACCATGTTGGCCAGGATGGTCTCAATCTCTTGACATTATGATCTGCCCACCTCAGCCTCCCAAAGTGCTGGGATTACAGGCGTGAGCCACCATGCCTGGCCCTCCTTCATTGACTGTTTAATGAGCACCTATTATGCTCCAGGTACTGTGCTTTCCCCTTGGATGCAGGTGTAAAGAAATTCATGGGGCCAGGTATGATGGCTCTCACCTGTAATCCCAGCACTTTGGGAGGCCAAAGCAGGAGGATCACTTGAGCCCACGAATTTGAGACCCCAAATTGCAACATAGCAAGACCCCATCTCTACAAAAAAACAAAACATAAAAAAATTTAGCTGGGCATGGTGGTGCACAACTATAGCCCCAGCTACTTGGGAGGCTGAGGTGGAAGGATCACCTGAGCCCAGGAGTTCAAGGCTGCAGTGAGCTATGATCATGCTGTTACACTCCAGCCTGGGTGACAGAGCAACACTCTGTCTCTAAATAAATAAATAAAGAAATTCATTGAATTTACATCTTGTGTGCATACAAGTAAAATAATGGATTCAAAAGCTCTTTGGGCCAAGCGCAGTGGCTCACACCTGTAATCCCAGCACTTTGGGAGGCCGACGCAGGAGGATCACCTGAGGTAAGGATTTCCAGACCAGCCTGGCCAACATGGTGAAACCCCATCTCTACTAAAAAATACAAAAATTAGCTGGGCATGGTGGTGCACACCTGTAGTCCCAGCTACTAGGAAGGCCGAGGCAGGAGGATCACTTGAACCAGGGAGGCGGAGGTTGCAGTGAGCCGAGATTGTGCCACAGCACTCCAGCCTGGGCAACACAGTGAGACTCTGTCTCAAAAAAATAAAATAAAATAAAAAGTAAAGCTCTTTGTACAGTGTAAGGTGCTGTACATATGTATGTGGCTGCTGTCATTGTATTGTTACTATTAGTCATAATAATATGTGCCCTACTCTATTAAGCACTAAGTATACAAAAGAAATTGACCTCATACAAACCTAATAAGGGAGACAAGATTAATACAAGACTTTCAAAATTACAACCCCATCTCTGGCCGAGCGTGGTGGCTCAGGCCTGTAATCCCAGCACTTTGGGAGGCCGAGGTGGGTGGATCACAAGGTCAGGAGTTCAAAACCAGCCTGGCCAACATGGTGAAACCCGGTCTCTACTAAAAATACAAAAATTAGCTGGGCATGGTGGCAGGCACCTGTAATCCCAGCTACTCGGGAGGCTGAGGCAGGAGATTCGCTTGAACCCAGGAGGTGAAGGTGGCAGTAAGCCGAGATTGCACCACTGCACTTCAGCCTGGGCAACAGAGTGAGACTCTGTCTCAAAAGAAAAGAACCCATCTCTGTAGTATATTTGCAAATTTTCCACAAATCTAAAATTATCCTAAAATAAAAAGTTTATTTTAAAAAAGATTTCCATTTTGTGGCCCAGCTGGCGCATACAATAAGATTTTTAGAGGAAAGGGATGAATGAAGAGTTAGAAAAGGTTTCAAGCCCTGCTTCTCAAACCTGAATTCAAAGATTCTAGCAATTTCCCACTTCCTGGATTAAACCAAATTGCTAGTCCCCTGGGGTCCCTAACACCTAACACCTGATGACAGCGTCCTCTCTTTCCCAGTATGTTGGAGTGAGCTAGGTGACATTTCTTGATCCTGTCAATTTGATAAAAATGCAAAGGAGTTCAGTTCAGGGCCTCGGATGCCTAAGACTGAGGCAGTAAGGAGGGAAAAAAGGAAGGCATGGGCGGAGGTTCTGCCAAGAGGGGAGGAATGGGTCCTCCAGACGGCTGGCCACTGGACATCCATCCCCAAGGGCCCTGTTCTGCCACTGCTGACAGTGTCAGCTGCGACACATGGCCACAGTCTCCAGCCCCCACGTCACTTTAGGTTACCTTATTTTTCTGGGCCTCAGCAAGCAGGCTCCCTGGAAACAGCTCCCCCGGCCACTCCTGTCCAGAGTTGGAAGCAGGGCTGTCTTTACAAGGGTTCCTACTGTTAGATCTGCAGCAAAATGACAGGAGCAGTGAGCGGGGTCCTGGGCAAGCCAGCAAGGCTGAGGCACTCTCCGCCGGAAGCTGACCTGCTCCAAAGCGTGGGCAGGTACCATGTCAGCCTGGGTGCCATAGGAGAAAGCATTTTCCTCCTACTCACCACCTCAATCTACTAATCCCAGAAAAACAGGAGTGCTGGAGTTCCACAGCTCAGTGGCTGGAAGTGGCCTCAGGCCCTGATGAGAAGGGTTGGTCTCTACAGCCTGACATTCTGGAATGACTTACATCAGAGTGTTTAGGTTGGTGAATTCCACAGCTGCAAGCACCAGGACAGATGCTTGAGCAAAACTCTCTTCCCTGTCTTGTCTTACCACAGGGAGATGGCCCATTCTCAGGGCTCAGGCGTAGGCTGAGGAAAAGCACCACAGCACCAGGTAAGTTCTCATGACCTAATCGTGAGAACTTTTGCTAGGCCATATCTGTTCTAAGGCCAACACAGAATTAAAGTCCTCTTTTAGGACAGACCTCAAGGAACCTCACAGGACTCAGACTCGCCCAGCTTTGGGAACAGACTGTCAGTGATAAGAACCTCCCTTCCCAGGGTCCATATTAACAGCTGGCCAGGCCCATCCTGGGATATTCCCATATCCCTGTGGCTACAACAAAGGTACATGGGCTTCTGGAGGTGAGATGGCAGCATCAGACGCCAGAAGATTTGCCCGACATAGTCTGAGTTTGACAACATCATGTCAAACTGGCCTCTCCTTTCACACTTACTGGAAGTGGGTCTCACTATTTGTTCCAAATGGACTGTGCTGGTTTTCATAATGATGTTCATCAAGGTACTTTTGCTCTCGGTAATCTTCGTGCCAGATATAAGGACTCCGTTGCCTTGGCACTGCACCCTCAGAGAAAACAAAATCAAGACAGGTCACTTCCTGTTTCTGAAAGTTCTTAGAAAGATATTAGTGAGCTGTGAGGAGCTCCTGGAGCACAGTAGATCTAAAAACATATTTTCCAAATTGAAAAAATAGATAGGTGAGAGCTAATAAAGAAAGTCCATAGGACGCCTCTCAGTCCCCTCTGAACTAGTTAGCATGGATCTATACAACCGCACAACGATGGGGATTGGTGTGTGTGTGTGTGTTCAATGTTGAAACAGATTTATCTTTCCTAGCAGTTCAGATGCTGCCATTAAGACACACCCTATACCTATTAGCATACGGTAGAACACTCATTTGGGTGCATATCTGCTGTCCTCAGGGTGAAGTGATACACTCTTACTATAGCCCAGCAGATGTCCTTAAGAACTGACTTCACTGTTACTTGGTCAAAGACTATATAATCTGGGCTATAAGGCAAAGTAGGAGAAAAAACATGGATGAAGTACAAACTACCCATAGTGCTAGTAACAGTACCATCATCTATGCATACAAAGGAAAACAACTCCTTTATATCTCTTCTCAGGACATCTAGGAGGAGTGTTTCTGCTATGGTCTCGTCTGGCCAAGAAAGGATGCCCAAGGTGAGGGTCTGAACATGGCTCCTTTGGTCTCTCCCCTGCCTCTCAGACCAGCTGCCCCATCCCCAAATCCCAGAGGCTTCTTGGAGACTTTTCCATACCTCTTTCTTCCTGCAGCCACTGTGGGTGTCCATGATAGTAATAACTTCCATAAGCATATTCCTCCCTCATTGTGGGAGACTGATAGCTCTGATATGAATTCTCATAACCTGGCCTAAAATATCACAAAGAAGACTGGTCAGTTGAGGACAAGGGTAGTAAAGAGAGAAACCAATGAAGAACTTGACAAACTAAACAGGTTCAGAGGACAGAGTTGTGACCCCAGCCTAGAATCTGCTTGAAAGCCACAGTTAATTCTAGATCCTGTAAACAGAATCAAAGCAGGAGTCAGGCCTTTGTTGCACAACAGGAGTAGAATTTTTATAGTACAATTTTTTTTACTTAAAACTCTTTTTCTAAAAACCTCTTTTTTATTTAAAACTCTTTTATTTTGTAGTAAAACTCTCACTCCCCAAACACATACATATTATCTTAGAAAACTCCATCCTGATATTATCTGAGAAAACCACTTCCTGAGATGACTGTGTTAAGTCTCCAATACACCACCGTAATTTCCATGCTTATCCCAGATGGAGTTGAGATTTAAAAGTCAAACTGGACTATGTTAAGTCTGATTACTTTTATTGCCTCTGTCCTGAACACGCCTCTCTTTGAGAATTCAACAATCCAAAAAGACTGGGGAGAGGAACATCATAATATTAATGTTTTTATCAATTAATAATTTTTTTTTTTGAGACAGAGCCTCACTCTGTCACCCAGGCTGGAGTGCAGTGGCGTGATCTTGGCTCACTGCAACCTCCATCTCCCGGGTTTAAGTGATTCTCCCGTCTCTACCCAGGTAGCTGGGATTACAGGCATGCACCACCGCGCCCAGCTAATTTTTTTGTTTTGTTTTGTATTTTTAGTAGAGGCGGGGTTTCACCATGTTGACCAGGCTGGTCTCGAACTCCCAACCTCAGATGATCTGCCTGCCTTGGCCTCCCAAAGTGCTGGGATTACAGGCGTGATCCAGGAGCCTGGCCCAATTAGCAATTCTTTAGTATTTCTTAGGGATAAATTTCTTTATAATAATTGTCATAATTTCAACCCTGAATCTGTAAGCAGGTAAATATCACCCCAACTGGAAAAGCTGAAGTAGAACATAGACGGCTTCCAACATTCCATGAAATATTAAGTCCAGTGCTTACAGACCAGGGAAGCAGGAATTCCAGATTCTCCAACCTGGATAGAATGACCTCACTGCAACCTCTTCCTTCCGAACTTGGAGCCTGCAGGTTTCTATCTGCTTTCCCTGAGGTCAATTTTTTTTAAGTTCCCATTCATTCAATACAGATTATTGGTATGCCTGTTCCATTCCGGGTACTGTCGTAGGCACTAGGACTCTTCTTGGTGCTGGTAGTGTCATGCTAATCCCAAGGTAGAGTGGTCCAATGACAACGAGGAACTCCTTATAGGGATCTCCAAGAAAAGCTTTTCCATAGTCTACATAAATGAACTTTTGCAATCCCAGAGCAAGAGGGTTCCATCTGCTGTCTTGAATTTCACCACTTTTTCTACCCTTGACACTGCCTCCCCAAGCCCCCATACCCAGTGGCATTTGTGATGGCTTCTTTAAGAAGCTCCACTAGGGGAAAAACAGGAGAGAAATACTATCTTCAGTCATCAAAAACAAATTTGGGAGAGGACAGGATTTAGCTAAAGCCACGTAGTAAGGTAGAGAAGGAAAAAGAAAAAAGGGGGAGAAAAATAAAAGGAAAAGGAAGAAGGAAAAGAACAACCTATTCATACGCATTTAGGAGAGTTGCATTCATTCCAAGCCCTAAAGCCATACCTTGAATACAACTGATTGCGATAACCACCTTCGTAATAGTCAACTCCAGACACAGGCTGATGCCAGTCCCCTGGCCTGGATGCATAATGGGGCTGCTGCTGATGGTCTGCCCTGGGCTCCTGCTGTGGCTGGGGGCTCCCACGGTTGTCTTGCCATTGGTGAAACCTCTCTCCATTGTGCCAAGAGTGAGGGACAGGCCGATGATGTCCATCTCTCCGAAACCCTCGGTCTGGATCCTTTGAGGGTGCTGTGGCCTTCCCTCGTGTCTGGGGCAGCCTCTGGGGAGCCCAAAGTTCCATCCTTGACTCTCTGAATTTGTCCTGGGTTTTGAGTAAGTTGTGCAGTTATTTTATCTTCCTGCAGACAAAAGAAAAAGGAAAAAATCATCACTTGAAGCCTATATCCAAACATAGTGGTTGATTAGGTTTTGTGAAAAGAGCAGCTATGGTCCTCGAAATATATCTAAAACAAACCATATGGTCACGGATACAGAGAAATCTGAGAAACAATCTCAGATACATGAAGCAAATAACAGACTAGACAATTATATTAATATTGCTTAAAAAATTAAAAAGTACATGTGGAACAACGACAGATGAGGGAGGCAAGGGAGACAGATAACAATAATAGGTACAGCTAAAAATGCTATCAAGGAATCCCAGTTGATGTTTCTTCACATATTCCCCCAGCAAGTGTTTATTTAACACTTACAGCGGAGGCCCTGTGGTATCATAAACAGAGTGGGTCTTGCAGAGAGCTAGATCAGAGTTCAAATCCTAACTCTGCCACTTAACTAGCTAGTTCATTTTTTCAAGCCTCAATTTCCTTACCCATGAAATGGAGACTGTAAGGACTACCTTGCAAGGTTATTGACAGAGTTAAAGATAACCTATGCGAAGTGCGTAACATGTTACCTAACATGTTAAAATGCTCAATAAATAGCAGTGTTATCAAGGATAAAGATTAGGGTAGTATGAGTGGCTGAAGATGTTTATTAAACAAAAAGAAATTTAGACTGACCTTTTCAAGAAGCACCTTTTCTGAATCCTTACATTAACCCCCTCAAAGAACTAGAACCTATATAATATGGTCATACCTGCTCCTCCTCCAGAGGAGCCAACAAGAGGCAAATTTGGGATTGTTTTCATAAGAAAATAGAAGGCCATATCTCAGGATTCTTCCCGGTTGGAGATTTTAAATGCTGAAAGTCTCCCTAGCATCAAACTAATTTTCCCCCACGTAATCCTGAAAAAGGGAAATTGCTCCAAGGACTGATTACCTTCCAGGTTCCTCTGCCCATTGCACGGGGTAGCGGGGGACAGGGGTTGCACCCACAAAAGGAAAGCACGCCTCAGATCTTACTCTTGCTCAGGGATTCCTTGTGTCAGGAGCATCCACAGGCTAGGTCGGCCTCGATTTTTTTCTTCCTTAGGAACTGTTTTAGGTTGCAAGATTCTGATCAAATCAGTTAACTTGTTTCCACTACTGAAGGTCCCAGCCTCATATAAAAATTCATATCAGAACAAAAGGTCAAAAGAGTGGGTGTTGAAATTGAGACGTCACTCTGCTCAAACACCAGGGAGCCGAGGTCGACAGCTATGAGCCAAGAGCTATGAGACGGCAGAACACACAAGAAGAACAAGGTGCGGAGGGGGCCTCCCACCTCAAGGTCACTCACAACTCAGGGGAACCTCTGGCTTCCTTCCCATATCATCTCACTCCCTTGAAAAAGCCAGGTGCAATGACAGCCTTTGCCAGCAAATCCCAGGAAAGGCCAAATGTCCCAGACACAGGGAAGGGCACATGAGCCTTTTCTGAAGGCTGGTGGAACTCAAAACCATTTGGACCAAGTAAGCAGAATGAGAAGAAACCTGCTTTCTCCTTGTCCCCAGATAGTCTCATTAGGCAGCCCTTTCCCAACTGCAAAGGTGCAACACCCAATCTTTCCACTGAAATCACATCATTTTGCTGCCAAGAGACATCAACTCCAGCAAATCAGTCCTCAGATTAAGGACACCAAATAAATAACACCTTCGATTCTCAAAATGAAGGAATTACATCTATGATGACAAATCAGACTCACACATTCATGTAGATGACCTTTCCTAGCCCCAGTAAAGGCAATCTTGCCTTTCCTAATCTGACGGCACAGCACGTCCAGCTCAAAGAGGGGAAAGAAGGGAGCGAGTGTTCCCACACACCTGCTCTGATGGCTTCCCACCTTCCTTCAGCGCTGCTCCAGGGACCTGGCCCAAGAGTGCCTCCTCTCCTCTTGGAGACTGTCAAAGTCCAGGTGCCACATCTACCAAGACTCCCCAGGCCCTCAGATCTACATCATGTCAGTTACCTTTGCAACTGCCCAACCTCCATGGAGCTGATTCATTAGGGCAAAGTACAGCCCAGATACCGCAGCCCAGGACCCGCCTGACTTGACGAATTTGCTCAGAACCCTGTCAGAGACTGGCGCTTCTGTTTGCCTGAGCATGGGCTGAGCCAGGTTCACTCACATGAGAAATCATCCAAATTCCCACAGCAATCACGGAAGAGAGACATCAGGAAGAGGAAGTCCAGAAGCCCCAAGGCAGCCTGGTCTGGCGAGAAAAGCACCACCTTTGGGGTGTTAACTCGGGGCTCTACCACTAGCTGGTTCTGTTACTTAACCTCTCCGAGTTTCAGTTTCTTTTTCTTTAAAATGGGAATGGCAATGCTTAGCTTATGAGGGTCATTACGGGGCTGAAATGTTGGTAAAGCAGCACATGATATATAGGTAAGTATGCCCTGCAGATCAATATTATCTTTTCCTTCCCAAAGAGACAAGTTAATTCCACTGGTTGAGGCACATGGGGAAGGGGACACGCTCACTGGTGGGAGCAAACACCTGGTTTGCCCAGTGTGGGTTTTTCTTATGTATATTTCTCACCATTGGGTTCTGGTTATGTAATAAATTCTGTCATCTAGCTGGAAGGCAGATTTATATCCCCAGTACTGAACTGAAGGCACTAAAAAGTTTTCCATTATAACAAGAAAGTAGTTTCTCGCACTTGAAATATACATTTCTTCTGCATTATTAAGGTAAACGCAGAAAAGCACATGACTACTTCTGAATTAATATTTTAAAATTCTGAATTTGCTCTTTTAAAAAATCCCAAATGGTTTATTCTTTCTCTCAACAAATGCTTACTGTGTTCCTATTAAGGGCCAGGATTTGACACACATAAATATAAAAGACACAAATTAGTCTCTCATGTCTGTCCTTACTAGTCCAGGGAAAACCACCCCTCTTGGGTCTCATGGTCATATAGGGTCATGTACCTAAGCTACAAGATTTTCTCTCAGCCCCTCAGCTGACTCTAGAACCCAGCAACTGAGCATAGAATTCTCTGACTGTAGCTAATGGTTTCTTTTTTTTTTTTTCCAAGACAGAGTCTTTCTCTGTCGCCCAGAGATGGAGTTTAATGGTACAATCTCAGCTCACTGCAACCTCTACCTCCCAGGTTCAAGCAATTCTCCTGCCTCAGCCTCCCGAGTAGCTGGGATTACAGGTGCGTGCCACCACCCCTGGCTAATTTTTGTATTTTTAGTAAAGAAGGGGTTTCATCATGTTGGCCAGGCTGGTCTCAAACTCCTGACCTTGTGATCCACCTGCCTGAGCCTCCCAAAGTGCTGGGATTACAGGCGTAAGCCACCATGCCTAGCCACTAATGGTTTCTTACCTCACTCTTGGGCTGTGAAGTTTGGCTCTCTAATGGCTGCACTGTTGTTTTTAATCCTTCTGGGAAGAGGAACTAGAGAAGAACATGCACATTAACAGCAGGAATCAGAATGTGGGTGATGATTACACTGACGTGATATCAAATTATATGTTCTGATATATCACAACAACATTCACAAAAGTTCTTGATGTCACTCTTTTGGCATATAATGTGACATTAGTCTTGCCCTGTAACACCAGCTGCATTATGGGAATGTTAACTTTGAAAAGGACCTTAGAGGTTATTTTAGCAACTATGCTTTTTTGATGATAAAACCAAGATCCAAACAAGTGAAATGATTTACCCAAGATCACAAAGTTACCTAGAAGTTCAGTGAAAATTACACTGGTGTGCTCTAGCTGCCTTGCACACCAGTGCAAGTTTAGTAAGAGCTGATTATTAAATATTCAGGAATTGTGTGAGCCGGTTGTTAAACCATGGAAAACTTGAAATCCACCATGGTGGGAGTATTTACACCACAGAAATTGGCAACTGCTACAAAGCAAGGTTGTTGGTGGGTTGCTGGTTTATTTCAGAGAACCTGTTTAGCAGCATACTGATTTGAACCCCAAACTCTTACTTCCTGATTCAGCATTCTTGCAATTATAGAATTGTCATTCTGTTACTAGCCTTCATTGCACAACCCTGGCTTAAACATCTAGTCAAATTATTCTAAATGCTTATTTTGTGACATCCCAAAGTATCTCTAATTATCTCTAGAGTTATTATGAAACTCTTCAAACACTCACCAACCAAAATTAATTCTAATTAGCTTTAATTATTCTATATAGACATATGGCATACAACAGTTATATGGGTCACAAAATTAACTAGATTGTGATGGGATCTCACCACTCCAAAGGGTTTAGGATTTATCATTTCCTACCTTCCCAGCCCCACATAACTACAATTACTAAGTCTTTCGACCTGGCAGCTCAATTCTTCCTGATTTCTAAACCAAATTGACCCAGTTTGACAATACATTAGGAGCTCAATCCCCACCAGGAGGTGGACCAGAATGAGTCTTGCCACCCCAAGTCCTGGCTGCAGTGTTCTTGGATAATCCAGTAGGCTCCCTCATGCCCAAATGGCTACAGTCTTCACATCATCCTGCCCCAAGTGCTCTGTCCTCATACTTGATTCCTGCCCTGCATCCCAACTATGCACCAGGATTGGAGTCCTAGAAGTTTACTAATTTATGTGAATTTCCTTTCCCAGTCTCCATCCTCCTTTCCAAATGCCGGACAGCACTGTCTAGGGTCTAGCTTCAAACAAGAGTAACTGCCTGCTGTGAACTGAATGTCTGTTTCCTCCCAAAATTCATATGTTGAAAACCTAACTCCCAATGTGATGGTATTAGGAGGTAGGCCTCCAAGAAGTAATTAGGGCATGAGAGTGGAGCCTTGTCAATGGAATTAGTTCCCTTATAAAAAGACACAAGAGGGTTTGCTTCTCCTCTCTCTCTCTGCTCTCTGGTGTGTAAGAATACAACCAAAAGATGGCCATCTGCAAACCAGGAAGTGGCCCTCACCAGACACCAGATCTGCTGGAATCTTGATCTTGGACTTCCCAGCCTCCAGAAGGGTGAGAAATAAATTTCTGTTGTTTAAGCCCTAGTCTATGGTTTTCTGTTACAGTAACCCAAACTGACTAAGACACTACCCTAGTTTGACACCTGTCTAGCAAAAGTATTATCACTGTTAATGATGCTGCTAATGTTTAGCCACCGGATTAGTGCTGATGGATGTGAACACCCACCTAGATCTAGGTCAGGTTTGCCAGGAATCCTTGAGCACTGTGATTTAATGACTGGTTACTCTTGCAAAGGGCAGCTCAGCATTTAAGACATCCCTCAGGCTTCATCCTAATCCTTTACTGAAAGTAAAAATTTAGAAAACAAGTTGAGAAGATCTACATCAACGTGTTATCAGTAGTTATCCACCAGGTAATGGAATGGTGGATGATTTTATTTTCTTCCTCTTGCTTATCCATATTTTCTAACTTTTCTACAATAAATGTATATTATTTTAAAAGGCAAAATTAACTGACATTATTTTTAATCAATAGTGTTAGTTCAACCATCAAATGTGTTATTGTCACATCAGTTACTAATTAGGCATTCAAGCTGCTAAAATGGGACAGTGCTCAAAACTTCCAAGATTGATTAACTGTGCTCAGTCTGCTTTTCTTGATAGAGGTTGAGTCGTTTGTACACTGAACAAGTGTTTATTGAACACCTACTATATGCCCATCATTATCACATGCACTGGGGATACAAAGATAAATAACATGCAATACCTGCCCCAAAGAAGCTCTCAATTCAGCAGAGCAGTAGACATTGAATCATAATACAATGAGTCACAGTACAATGCAATAGTAATACAATGTAATCATCATTCTAATGGATATATCACTGATTTTTCTAATGGAAGAAGCACAGCGGAAAGCAGGAGACTGGAAATGGTAGGTGTGCTGTTCAAGGCTATTCCATAAATCAAGCAGGACAGATGAATGCCTGAACGAGAGCAGCTGTGGAGAGACTGGAGGAGAAGGGACATATAGAATATATATATATATGTTTATAAAATATAATCAACATGCATTGATGGTCTGTTGACTGTAGAAGATGAGGGAGAAGGAGAAGTCAAGGATGATCCAAGTTTTCAGGCTGTGGAGATGAAATGCTACCTTTTTTTTTTATTTTGGCTAATAATCTTAGAAGAGGAGCCAGTTTGGTGGGGAAGATGATGTGTTCAGTTTTGCACATGCTGAATGTGAGGGGCCTGTGGGACACAGAGGTGAGTATGGTCAATAAGTAGTTCACTGTAATGAGCTCAAGAGAAAGCATGGAGGAGAGATGTGGTGGTTGAAGCCACAGACACAGACAGGATCACTGAAGAAATGCTTAGAAGACAAGTCTGAGGAAGGAGCTCTGAGGTGGACATAGAAGAACTGGACACAGAAAGAGGAGCCTATGAAAGACAACATGGAGGTGCCAGAAAGATGGGCAGATAACCAGAAAAGGATGGTGTCCCAGAAGCCAGAGGTGATGGCTTCAAAAGCAGGACAGTGGTCAACAATGCCAAACCTAGGAGGAATATTGAGAAAGACAACAAGTAAAAATGTGTTCTCTGGATCACTGGATTTGACAATTAAGAGGTTTGATGATCTTAACGGAACAATTTCAGTAGGGCCATGGTCAAGGGAGTGAGGGATTAGACATAGAAATCACTTCTACAGCATATGGAAATTACGGAAGAGGAGGCAGCAAGTAAAATTACTCTTTCCAGAACCCTAGATGTGAAGAAAAGGGTTGGGGCTACCATGAGGCACTTGGATTTGAAGAATTGGTTTAGGGTGGACTAGACAAGAGAGGGTTTCTGCTGATTCATATGAAGAGACTGGAAATACACAATTACTGAAGAAACAAATCTCAGAGAAAATGCATCACATGGGATCCAGAGCACAGGAACAAAAGTTAAACCTAGCCGAGGAAGGGCACCTGTTCCTCTAAATCAGGGAAAAAGAGGTGAAGATGGGCACAGGTGGAGATAAGTTTGAACATAAGGGGACAGAAACCAAGAATTCCCTGTGGAGTAGAATGCCAAGTTCTACTGGCCACCTCTAGGGTGAGAATTTGGTAAGAGACTTGAGAAACATTATGACGGTTTGGAATGGCCAGTGTGGAATATAGGAGTGGGCTTTAACTAAGAACGTGTGCTCAGAGTAACAAGTGGGCTGGAAATGCAGCTGTTATTGAACACCTAGGCTGACTTCAAGCTCCATGGGGATGTCAGCCTTCTGTGCTTTGTTCCATGCAATATTCGCAGTGCCTTGCACAGTGCCTGGCATATGACAAGAGCTCGATAAAATTTTATTTATAAATGAATGGACACCTTAAATGTATACCAGCAACAGCTTATACTGTATGACTGTACCCAATAGTTTTCATAGCCTGAGTATAGAATTAAATATTGAAAGAGAGTTTCCAGAGAAAGTAAAAGAGAAGGCTGAGGCAGTGAGTTTAGGGGGCTGACCTAAGTGTGGATAAAGGGCTGCTGTGTGGGATATAAATGAGACACAAACAGACACAAATTATCTGCATACTTTATGAAAATGAAGTCCCTAGCTAATCTTGAGAGGCCCACTCCAACAAGACAGTGAAAGAAAAACATTACATTACAATAATTTTTTAAAAATTCTTAATCAAAGTGGGAATGATGAGATAATGGCCACACATGTATTTCCAGCAACATCTGATGCATTGTGGCTCTTTTTAGTCAGCAAGCATCTCATATTTCTGACTCCAAGAATGAATCAGGGAGTGACGGTTTAGTGCAGAGCAGCCTCTTGACTCCAACTAAGCTACCCCCTGGAAACAGTCCTGGGATATGGAACTCTCATGGCCTCAGCCAGTGTTGGCCACCAAGACTCCAGCCCCTTGCTTCAGGTGAGCTGGGTGGCAGACAAGATGCAGAGCGTCCTGTGCTGCTCAGCTGTTCTAGTTATTAGGAGGGAGTGTGCCAAGAAAAGATGGTGCCTGTGCCAGAGACAATTAGCCTGGCACAGGTGCCATAAGCTACCAGTGCCAGTCCTGGGATTGTTACTCTTACCACAACCTTAGGAGTGAAGGTTTAGGCACAATGCAGGCTTCCTACAGGACCAAGGCACCCTGTGGTTGCACCCACAAAGGACTCCTTCAAATGCCACCTACGTAGCTGCCTGCAAACCTGCCTGCTCTGCATCCACCTCTGCTGCCAAGAGCTGGAGAGGCAGTCTATCATTCAAGAAGAATGACTCTATGCTTCCTTATTAGCCCTAGGCTGGCAGAGGTGGCCCAACCTCCTCCTCTCTTCACCCCTCCCGTTTGATTGATGCCCCCTATATCAAGAACAGTGGGTGGCAGATGGATGCTGCTGTGACTTCTGACCCCATGTCAAGCTCCAGCAGGCAGAGGTGACTCATAAACCCACTAAGTGAAGTAGGACTGGAATATTCTTGGAATGTTCTCTCAGCTGCAGGTCGACAGGATGTAAATTCCCCAAAGGAGCAAGACAACTTGGTGGTCCTGGAATAAAGTTGTCCAGGTGTGAATCCCAGTCCTACTATGCTGGTTGTGTGAAGTTGGGCAAATTACTCTGCATCTCCTTTTCTTCATCTGTAAAATAGGGATAATAATAGAACCTCCTACCTCACAGAGTTATTATAAGGGTAAAATTAGATTAAAACCCTACAAAGTGTTTGGCAAATCACAAAATGCACAATAAATGTTAACAGTTATTATTTCCCTGGAAATACCATAAATTGCCTAAGAAGTATTCTGCACAAGTCATCAGTAAGGGATTAACTGATTATTCATCACTGCTGTGAAATCTACAATTTCTCCTTGACACTTAATCCAATGCCCCCATTGAGCCATGAGATCAAAAAGAAATAGAGAAAATGTGTCATACAACAACACAGGAAAAAAATAATGGGCTAAGGTGAAAACAACAAAATTAGAAACTTTAAGAAAATGCAGCCCAGTGCTTCTCACACTGGAGTACTTGTTGTTTCAGGAACAATGCAGGATGCCACGGATACTCATCAATTTTCTTTTCTAAACAATTTTAATAGTATCTTAATTTAAAACAAATACAAATGTTTTGGAGTGAAATTCAAATTTGCCTTAATTTTTAAGATGAAGCATGATACTTCAAAGAAACTTTACATGTGCAATGGGACAGATACACATACACACACATTCACACACACATACCCTGTACCCCCAGAAGTCACTCCCTGCCATTTGTTGGAAAATTTTGAGAGATGCACTCTAAACAGAAGCAGACATTCAGATACACAGAACCAATGAGCTGGAAAGGATCTGTGGAAAGTCTCCATCCCTGCAGGCGAAGCAGTGTCTAAGCCAGACAGACTCAAGCCAAGGCCCTCATGCACACATGGCTCTTTCATTTACAGTCATAGAACTTCAACTACTCTCTATTGCTGGATAAAAAATATCATATTATATAAGATACTAGAAGGTACCTAGGGGGCTAGTGACACTCTCAGTTTACCTGAGATGGGTAGTATTTGTCCTTCAAGGAAAGTAGGTCTTTCAGCTCCATATAGAAACACAACCCAGTATTTTAGAGTCCAGATGTTACTTCCTGATGCATGATACACACAGTCACATGGGACTCGGACTCTCATTGCAGCTGTCTGAATAGGGTAGACAGCCCCCATACCACTCAGCAATCTGCTCCTCTCTGGGTACAGAGCTGTGATCTTGTTTATATCTCCTTAAAAACTGTCCTTTCCTTCATCATTTTGGGAAGTAGCAAAGGCCCAAAGGAAAGAAAATAGAAAATGAAACCTGGATTTGGTTTTAACTACACCATTTGCTAGCCATGTGCCTTTGGAAAAATCGCCTAATCTCTATGAGCCCATCTTTTAAATGAAATTTTTAAATGAGATTTTAAAAATGAAATCTCATTTAAAAGGACTGTGATGTGGATGAAATGATACATGGAAAAACACCATAGAAAGTGCCTATTAATTACAGGAGTGGGTTTTCAATAAATCTTTGCTCTTCTCTCTTTCAGGTTACTTATATTCTGTTAAAGGTGTGAGAAGCTAAACTATATACAAAGCTCATGACTTTGGTACACTATGGGAATTGAGAGCTCAGGCTTTGCAGTCAGAATTGGATTTGGGTTCCAATGCCTCTGCTGATTAGCTGTGAGCCTTCAGGCAAGTTATTTAACCTCTCAGGCTAAGTGTCCCCATTTGCTAAATGAGTGTATAATAATGAATATCTTCATGAGATTGTTGTAGAATAAATGAGATAATGTACTGTGCATGGCCTGTAGGAGGTGCACAATAAGTATTTGATAAATAAATTAATGCATGATCTAGGAAAAGCACTCAGCACACTCCCTGCACCTTGGTAAGTGTCCAACAAATGGTTGGTATCAACGTTGTTTAAAAGAGCATAGCACTATTTCTAGCAGGGCATGATGGCTCATGCCTGTAATCCCAGGAATTTGGGAGGCTGAGGCAGGAGGATTGCTGAGGCCAGAAGCTCAAGAAACCCTGGTCAACATAGTAAGACCCTGTCTCTACAAAAAAGAAAAAATTAATTGGGCATGGTGGCTCACACCTGTAGTCTTACCTAATTGGGAAGCTTTGGTGGAAGGATCACTTGAGCCCAGGAGTTCAAAGTTGCAGTGAACTATGATCATACTGCACTCAAGCCTGGGTGACAAAGTAAGACCCTGTCTCAAATAAATAAATAAATAAATAAATAAATAAATAAATAAATAAATAGCATAGCAGAAAAGTTCATTTCTAGGCTGTTCAGAGTATATGTTCTTATTTAGCTTTTATCATAGCAGTTCATATTTAACTTTTATCTTAGCTATTCTTCATTATTGACATAATCTAATCTGAGGTTATTGTTTTTAATTTTTATTCTGCTCTGTCGCTCATCATAATAATCCATTGCAGTCATAGCTTATCTTTCCCAGAGATGCCTATCCTTAGCTCATTATTTTCATTACCCAGTGGCATCAGTAGAATGTCCATTTTAGAGGCAATAAAAGTGATACTTTTACCAAATTCACAGAGTGTGTCAGTACCAGTCATCAAGTAGAGGAAAATCAACCACAGGTCTTCTATTGGAATGCTTTTGCTCGGAAGAGCATATGGCTTAGTAATAGCCATGTAATATAGTAATATATTTAACACAAAAATGCAATTATTTAAAATCTATTTCATGTGAATACAATAACTATAACCTTCAAAGTTATCAGTCAGTGTAAATAGGTTCATTCAACCTGATGATAGATAGATAGATATTAAATCATAAAAATAAGAATTCAAAGATTAATTTCTGACAAATGGGACAAGTTCTCCTTGTATAAAGGTTCATACTATTTTGCAGGTTCTACTGTTCTGCCCACTGTTCCATGTACAGAAATGGCCCGTGTGTGTACAGTGTGGATGCATACATGTGTTTAAATGGTACTCACATCCCTTGCTCTATCAGTCTGGAATGAGTGGCTGCAAATATAGCAAAGCTCCCCAGCAGTGCTGTTCTAATGCTAAATTTAGCATAGCAGGACAATTTCCATAGAAGCCACTTATGATGCCAAAAAACCAAATTCAAATTTCAGGTTCTGGAGGACATTGAAGGGCACAAGAAGATGATTTTCTAAGTGTATTAGTCCATTTTCATGCTGCTGATAAAGATATACCCAAGCCTGGGCAATTTACAAAAGAAAGAGGTTTAATGGACTTACAGTCCCACATGGCTGAGGAGGCCTCACAATCATGGCAGAAGGCAAGGAGGAGCAAGTCACATCTTATGTGGATGGCAGCAGGCAAAGAGAGAGCTTGTGTAGGGAAACACCTCCTTATAGAACCATCAGATCTCGTGAAACTTACTCACTATCATGAGAAGAGCATGGGAAAGACTTGCCCCCAGGATTCAATTACCTTCCACCAGGTCCCTCCCACAACATGTGGGAATTCAAGATGAGATTTGGGTGGGGACACAGCCAAAGCATATTACTAAGCATATGTGTCTGCTGTCATTACAAGGGAGATGGCTAAAGTTCACTATTTTCTGGGAGCATCCCATAACTGAATTTTGTAGATTCTTTGTATGCAACACTGCTTCTGTGATGTAGTTTCTGTACGAGCTTGCTAGACGTATTCCCTTTTACACTTAGGATGCAATATTCTGTATGCCTCATAACATTATGACACTGTGACACCATGTCCTAGTGCTGATCTAGATGTCATTCATTAAATAAATTATGTCACTAAATGAATCCAACTGTGGTATAATTTCACCCCTGGGAGAATTTTTTTTAATTATCTCCTTCATTCACCAAATAATATTTTAGACAATATTAATTCATTTATTTATGAAATAATAAACGAAGACTTTCATTTATTCAGTTCCTATGGGAGAAAAGCCTTTTCCCCATAGCTCCTCTAAGAAAGCTGCTAGCCCTGAAACTATATGGAAGGAACCCAAAACAGTTTGTGCTCCTATTTAATAACCAAGAAACAGGTGGGAACCCAGGAGTACTTTATTATTGTGTATTTCTTGAATATCTACTATGCGGCAATAATCATTTTAGGTGTTAAATTCAGGCCACACTAAGTGGGCAAGGTGAACTTGTTCCTTCTCTTCTTGGAGTTTAGTGCCTAATGGGGACACAGCCTAGGTGACAGGCAATTCCAATAATAAGTGCTGGGAGAGGATGACAATGAGAAGCAGATGTAATGCAAAGAAAAGGTATCAACCCTCACCAGAGAAGGTTTCTCTGCGAAAAAAAAAAAGAAAGAAAGAAAGAAAAGAAAGAAAAAAAAAATCTGCCTCAACTGAGACCTGAAGGATGAGAGTGCATTATCCTGGAAAGAGAGAAAGGAGAGCAAGAGAGGATGTGTTCTGGGCAGAACAGACATGATGAGGGCTAAGAGGCGAAGGAAGACCTGGTACATTTGCAGCATCATAATGGGTTTTATGCTCAATGTGGTTTGAGCTTAGAATGCAAAGAAAAGTTGAGAGCTGATACTGAAGACTGTCCCTGCTTGGCACCCGGACAAGAAGAGTGGAGTGTAGAAATGGCAGGTACTCAGCATAAGTATGTGCAAACCCCTGATGTTTAGCTTTTATCATAGCAGTTATATGATAAAAGCCAGGGGGTTTGCACACAGTTATGATGAATACCTGCCATTTCTGCCAGCATCCTACACTCTGGCTTCTAGTAATAAATTATCAGTTTTACTTTTATGAACTTCCCTGCCCCCTCTCAGTTTATTTGCCATGTGTGAGACTGACCCCATCTCTTGCTCTATGAATGAGCACAAAATTTAGACCTGGACAGTAAGAGTCTTGCATCTCCCTGGCCATGGTGATTAACTCAGCAGTCAGCACATGTCCAGAGACATTCCAAAAAGCAGGCACCCGGAACTTATGCTTGAACTACTGTGAAAGAAGGATGTTTCTCACTGGGTTGACTGACATAACAGAATGTCAACCTACAGCAGCAAGCAGCCATCTGTCCACCATTTATTCATTCAATAATTAATGACTGAATAACTATTATGTGCCTCATGTTGTAGGCATTAGGAATACAAAAATAAAGACATAATTCTATTTCTCAGGTTTTCACCATTAACTGGAGAGACAAATAAAATAAACCAATCACTTTAATAAAATGTGGTAAGTGTTAGGGTAGAAGTTACATACATTATTATATGCAGAGGGAAAGGCAGCCAACTAAGAGAAAGCTATGTTCAGGATGGGCCATGGTGAGTTGAGGTGCCTGCAGGACAATGTACTGGAGGTGTCTTAGGCAGTAAATATGAGTCAAGAGCTCCCAAGAGAAGTCTGCAGAGACACACACCTGTGGTGGGTGGTATTCATTTGTTTATACTTTGCTTCTTTCCTGAAGATTTGTATGTGCTTTGATTTAGGCATTATCAGCATACAAGTCATAATTAAAATCTCAGATATGAATCAGATTGTCAAAGAAGAGCACAGACTTCAAAATAAGAAAATAATAGTTTAAGGTAAAAAGCAGAGGAAGAGAAGTAATGAAGACTAAGAAGGCAAAGTCAGAACAGCATCAAAGGCAACCAAGGGAGGAGAGGCTGTCAAGAAAGGCATAAAGACAACAAACACAGTAAGACATCAAATTACATAAGAACTCAAAAGTGCCCACTGGAGTCCATAGGGTTGGTGAAAGGGTCAGAAAAGGGAGAAAACAGTAAGGAGGGATTGTGTTTGCTCATTGGCTGGTTTGGTGGGTAGTCGGTTGGTGTATTATAAAATGGGAGAGACTTAAAGATGTTTTTACTTGTGGTGGAAAGCCAGTGGAAAGACTGAAGACACAGGCAGAATAAAGGAACTGAGTGATGAGTGTGGTAGTTCCAGAGGAGGCTTATGGGGATAAGTAATCCAAGAGAAGGGATTTGTCCTGGGTCAGGAAGTACACCTCTCTCTTGGGGAAGGGAGGCAGGCAGCAAGGGTATGAATGCCCATGCAGATAATTTTGTGAGCTAGGCTAGCAGGGCTGATGGACAATAAGTCTACATAAAAATTGTGCTTTTTAAAAATGGATTTGATCCATCATTCTACTAACGTGTTATGAATCTCCTACAACTTCCAAAGTCAAAAAGGACTGAACTGATGGTGAGGAGTTCTAGGAAGCTGAGGCTGCACTGCATGGCCACCAATGGTGGGTATTTTCTGTTCTACTTGAAACCATAGCCTGGCTAATTTTTATTTTAGTTTAGTTTTTGACTCAGTTAAATTTATTTCAAACCTTAAGCCTATGGGTCACACTTATTTCAAGCAATTTCATTTTCTTAAGAGTCAGGCTGTTGTGTCTTTGCCTCTCAAAAGTCAGCAGCCGTTGAAAAGGTACTTGTTCCAATCAATAACCATTTGAAAACAGAAATAGATATTTAAGATGAGTCTGTGTGGAATTGCTCCTTTTAAGACATCTTTCTCAAAAGCAACCTTTCCACCTATCAACATTACACTGTAAATGGGCCCATTTAGGAGAATCCTTCAAGTTTCTATTATAGAATATCTCAATCTGATGAGGCCTGGCTGGTGACATGTGAGATCCATTTCAGAAATAAAGCACCTGTCCCCGAATTGGATGTGGAGCTAAGGTAATGCTGTGTGAGAAGCTGTTCAGCAAGGGGAAAATTCACACTAGGTGAGCAATCAATTACTGAAGAGGTTATCCATCCCAATGCATTCATTTTATAGCACATAAACTGAAGCCCAGAGTGCCATATGGTTCACTGGGATCAATGCCAGGATCCGAATCCAGGTCCCCTGACTCCCAGCCCAGTGTTCATTTCTCCTCTTATAACATCTGTTACTCCTGCTGGGCAGCAGACTCCTCAGGGGCAGTGACCCACCTCTTCCATCTTGTTCACTTAGGTATCCCCCCACATAGAGAGGTGACAATCAAAAATATCTGTTCGTCAATAAGTTAACCGTACTCAGGTTAAGCCGCTGTTGGTCACTCAGGTTTTATGCAGAGCTGAACATCAGAGTAAAAGGTCTCAACAGAAAAAAAAAAAAATCACCAACCCATAAATACATGGTTTATGATCTCTGAAAATACTAGAAACTCTAAACACGATTTCCAGGGTGGAAGCCTTGGGAACAGCAGCCACAGAGCCTCCTCTTGTGAAGAGATCCAAGCCGGAGTTCTATTGTCATGGGGTTGGCAGGCACCACACCCCTAGCCATCTATATAGCTTGAGAGCAAAAGTTTCCACACTGCCTCTAAGTCAGTTTTAACCAACTTGAATCCTCCTCAAAATATTTAACAGCCTCTCTCCTTTTCCCAAACACTGTAACTGCTAAGCTTCCTTTCATCTTTCCATAATCAAACCTGCCTAAAGTTTTTTAGTAAGTTGAAATCACGTGTTCTTTTGCACATTAACAATCCATTCCATCCCCCAGGGAACAGCCTTTGCCAGAGTATGAAGGAACTCCAAGGAGTTAGGGTTGGAAATTGGCATTAGCCACAGCTGAAGTTAGTTTTTTCAAGCAAAACCCTGTGAAGTTCTTCATTTTGCTGAAAACCATGTGCTGGCTTAATGCCTTTTTGTTCTGGTTGAGACCAAATGCTTCTCAAATGAGTCTGCTAGAAGGGTCTTTAGTGAGAACTGTATTCCCTCTTAGCATTCTTCAATTTGCATTTGGTTTGGGTTAATTGGTTAATGGTGAAAATAAGTACTTACATCGATTGCCCCTAAATCAGGAGTTGCTGCTGCTGCTTCTGCTATATCCCATCATGACAGCCTGCTGTTACTCACAGCTGGCAGATACTGTAAACTGTGTTGCCACGTCAGCTGCCCAGAACCTTTCTGCTTCAGCAGCAGTTTCCCATCGGAATGGCTTAATAGGCAGCTCCTGAGGCTGGAAACATGATCTGACCACCATATTGAGAAGGTCTGAAAAAAGAGGCCACTCTCTGACATTACAGAAACCACACACTCCCCTTTGTATTTCTAAATGAGAGTTCCAAAGAGAACCTAACTGTTACATTGAATTCCTAAACAATCAGGGCAGCAAGTTAATAATTGGGAAAAAATTCCATCGGGATTAGACATTGAAAAAGTGAAAATTAGGAACTCAGCATAACAGATGTTAGTTCATTATAAAATTGTTAGTTTGGAGTAGCAAAAAAGTGAAGATGTGAATGCTCATGAATAAAGAAATAGTTGGATAAATAATGAGATATTTATGTTGTGAAGCATTAGGATACCTAATAACAAATAATAAAGCTATGCCAGTTGACTTGGAAGGGTTTCTATGACATATTATTGAGTGAAAAGGTATATTATCCCACATGCCATTATATATGCATATACAGAATTATTTCAGTTTATTTATGAGTATGTAGGTATCAAAGAAGACTATTTATATAATCAGAAGAAATAATAAAGCTGTCTTTATTAGGTAAGAATCACTGACAAGTGGTAACTTGCCTGAACTCTTAGGCTTCCAAGCCCTCTGCTGAATCTTAAATGGATCTGGGTTTTTCCTCTCTCTGTTCCAAACACACAAAAGAATCCTAAAGATGTCTTCTGCTTATCTGGAAAAGACAAGCCACGCAAAAGAGACAATGTAAAATCCTCTTCCAGCCCAGACCTCACACAGCCCTTCCCTCTTTTGAGATTGTTCTCAGAGGCAGGTCAACTCTTCACGTCCTTTCTACAGAGGCAGGGACCCCAGAACATGTTGTTGACAGTGCTGTTCAATCCATACTGTCTCAGATAGTGCCTCCAGGGGTGATTCAGAAATTATTTTAAAAACTACCGATTGCAGAAAAGAGGAGACTTAGAATTGATCAACCAATCCCTGCATTTTAGCACCAGCCAAAAACTGGGAAATAAGCACTTATTGATCAATGACCAAATAACCAATGCATCTTACATAATTAGAACATAAGAGAGGTCACTATGTATTTCTCAGCCACTTTTTTGAATTAAAATGAAGTGAGCTGGGCAAGGTGGTTCATGCCTGTAATCCCAGCATTTTGGGAGGCTGAGCCAGGCAGATCGCTTGAGCCCAGGAGTTTGAGATCAGCCTGGGCAACATGGTGAAACCCCATCTCTACTAAAATTATAAAAATTAGCCCTGTGCGATGGCGTGCACCTGTACTCCCAGCTACCTGGGGGGCTGAGGTTGAGAGGCATGAGGTCAAGAATTCAGTGAGTCAAGATCACACCACTTCACTCCAGCCTGGGTGACAGAGTAAGACCTTGTCTCAAAAAAAGAAAATTATGTGAGGCATATGAATGTACTTGGATGTTAAATTATCTTAATTATATAGACAACAGAAGCTTTTTTTAATGGGGAAAATTATAGAAAATTCAAGTTTTCACTCACCTTAATGGCTGTGTATGAAGTACATACAAGTGTGAAGCAGAAGGCACATATGTATTGGGTATTTATTACCCTGGAATGGAGGAAGTTCTCAATGTTAAATAGGGAAGAGTCCTGATTTGGGTAAAATTTCTGAATTGTACAACTGTTTCCAAAATAACTTTTTAGGAGCTGTTCCAAGGTGGCCAAATAGGAACAGCTCCAGTCTGCAGCTCCCAGCGTGATTGATGCAGAAGACAGGTGATTTCTGCATTTCCAACTGAGGTACCTGGTTCATCTCACTGGGACTGGTCGGACAGTGGATGCAGTCCACAGAGGGCAAGCCAAAGCAGGGCAGGGCATCACCTCACCCAGGAAGCACAAGGGGTCGGGGGATTTCCCTTTCCTAACCAAAGGAAGCCGTAACAGACTGTACCTAGAAAAACGGGACACTGCCGCCCAAATATTGCATTTTTCCCAAGGTCTTAGCAACCAGCAGACAAGGAGATTCTCTCCTGTGCCTGGCTCAGTGGATCCCACGCCCACGGAGCCTTGCTCACTGCTAGCACAGCAGTCTGAGATCAATCTGTGAGGTGGCAGCCTGGCTGGGGGAGGAGAGTCTGCCATTGCTGAGGCTTGAGTAGGTAAACAAAGCAGCCAGGAAGCTCGAATTGGGTGGAGCCCACTGCAACTTAGCAAGGCCTCTGTCTCTATAGACTCCACCTTTATGGGCAGGGCATAGCTGAACAAAAGGCAGCAGACAGCTTCTGCAGACATAAATGTCCCTGTCTGACAGCTCTGAAGAGAGCAGTGATTCTCCCAGCATGGTGTTTGAGCTCTGAGAACGGACAGACTGCCTCCTCAAGTGGGTCCCTGATCCCTGTGTAGCCTAACTGGGAGATAAGACGCCTCCCAGTAGGGGCCAAGAGACACCTCATATAGGCGGGTGCCCCTCTGGGACAAAGCTTCCAGAGGAAAGACCAGGCAGCAATATTTGCCGTTCTGCAATATTTGCTGTTCTGGAGCCTCCACTGGTGACACCCAGGTACACAGAGTCTGGAGTGGACCTCCAGCAAACTCCAACAGACCTACAGCTGAGGGACCTGACTGTTAAAAGGAAAACTAGCAAACAGAAAGGAATAGAACCAACATCACCAAAAAGGACATCTACACCAAAATCCCATCTGTAGGTCACCAACATCAAAGACCAAAGGTAGACAAAAACACAAAGATGGGGAGAAACCGGAACAGAAAAGCAGAAAAATCTAAAAACCAGAGCACCTCTTCTCTTCCAAAGGATCGCAGCTCTTTGCCAGCAATGGAACAAAGCGGGACAGAGAATGACTTTGATGAGTTGACAGAAGTAGACTTCAGGAAGTCGGTAATAACAAACTTCTCCGAGCTAAAGGAGCATGTTCAAACCCATCGCGAGGAAGCTAAAAACCTTGAAAAAAGGTTAGACGAATGGCCAACTAGAATAAACAGTGTAGAGAAAATCTTAAATGACCTGATGGAGCTGAAAACCATGGCACAAGAACTTCATGACGCATGCACAAGCTTCAATAGCCAATTCGATCAAGTGGAAGAAAGGGTATCAGTGATTGAAGATCAAATTAATGAAATGAAATGAAAAGACAAGGTTAGAGACAAAAGGGTAAAAAGAAATGAACAAAGCCTCCAGGAAATATAAGACTATGTGAAAAGACCAAATCTACATTTGATTGGTGTACCTAAAAGTGATGGGGAGAATGGAACCAAGTTGGAAAACACTCTTCAGGACATTATCCAGGAGAAATTCCCCAATCTAGCAAGGCAGGCCAACATTCAAATTCAGGAAATACAGAGAACGCCACAAAGATACTACTCGATAAGAGCAACTCCAAGACACATAATTGTCAGATTCACCAAAGTTGAAGTGAAGGAAAAAATGTTAAGGGCAGCCAGAGAGAAAGGTTGGGTTACCCACAAAGGGAAGCCCATCAGACTAACAGTGGATCTCTTGGCAAAAACCCTACAAGCCAGAAGAGAGTCAGGGCCAATATTCAACATTCTTAAAGAAAGGAATTTTCAACCCAGAATTTCATATCTAGCCAAACTAAGCTTCATAAGTGAAGGAGAAATAAAATCCTTTACAGACAAGCAAATGCTGAGAGATTTTGTCACCACCAGGCCTGCCTTACAAGAGCTCCTGAAGGAAGCACTAAACATGGAAAGGAGCAACCAGTACCAGCCACTGCAAAAACAAACCAAAATGTAAAGACCATCAATGCTAGGAAGAAACTGCATCAATTAACGGGCAAAATAACCAGGTAACATCATAATGACAGGATCAAATTCACACATAACAATATTAACCTTAAATGTAAATGGGCTAAATGCCCCATTTAAAAGACACAGACTGGCAAATTGGATAAACAGTCAAGACCCATCAGTGTGCTGTATTCAGGAGACACATCTCAGGTGCAGAGATGCACACAGGCTCAAAATAAAGGGATGGAGGAAGCTCTACCAAGCAAATGGAAAGCAAAAAAAAGCAGGGGTTGCAATCCAACTCTCTGGTAAAACAGACTTTAAACCAACAAAGATCAAAAGAGACAAAGAAGGCCATTACATAATGCTAAAGGGATCAATTCAACAAGAAGAGCTAACAATCCTAAATATATATGCACCCAATACGTGAGCACCCAGATTCATAGAGCAAGTCCTGAGAGACCTACAAAGAGACTTAGACTCCCACCCAATAATAATGGGAGACTTTAACACCCCAGTGTCAATATTAGACAGATTAACGAGACAGAAGGTTAACAAGGATATCCAGGACTTGAACTCAGCTCTGCACCAAGCAGACCTAATAGACATCTACAGAACTCTCCACTCCAAGTCAACAGAATATACATTCTTCTCAGCACCACGTTGCACTTATTCCAAAATTGACCACATAGTTGGAAGTAAAGCACTCCTCAGCAAATATAAAAGAATAGAAATTACAACCAACTGTCTCTCAGACCACAGTGCAATCAAATTAGAACTCAGGATTAAGAAACTCACTCAAAACCACACAACTACATGGAAACTGAACAACCTGCTCCTGAATGACTACTGGGTACATAACGAAATGAAGGCAGAAATAAAGATGTTCTTTGAAACCAATGAGAACAAAGACACAACATACAATCTCTGGGACACATTTAAAGCAGCATGTAGAGGGAAATTTATAGCACTAAATGCCCACAAGAGAAAGCAGGAAAGATCTAAAAGTGACACCCTAACGTCGCAATTAAAAGAACTAGAGAAGCAAGAGCAAACACATTCAAAAGCTAGCAGAAGGCAAGAAATAACTAAGATCAGAGCAGAACTGAAAGAGATAAGAGACACAAAAAACCCTTCAGAAAATCAATGATTCCAGGAACTGATTTTTTGAAAAGATCAACAAAATTGATAGACTGCTAGCAAGACTAATAAAGAAGAAAAGAGAGAAGAATCAAATAGATGCAATAAAAAATTATAAAGGGGATATCACCACCAATCCCACAGCAATACAAACTACCATCAGAGAATACTATAAACACCTCTATGCAAATAAACTGGAAAATCTAGAAGAAATGGATACATTCCTGGACACACACAACCTTCCAAGACTAAACCAGGAAGAAGTTGAATCTCTGAATAGACCAATAACAGGCTCTGAAATTGAGGCAATAATTAATAGCCTACCAACCAAAAAAAGTCCAGGACCAGACAGACTCACAGCTGAATTCGACCAGAGGTACAAAGAGGAGCTGGTACCATTCCTTCTGAAACTATTCCAATCAATAGAAAAAGAGGGAATCCTCCCTAACTCATCTTATGAGACCAACATCATCCTAATAGCAAAGCCTGGCAGAGACACAACAAAAAAACAGAATTGTAGACCAATATCCCTGATGAACATCGATGCGAAAATCCTCAATAAAATACTGGCAAAGCAAATCCAGCAGCACATCAAAAAGCTTATCCACCACGATCAAGTGGGCTTCATCCCTGGAATGCAAGGCTGGTTCGACATATGCAAATCAATAAACGTAATCCATCACATAAACAGAAACAACAAAAAACCACATGATTATCTCAATAGATGCAGAAAAAGACTTCGACAAAATTCAACAGCACTTTGTGCTAAAAACTCTCAATAAACTAGGTATTGATGGAACATATTGCAAAATAATAAGAGCTGTTTATGACAAACCCACAGCCAATATCATACTGAATGGGCAAAAACTGGAAGCATTCCCTTTCAAAACTGGCACAAGACAAGGAAGCCCTCTCTCACCACTCCTGTTCAACATAGTGTTGGAAGTTCTGGCCAGGGCAATCAGGCAAGAGAAAGAAACAAAGGGTATTCAATTAGGAAAAGAGGAAGTCAAATTGTCCCTGTTTACAGATGACATGATTGTATATTTGGAAAACCCCATTGTCTCAGCCCAAAATCTCCCTAAGCTGATAAGCAACTTCAGCAAAGTCTCAGGATACAAAAGCAATGTGCAAAAATCACAAGCATTCCTACACACCAATAACAGACAAACAGAGAGCCAAATCATGAGTGAACTCCCATTCACAATTGCTTCAAAGAGAATAAAATACCTGGGAATCCAACTTACAAGGGATGTGAAGGATCTCTTTAAGGAGAACTACAAACCACTGCTCAAGGAAATAAAAGAGGACACAAACAAATGGAAGAACAGTCCATGCTCATGGATAGGAAGAATCAATATTGTGAAAATGGCCATACTGCCCAAGGTAATTTGTAGATTCAATGCCATCCCCATCAAGCTACCAATGACTTTCTACACAGAATTGGAAAAAACTAATTTAAAGTTCATATGGAACCAAAAAAGAGCCCGCATTGCCAAGACAATCCTAAGCAAAAAGAACAAAGCTAGAGGCATCACTCAACCTGACTTCAAACTATACTACAAGGCTACAGTAACCAAAACAGCCTGGTACTGGTACCAAAACAGATACATAGACCAATGGAACAGAACAGAGGCCTCAGAAATAACACCACACGTCTACAACCATCTGATCTTTGACAAACCTGACAAAAACAAGCAATGGGGAAGGGATTCCCTATTTGATAAATGGTGCTGGGAAAACTGGCTAGCCATGTGTAGAAAGCTGAAACTGGATCCCTTCCTTACACCTTATACAAAAATTCATTCAAGATGGATTAAAGATTTAAATGTTAGACCTAAAACCATAAAAACCCTAAAAGAAAACTTAGGCAATACGATTCAGGACATAGGCATGGGCAAGGACTTCATGTCTAAAACACCAAAAGCAATGGCAACAAAAGCCAAAATAGACAAATGGGATCTAATTAAACTAAAGAGCTTCTGCATGGCAAAAGAAACTACCATCAGAGTGAACAGGCAACCTACAGAATGGGAGAAAATTTGTGCAATCTATCCAACTGACAAAGGTCTAATATCCAGAATCTACAAAGGACTCAAACAAATTTACAAGAAAAAAACAAACAACCTCATCAAAAAGTGGGTAAATGATAAGAACAGACACTTCTCAAAAGAAGACTTTTATGCAGCCAACAGACACATGAAAAAATGCTCATCATCACTGGTCATCAGGGAAATGCAAATCAAAACCACAATGAGATACCATCTCACTCCAGTTAGAATGGCAATCATTAAAAAGCCAGGAAACAACAGATGCTGGAGAGGATGTGGGGAAATAGGAATGCTTTTACACTGTTTGTGGGAGTGTAAACTAGTTCGACCATTGTGGAAGACAGTGTGGCATTTCCTCAAGGATCTAGAACTAGAAATACCATTTGACCCAGCAATTGCATTTCTGGGTATATACCCAAAGGATTATAAATCATGCTACTATAAAGACACATGCACACATATGTTTACTGCGGCACTATTGACAATAGCAAAGACTTGGAACCAACCCAAATGCCCAACAATGATAGACTAGATTAAGAAAATGTGGCACATATACACCATGGAATACTATGCAGCCATAAAAAAGATGAGTTTATGTCCTTTGTAGGGACATAGATAAAGCTAGAAACCATCATTCTCAGCAAACTATCACAAAGACAGAAAACCAAACACCACATGTTCTCACTCATAGGTGGGAACTGAACAATGAGAACACATGGACACAGGGTGGGAAACATCACATACTGGGGCCTGTTGGGGGTTGGGGGGCTGGGGGAGGGATAGCATTAGGAGAAATACCTAATGTAAATGACGAGTTGATGGGTGCAGCAAACCAACATGACACATGTCTACCTATGTATCAAAACTGCACGTTGTGCACATGTACGCTAGAACTTAAAGTATAATAACAAAAAAAAGAAAAAGAAATAACTTTTTAAAAAGAAATGTTCTTTTACTTCCACTACAAAAATAATTCAAAGTAGAGTCCTAAACATTTTTTGTAATCCTAAAGTATCTTGTCTCAGTTTGTATGGGCTGCTGTAACAAAATATCATAGGTTGTGTGGCTTATAAACAGCTGTTTAGTCCTCACAGTTCTGGCATCTCAAAAGTCCAAGCTCGAGAGGATGGCAGATTGAGTGTTTCGTGAAGACCCATTCCTCATATGCAGACATCTCACTGTGACCTCGCATGGTGGAAAGGATGACTGAGATCCCTCAGGCCTCTTTTGTAAGGGCATTAATCCCATTAATAATGGTTCCACCCTCATGACCTAATCACCTCCCAAAGTCCCCACCTCCTGATACCATTACCTTGGGAGTTAGGATTTCAACATATTAATTGTGGGGGAAAACAAACAATCAAACCATAGCACTTATCTCTAATTCAACCCATAATTTTAGACAGAAATAATCAGAGATTCAGGCCAGGCACAGCGGCTTTTACCTGTAATCCCAGCACTTTGGGAGGCTGAGGCAGGCAAATCACTTGAGCTCAGGAGTTCAAGACTAGCCTGGGCAACAGGGCGAATCCCTCTCTCTACAAAAAATACAAAAATTAGCCAGGCATAGTGGTGTGCCTATTGTCCCAGCTACTTGGGAGGCTGAGGTGGGAGGATCACTTGAACCCAAGAGGTTGAGGCCACAGTGAGCTGTTATCACACCAGTGCATTCCAGCCTGGACAGCAAAATGAAACCCTGTCTCAAAAAAAATAAAATAAATTAGAGATTCAGAAAGGTTAAATAACTTGCCAAGGTCGCACAGTAGAACTCAGGGCTTTTGGCTCTCAAAGATCCCAAAACATCGTGCTGCAAATATTAAAAGCAGTTCTTGTGGAAAGTGGCTTGTCATAATTAGAAAAGACACTCATAATTACCATATTCTTGCTTTGTGTGCAAAGAGCACTTCCTGAGATTTATGCAAAGAATAATTAAATATGGCCTGCATTTGCCATCTTGTCTCGCAATTAGTTTATTCTCCTTTAGGTTGTTCATAATTACTCAACTAGACGAAATTAAGGATACAAGTAGATATCCATAAAGAGCAGAATGTGAACAAATGCCAAGTGTGTGATATCAACATTAAGTGCTGTGAGAGGTCAGCAGTGGGAGATGAATTCAAATTAACTTGGGGTGGTGGAGAACAAAAGATTCGTGAAAAAAGAAATAAGAAGGAATATTAAAAGATTTCTTACCTGCGAATGTTGCACATATTTAAGAACATTTGTATTACACAGGCTCCTATTTGATAATATTGAGCTTTAGTTTACATGGAACTTGTGACCCCCAATCCTAAGACAATATTGCAACCTCATTTCCCACACATGTCCCCTATTTAAAAAGAGACACATTTGGAATATGTGCAAAAAGCGTACATCCACATACTCATAGACCTGCATTTTCTTTGGTTCAGACAGCTTGGATAAATTAGGGAAGTTACTAGACTTGTCTGCATGTAACTAAACAATAGAATAAAAATGAAAGCAGGAGGCTGAAGCAGGAGAATCACTTGAACCTGGGAGGCAGAGGTTGCAGTGAGCCAAGATCGTGCCATTGCACTACAGCCTGGGCGACAGAGCGAGACTTTATCTCAAAAAAAGAAAAGAAAAAGAAAGGCTGGGCACGGTGGCTCACACCTGTAACCCCAACACTTTGGGAGGCCAAGGCAAGAGGATTGCTTGAGTCCAGAAGTTCGAGACCAGCCTGAGGGACATAACAAGACCCCCATTTCTAAAACAAAAACAAACCAAAAAAAAAGTGAAAAATGCAATAACTGGGCCAGGCGTGGTGGCTCACACCTGTAATCCCAGCACTTTGGGAGGCAGAGGCAGGCGGTCAAGAGATCGAGACCATTCGGGCCAACATGGTGAAACCCTGTCTGTACTAAAAATACAAAAATTAGCTGGGTGTGGTGGCACACGCCTGTAGTCCCAGCTACTTGGGAGGCTGAGGCAGGATAATTGCTCAAACCCAAAAGGCGGAGGTTGCAGTAAGCCAAGATCACACCACTGCACTCACGCCTGGCGACAGAGCATGACTCCGTCTCAAAAACAAACAAACAAACAAAATGCAATAACTGATGTGCTTCTAAATACATACTTTTGGGTGTCATAGGCACATCCTTTCCAACATCACCAGCAGATTGGAAGTATTAGCTCAGACTTCACTAAACCAAAACCCATGGCAGAAAATAATAAGTATAAATGTTTCTTCTCGAAAGAATTTTAATCTCCAATACTTAAGCTAAATTACTTATTTACAATAGACGAGAAATCTCACGTTTATCCACCACGAGTCTGAGTCAAGTATTGGGAAAACATCTTGAACTCCTCAGGAGTGACTATGTAAAATGTGAAAAGCCCCTTTTTAGAGCAAAGGCAGTATATCACATGGTTATGTGTGTGGGCTCTGAAGACATACTGCCAGGCTGGGTCCTGGTTCTGCCACTCTCTAGTTCCATGATATCAGGTAAATCATTGAATCTCTCTGGGCCTCAGCTTCCTTATCTGTGAAATGGGGTTAGTAGTAACTACCTCAAAGGTTGTTGTGAAGAGTGATTGAATCATTACCAGTAAAGCATTTAGACTATTGCTGCAGCCTATGGTCTATACCTCTAACTTAATAGTAATTAGTAAATTGTTATGCTATTATTTAACAATTGTTGAGTGCTTACAGTTTGTCAGCTTTATGCTGTTTTTTATATGTATATAATTTTATGCAATCCACACAGCAGCCCTTTGATGTAGCTACTGTCATCCATCCCCTTCTATTATAGGTGAGAAAACTGAAGCTCAGAGAAGGTGGGTAATTTGCTCAATGGCCCACAGCTAGCAAGGATAGAACCAGACTTTGAGTCGGCTGGGTGCGGTGGCTCATGCCTGTAATCCCAGCACTTTGGGAGGCCGAGGCAGACGGATCACGAGGTCAGGAGATCAAGACCATCCTGGCTAACATGGTGAAACCCCATCTCTACTAAAAATACAAAAAATTAGCCAGGCGAGGTGGCGGGCGCCTGTAGTCCCAGCTACTCGGGAGGCTGAGGCAGGAGAATGGCATAACCCGGAAGGTGGAGCTTGCAGTGAGCTGAGATCGCGCCACTGCACTCCAGTCTGGGCGACAGAGCAAGACTCCGTCTCAAGAACCAGACTTTGAGTCTAGGTCTAGTATGAATCAAGAGCTTGAACTTTTAATCCCTGTTTATACTTCCTCCCAAGTCAGCAGTTCAAAAATATACAACATAGACCCATTCCTCTGCTCATCCATTCACTGGTTCATTCGCTGAGAGCTGGCTGTGTGCCAGGCACTGTCCCTGGTGTAGTGGGTGTAGAGGTGAAACAGATAGACCAGAAGGGTGCTGCCTGCATGGAGCCTAGGCACCAGGGAGGGAGGGAGGGAGACAAGAGAACAAAAATAAACCCATCATGTAATGCCAGCGGGGGTAAGTGCATAAGGAAGGGTCAGAGGATAGAGAGCATCAGGGCCCGGATGGGAGGCTATTTTAGGCAGAGAAGTCAGGGAATACTTCTTTGAGAAGTGGAAATGAATCCGGTGAGGGGTTTTTCGTGGCAAGAATGGCAGGGGGAAATGTAGAAGACAGAGTGACTGTAAGTGCAAACGTCTGGAGGCAGAAATGAGCTGTGCCTATTGGAAGAGTGAGGAGGCAGAGATACTAGAGGGAGTTGGTTTGGAGAGAGAAGGTGTAAAATAGCCTCTCAAAGAATAGGAAAGTGAATTAACTAGGGAAATGAGGCAGCACTGCCAGGCACCACTGAGAATCCACTTGCACTCTGTGCATAAAATTAAGACCAGTAAGTCAGCTATGTATTTTTATCCAGCCACACTCTGAGATTTGGTGCCAGGATGCAGACCTGAATTGGTGAGTAGATTTTTATCAGGTCTGGGGTTTGCCAGGGGAAAGCATCGGAGAAACACGAGAGCCAGGGAGTTGAACAGGGACCATGGACTCAGGCTGGGAAAGGAAGGATAAAAGGGGAACCTGAGGGTCATGATGGACAACGAAAAAGTATATGGATTAGGGAACCTGGTGAGGCCAGATGATGGTCAGAGTTGGGGTTCTAGAGGGAGGAACTGGAAGTGAGGAGGTGGTGGTCAGAGTAGGATGCCAGAAATCCACATTTTTGAGGTTGGAACAAATACTAGGAAAGCCAATCACCATAGCATGACTGAGAGCGGGTGGCTGAGGGAGGAGGAAGGGCTGCTGGCTCTAAGGAAGGTAAGAAATCAAGAGGCCAGAATACTACCTGCATCACCAGCTTCTCCAACCTGGCCACATTCTAGAATGACCTGGGAGCTCTTAAAAAAGGCACATGCCATCTCGGTGTGGGGACTCACACCTGTAATCCCAGCACTTTGGGTGACCGAGGCAGGTGGATCACTTGAGGTCAGGAGTTTGAGACCAGCCTCGCCAATGGTGAAACCCTGTTTCTACCAAAAAGTACAAAAATTAGCCGGGCATGGTGGTGTGTGCCTATAGTCCCAGCTACTCGGGAGGCTGAGGTGGTGAATTGCTTGAACCCAGGAGGGAGAGGTTGCAGTAAGCCAAGATGGCGCCACTGCACTCCAGCCTGGGTGACAGACTGAGACCCTGTCTCAAAAAATAAAATAAAATAAAAATACACATGCCTCCAACTCCCCAAAGATTCAGGCTTAATTGGGAAGAAACAGGGAAAGAGGAGAGAAGCTTAATGGTGGGCATTTTTAAAATCTTCCCAGACAATTGTAAAGCGCAGCCAGGGGTGGGACTGACTGAATTACGTGGACAATGCAATCACCAAGAGAAGAGCAAAGGAGAGCCGGCAGGGGCTCAAAGCTTCACTCAGTGGGAAGAGTGACAGCAGGCTGGTAAGAGGCCATGGCACAAGAGGCTTACACAGATTCCCATGGCCTGTGCTTCCAAGCTCGGGGGAGGGTTAGGGAGAAGCATAGCCTGGGAGTGGCCATGAGGAGCAATGCAGATACCTACCCCACCATCAGGCCCTGGTACATTTGAGGGGTGTCCCCCTGTCCCCAGGAGCTAGTCGGGCATCATTTAGAGCACAACAGTGAGGTTGAGGATATAGAGGAAGGGGCTAGGGGTCAGGCGCCTGGGAGATGAAGTCAAATAAAGAACCATACAGAGCTGTGTAGGGGAAGGGCCTGGGAGCCTTGTACTCAGGTAATCACCAGGTAGGGCACAGCGGGATTAGGATCAAGGCCTTTTAGGTGAAGGTGGGTAATCTATTCTAATTAGAGCTTCTCTTTTGTATTTTATTTAGACTCTTGGGCAGCATATTAGTTTCCTGTGGCTGCCATAACAAATTACCACAAACTTTGTAGCCTAAAACAACAGAAATGTATTCTCCAATGATTCTGAAGCCCAGAAGTCTGGAATCGAGGTGTGGGCAGGGTCACGCTCCCTCTGCAGCCTCTAGAGGAGAACCCTTTCCTGCCTCTTCTGGCTTCGGGTGGCTCCCAGCCAGCCTTGACATTCTCTGGCTTGTAGCTGCATCAGCCCAATTTCTGCCTCCATCTTCACACGGCCATCTTCCTTCTGTGTGTGGCCAAATCCCTCTCTCTCCTTACAAAGATGGCAGACACTGGATTTATGCCTTGAGCCAATCCAGTATGGCCTAATCTTAACTTGATTACATTTGCAAATACCCTATTTCCAAATAAGGTCACATTCACATATACCACAGGCTAGAACTTCAACATATCTTTTGGGGGACACAATTCAACTCACAGCAGGCAGTTGGTGAAAGCGATGTGACATCTGGGAATGGGGTTCCCACCTAAATAACACCAGCTCTTTGGGCCACTATGAATTCCACTGAGAGGGTGTCACAGCCAGAAGAGCGTCAGCCATAGGCCTCCTTTCTGGCCCTCTGTGTCAGGGCAGGGGAAAGACAGTCTCAGCAGGCACAAACACAGCTCCATGGGCCTCCTCAAACCCACTTGAGAGAGAAAACAAAGCTCCACCGGGAAAATGCATCGTCACAGTGGATAAACAAGTAAACTCTCTGTTCATAGCAGGTCAGCAGTGTCTTTGAATACACATATTGCATATATTTGATGAGAAGCCACAATCTGACAAGAGAATGAAAGCCTAAAAAATGTCCTGCTAGCTCATCATTAGCAACAAGCAGTGAAACTGGACCAATCAAGACAACAAAAATAACCTGTGTTGTGTGGCAGAAGCTAATTTCGTTAAATGGGTAAAGTACTCCATCTATCAATTATCAAGAATTAAGTGCCTAATATTGCAATGTTAACACAGGAAAAATAAAATGCCCAGCGCCCTCCTGTGCTTACCCACTAGTTGGGGATGTGAAGAAAACTAGAGCCACATATTAAAGACAGGGTATAGTTAATTGTTAAATTTTATGATGTAGATAGACTCAATAACACAGAAATACAAAAATAGGAGAGATCAAAGATTGAGGATTACTCAATAACACAGAAATACAAAAATAGGAGAGATCAAAGATTGATGATTACTCAAATTGGGCTTTCTGGAGTTTGGTATTTCCATTCTGTATATTCCAGTCACCAGGCTGGCTGGACCCTAAACCCTCTACATTCACCCTGAGAGAGTCTCAGCATTCCTGTTTTACAGGTGAAGAAACCAAGATTCACAGACATGAAGTGGCTTGCCCAAGGTCAGATAGCAAAAATTTCCAAGTCGAGAATTGAGCACAAGTCTTTATCCCCAATTCCAAGGCTTTTTCTACAATGCACTGAAGGATGAGTAGGGTCTGGATAGGTAAGGGAAAACAAGAAGAGTGGTTCATGTATGGGAAATAGGATTAATATTTTATTATTACATTTAGCTCATCAGCTCCTGAGAGCTGGCCTGAATCCCCAGATGAGAAGCGGCTGTCAGTCTCTTAAAATATCTGCTCTTAAAATATCTGGGTCAGTGAGAAGAGGATCACAAGGTCTCCTTGTGGTTATTTTTAACTTAAAAAATATAACCTTTAAAGCAAAAGAGAGGATAAAAATGAAATTAATAAATAAATCAGAATTTTTACAAGCTGAAGTCAAAAGAGAGCTGTTCTATAGGAAGAGCAGGTTATTGACCCTGATTTGGAAGCTGTAGGGAGGTATCCTTGGTGGATCACAGTGGTTCCTGGCTCCATCATATCTGTAAAGGGTGGCCTGGAATCAGAAAATGGACCTGAGACATGAGCAGAAATGCAAAGCAGGAAACGTGCAAGGGCTAGTGCCACTCCCTCACACTGCCTCCAGAAAGGCATTGCCCTTCACCCTTTCTTGAGAGAAGAAAGGGAGGAAGAAATTCAGCAAACCTGTCCCAGCTTCTACCACTGGCTCTCGCAATTTTCAGAACAAAAGGAAAGGAAGGGGAATCTTTTAAGCAAGCGTGGTATGTTACGTGAAAGTGGCACCAATTGACATGTAAATGCTGTTTTAATATTGAGAAAGATATTCTGAGCACTGCTTTATGTTCATTGTGACAAATTAGCAATAACACTAACGCCCTGCACAGCTTTTCCATCAAGTCAAAGGTACTAGGAATGAGGAAGGAATTCTAGTTGTAAGTGCCAGAAAATATGTCCCCCTCAAAGGGAGAGGTTCCTGCAAAGCACCCCACTGTGTCACATGTCAACGCAGCACATGAAAACAGTAGGTTTCCCTCAGGTCTGAGGCAAGACAGGCACTTTCCTGCACTGAATCCCATGCAGGGGAAAAAGTATCACATATAATAGAAGTCCCGCATCTAAGGAATTGACTCCTTGGTCGCATCTCTAATCCAAGACCTGGATCATAGCAAGTTTCACCATTAGCTGAACATCATTGAAGGACAGGACTAACATATACAATGCAGCAAGTCAAATATGCGAATCTATGGCTATCTGAGGACTGAATTGCTAAGGGAGTTCTGAGACAGAAAGATCAATATAAGCTGGCTTCACTGAGGAAATGAGCCTTCAACTGGACCCTGAATGGATACAACTTGCATAGAAAGGGAATGACAGAATCTTGGTACAGGGAGACTTCTTCCTCCAGGGTCTGGCATGCACCAGACACCATGGTGGACAAGATGCATCCCGATCCCCACTTTCATAGAGCTCATAGTCTAGCAATCAGTCTACTTACAGAAGAGGGTACTGGTGGGTCATGACAAAAGCTGGCACTTATGTAGGGTCTATGATGTGCCAGGCACTATGCTAAGCGCTTCGCAAATATAATCTTATTTGATCCCCATAGCAACTCAATGATAAGGCCATTACTATTATCATCATTTTATGCATGGGAAACTGAGCTCACAGACCTAATTAGTGGTGAAGCAAAAATTCAAATCCAAGGTTTCCTGGCTTATGAGCCATTCTTTCTCCACCATACCACATGGGAAGTAAGATCAGATGAGATTGTATGATGTAGTGCTTGAAAGCCAGGTGAAGTAATTCATATCTGCTATGGAAGAGATAGGAAGTTATCTGTTATCAGTTCTCTCTTCCTGCTGCTGTGTACCCCCTCTGTCAAAGTCATATTCCCAAGAGATACACATGGAGCTTAAAGGATCCTGCTGGTAAGACATACTTCCCCTGCTCCCAGATCTCCATCAGCTTTCCCGCCTTAGAGAACTGCAATATTTTTCTCTCTCCCTTAAATCCTAAACCAATGATAGCCATAAGAAACCAGTCCCCACGGTTTTTCTCATCCAGCCCCTGTACTGGCTTTTTTCAGGGTTCCTAAGATCCACAAGAACCCTGGAAGTTACCCGAGATCAAACACCCCCATCTTTTAAGTGGCATCTTATCACCCAAAACATCTAAAGGAGAAGACAGATGTTTGGAAAGTTCTCCCTACTTTTAGTTCTTTAGTTTACCCACCAGATCTTCCCAGAGAGGGAAAGGGGTATCAGAAAAGGGGTGTCTGCACTCTCTCCACCTCCTTAGAGGACCAGGGATTCTTCCCTGCCCTCCATCCTCTCTATTTCTGAGTTGCAAGTACCGCTCCCTAACTAGGCTAGGGTCAGGACGGGCACGGTAAAGCTCATCCCACCTGAAGGGCATAGAACTGGAAATGCTGCAATAAAAGAGGAAATTATTACATTTTGAAGGATAAACCTATTTATCAATGACAAAACACTTTCAGAAACACCACTTCATTTGAATCTCTCATAATAGTTTATACTACCTTCCCTCTTCCTTTCTTTAACAGATGAGTAAACTGAGGTACACAGAAGAGAAATGATTCTCTAAAGTTACAGAGGTAATAGTTGCAGCCAGCCAGGCCCCTGAGCCCAAATTCTATGCTCTCTGCTCTCCAGCATGTACACTCAGGAATCTTGATTTAGATAAGGATGCCAGATAGAGACAGGAAAGTTTAATAGTCATTCCGTATCCTCATCCTAACAGATTAGGGAGATTTAACCAAATAGTTTTGGTTTCATTTTATAATCTCCTATGAATCTATCCTCCAACAATATAAATCTCTTACAATATTTGCTTTTGGTCTTAGCAAACTTTAAGAGTAGTAAGTTCTATATGCTTACTCTTCTTCTGTTAAAAAGTGCTATTTTTACTTTGCCCTAAAACTATTTCTTTAAAATGTTAAAGTCGTCCGTAGTTCCTATGCTCGGGGATTTAATAAGTTCATATTTTTATCCTAGGTTTTCGTTATCTTGTAAATCTCAATCATATTCCCCCCTCAGCCCATGTCTTTCCTTCCAGAATGAAGAGTTCCAATTCTTTTATCATCGCTCACAAAGAACGCTCTCTACCCTCTTGATCAACTTACATGTCCTTCTCTAGACCTTGTCTGGCTCTGTAATTCTTTGAAGTACATCAGATCATTGGGCTCCCATCACTCTGTCTATTCTTCTGTATAAAAGAGCACAATGGCTTTAGTTAAAATGTAAAAATATTTGACGGATCATTTTAAAAATCAAACAATTCTTTTGCTCCATGTCAGCCCAGCATATGCTGAAAAAATATACATTTTTTTGCTCCAATAAAATGAAATGAATTGAACTCTGCAATGAATTTAAATACACTGGTAAAAGTCAACCTTGTAATCTATTATGAAAATAACTTGCAAAGCACTTTTACATACATTATCTCATTTGACCCTCACATGAACCATGCAAGGTAGAGAAAACATGTGATCCTTATTTTTCACATGAAAACAGTAAAAAGGTAACTAGACTAAGATCAAAGAGCTGGAATTAGAGTCCCAGTCCCTGGCCCTTCATTAAGAGGACGGTGCTTTTGCAACTGTGCAGTGCATCCTTCCTTATATTCACTTGGCACTTATTTTAAATCACCAAACTACCCCTTCTAAGACTTTTAGTGGTAAACAGCACAGTTATGAAATATTACATGGTTCTATTGAAAGGAAACATGTTCAAGACTAGCCTATACCCTATTCTTTTCTCACCCTACACACTCTCCATGGATAATCTCAGCCACACCACAGGCATCAATATCACCCTCATGCAAATGATTCCCAAAGTTGTATCTCCAGGCCACATCTCTCTTCTGAGTCCCAGACAGGTATTTAACATGTCCTGTAAATCTCAATATTTACAAAACTTAACCTTTTGCCCCATCATAGCCCATCTCCACTGCCAAAACCCAATTTTGATGTCCCTCTTCTCAAACATCTAGGAGCTAGGAGTCATCTTGACATTTCCCTCTCCTTTCCTCCTCCTTACCCCTATACCCAATTTAACATCAAGTCCTTTCACTTTCATCTCCTGCATAGCTCTGCCTTCTGTCCATTTCTCTCCTTCCCCATCACCACCACCTTAGTCCAAGATACAACCATCTTTCATTTGGACTTTAATGAACTCCTAGCTGTCCATTCCTCTCTAATCCCTTCTCCCCACTACAGGTGAAGGGATTCCAAAAGGCCATTCTGGTCATGCTACCCCGTTTCACCTCTGCTTACAACACTGCAATGGCACCCCTTGCTTTTAGGGTAAAGTCAAAACTCCCATAACTTGTTTGCACATCCCTGCCTAACCTGGTCCCCACTGCCAGCCTCATCTCACAACAGTTACCTTCATTCCTCAAGCTTCAGCCCCACTAGCCTTCTTTCAGCTCCCTTTATTCACTGTGCTTTCACTACCCACAGGGTCTGGGAATATTCTTCCCTTTCTTCCATATCTAAATCTCTAGGATTAAATTCCTAGAAGCTTCCATCTTCAGATAGAGGCTCAAAGGTCTTTCCTCAGGGAATGTTTCTTGACCTTCCTGAGTTGAATTCCTCCATTAGACCTCAGATGGCACCAGTTTAGCATGATTTTATATATTTGATTAATGTTTGTCTCCCCCACTAGATTTGTAAACTTTTGCTCACATAGAGGCACATTGATAAACATTTATGTGAATAAGCTCACTAATAAGGAAATGATTATATATTATATACCTCCTCACTATGGAATACTAAGCAGCTGTTAAAAAGAGATAACTCTATATACTAATATGAATGTCTATATTTTAAATTTAAAACAGCACATTACAGAACAGTATGCATACTATTTTTAAAACTTACATATCTTTATTTAAAAAAAAAAACACCTCTGTGTTTGTGGAGGGAGTGTGGAGGGGGCCTCTATTTAAAAAGGTTTGCAAGAGTCAAGACTAACAACAAATTGCTTGCAGTGCTTTCCCGGGAGAATGGAAATGAGACAAGAAAGAGGAAAAATAGGATAACAATTTCTACTTATAAATTTCTTGGTGGTTTGACTTTTCCAGTGACTATATGGTATTGTTGTAATTATTTTAACAATGCCATTTCTAAAATAATGATGTAGTTCACCAAAGTTCAAGAAAAGGATCATTTCTAAATACAGTGCGAAAAAGGGAAAAAAGCCACTTTGTATATGATTCCTCAACAAGGATACAGTTCTAGAAACAAGCTAATTTCCAAGTCAGACCTTCAATCTAGCAATAAGTTCTGATGAAGACGTGAAATGGAAGAGAACAAATGGAAATGCCAGAATTTGTTTGTTTAATTCGGTCTTCCCCTCACATCACTTTTATAAACAAAAGAGATTTCAAAAAGTCACTGCTGGCCTGGCACGGTGGCTCACACCTGTAATCCCAGCACTTTGGGAGGCCAAGGTGGGTGGATCACTTGAGGTCAGGAGTCCAAGGCCAGCCTGGCCAATATGGTGAAACCCCGTCTCTAGTAAAAATACAAAAATTAGCTGGGTGTGGTGGCAGGCGCCTGTAGTCCCAGCTACTCGGGAGGCTGAGGCAGGAGAATGGCGTAACCCGGAAAGTGGAGCTTGCAGTGAGCTGAGATCGTGCCACTGCACTCCAGCCTAGATGACAGAGTGAGACTCCATCTCAAAAAAAGAAAAAAAAAAAGTCATTGCTCATTGATTCCTTTATATAAACTTGGAAGGAAAATAAGAAAAAGAAATAATAAAATGAATTTTTCTTAGTTTACTCCAATTGTTTTAAATTAAATACAATTGAGTACATGAAGGCACCTCACCATCCTTTACTTCTCAAATAGCAGCCCTTATTATCTTTACCATAACTCAAATAGAAAAGGTCATTTTCTAAATTCACAGAGATTACAGAGGAAGGAGCAGGGACAAATATACTGGTGGTGCATAGATAGGATCATTCCACGGCTAATGGCAGAAAATCTCACTTTGGTTTGGAGAGAAGTATGTGCAGGTGGAGAGACCCACAGTTATTGAAAAAGGGGAGGTGGGCGTGTGGGCATGATTCCTCCAGCAGCAGCCTACGAGGAAACGCTGGGAAAAGTCTGTGAATATAGAATAAATACTGTCACTTGGAGCTGCATTGATTCTTTTTTCAGACTAACTAATGGCTCAGATGGTAGAACAACCAAACGATGACTAAAATATGAGTCAAATGCTTTCAAATCAAATCATTCCAATGAAACAGGAACAGAGGCAAGCAGAGAACAGGTCATTAGGGGTTCTAACCAAAACGTGTTAAATCTGAAAAAACTCATTCTCCTAAATGACTGTCTCTTTCTATTTAAGTCATTTTGATGTTAGTGAACCAGGGACAATAGATCTTTATTACTTGTGACACGTACTGATCAGCTCTCAGCAGCAGAAAAGACAGCTCCTGGCTGGGCTCATACACTTTTCCCAATCCTGATTTGTCTTCTCTCCCACGATCTATCCAGCATGTCTTCAGTTATGCCAAAGGGTGTTAGAAAACTCTAAAATAAGGCTCAAAGTTTACTTTCTTAATATTTTTGAAAACCAACTTTCACTTAAATATAAAAGTAGTTCATATTAAGATGAAATGGGGTTGGGGGAAGGGAAGTGAGAAGAAGCCTATTATGAAATGGAATCACAGGGCATGAAGCTCCCAGAAGGCTGAAACACACCCCCTGAGATACGGAAGAGGCAGCAGCATGTGCGCTGGGCGTTGTGGAGGCACCACGTGGCCCACAACACACACGTGGGTGATTTCCCTGACATCTTTCTCCTCCCTCTTCCTTCTGCTAATTTCTCCATTTTAAATTCTTTCCTCAAATGTTAATCCCTATTTTACCATTCTATTCTTCAAAAAAATATATATTTTTTCTAAACAAAGCCTCTTACCACATTTATTGGAAGCGGACTTCATCAAGAATAAGTGGAAGTACCTACATCTCCCTGTTGTGTCAGGTGCCTGTTTTTATCCCCATGCCACCTCCTCCTTTCTGAGAATTATCACTCATGCAGTAGGAGGAATAGAGCACAATGTTTAGCACCCAGCAAAAGTACAGGACCTCTCCCAACAAACCAGGATGCCGGCAGAGACTGGAGCTGACTTCAACCTAAGGTACGCACGCTACACACATTCCCAGTTCTCCTCCCTGAATGGATTCACTTAGAAAGGAGGATAACATGATTTTTTAAAAAACTTCTTTTATTGTTTTAAGACATACACAAAATTTATCATTTTTACCATTTTTAAGTGTGCACAGTTAAGCAGTACTAAGTACCTTCCCATTGTTGCGCAACCATAACCATCACACATCTCCAAAACTTTCCATCTTCCCAAACGGAAACATTGTATCATTAAACAGTAACTCTCCATTCTCTCCTCCCACCTTGCAACCACCATTCTACATGTTGCACATTGAGTATCCTTTATCCAAAATCCTTGAGACCAGAAGTGTTTTAGACTTCAGATTTTTTCAGAGTTTGGAATATTCACATTATGCCAGTTGAGCATCCCAAATCCAAAAATCCAAAATCTGAAATGCTCCAATTAGCATTTTCTTTGAGCATCGTGTCGGCATTGAAAAAGTTTCAGTTTTTGGAGCATTTCTCATTTCAGATTTTGGATGTCAACCTGTACTTTCTGTTTCTATGAATTACACTACTCTAGGTACTTCATATAAGTGGAATCATATAGTATTTGTCCTTTTCTGTCTGGCTTATTTCACATATAATGTCTTCCAGGTTCATCATATTGTAGCACATGTCAGAATTTCATTCCTTTTTAAGGCTGAATAATATTCCATTATGTGTATACCACATTTTGTTTATCCATTCATCCATCAATAGACATTTGGGTATTTCCAGGACAATATATTCTTAATTTAATCCCACATTTTAAGACTTACAGGTAATTTAAATTCAATTCAACTTACTGAGTATTTACTAAGGGTAACTCACTATGGGAAGTACTGTGGGAAATACAAGGGTAAATAAGACATGGTGCCTGCTCTCAAGGAAATTATGATAGACTGGGAAAAGGGAAGAGAAAGAAGTAGAAGTAACCAGCATTTGCTAATCGCTTGCCATGTGCCAGGTGCTTTACCCAATCGCTGCATGTATAGCTCCCAATGACTCTGTAAGTTAGATATTGTAATATCTACTTTATATAGGAAGAAGAATGAAGGCACTGAGACTTTAAGTAACCACCTCCAAAGCTGGGATTTAAACTCGTATCTTGGATTCAGAGGCCTGTGTTCATTCCACTACACATGCTGTTCCCTATGATTCAAGGCAGAATGTGATAAATCCTTGGGGAGAAGCTACAGCAAGGTAGAAGAGGAAGAGAAGAGATTGCTCCTTGCCTGAGGGTAAAGGTACATGACAAAGGTAGGTCTTAGAGGTCAGGAAGGCTTACGTTTGACAGAGATGGAGGGTGGAAAAAATTGCACAAGCAGAGCAAAATGAGGGAGGCAGGAAAGTTCAGTACATACTTAAGGCCCAGTGGAATTGTGGACCACAAGGCTGGAAAGTGGTGCGGGGAAAAATCACGGTCATAATGAAATGCTAGCTCAAGGGCTCTGAACTCCACCATCAGGCAATGGTGAGCCACTGTAGGTTTTCTGAGATGGGCCATAGTCAGAGCTATGCTTCGGGAAGATCACGATGGCAATAATGCATCACAAGGATGGAGGGGGTGAGAATAGCTTAAAGGTAGGAAAAGCAGTTAGAAGGTCACTGGTAATAGCAGTTGAGGCTTAATTAGTCAGAATGGAAAAGAGGATATGGACATGAGAGATATCTTAGAGGTGAGAATGACAGAACTCGGCAATCACCGCATTTCATAATGCATCAAGTAGGCTGACCATATATCCTGGTTTGCCTGGGATATGTTTTCCTGATGTAATTACTAATGGCACCCTTTTACTCTCGAAAAGGTTTGGACAATAAACTATATAATCATATTAATTAGGAGCAATTAGTAAACAGAATCAAAGGTGACTCCAAGATTTTAAACCTGGATTAGTAAGGAAAGTGGTAACACCTTTGGAAACACAGAAGGGAAATCAGGTTTTGGGGAAAGATGTGGAGTTTTGATCTGGACATGTTAACTTTGCTGCTCAGGCAAGGATTTATTTAAGAGCGAGAAGCACCTTGCCCACGGATTTCCCCTGTATCACATGAAGGAAGGCATCATTGACCTAAAACAAAATGCAAAAGAATGTGGTCAGATTTGCATATATGGATATTTCAACAAACATTTGATGCAGGATCAAGCAATAAAATAACTAAAGTATTAAGATGTATCTCCAATGAACTATAACTAACTATGCAACACTAACTAGTTATCACAAATGCAAAGGAAAACAATAACATTCAAGAATAACTCAGCCTCAGTATTTCTCTAAATGTATAATTCTCAGTGTTGTCAGATAAATGCCAGACGGTAAAAAGCCCTAGGCCTGTTCATACACCACTGTAATAGTGCTTTGTTTTCCAGCTTTTGAAAGAATGGAGGCACTGGCAGAAGAATCAGTATTTTTATGTTTAATAATTTTTGTCTTTTTATTAAAATTGTCCTACTTCCTATGTAACTGAAATTGTAATCTATCTTGAATCATTTTTTAGGAAGTACAAGGTTACAAACCATATATTTAAAAGCAGCTACAGTAATCAAGGCAGTGTGATATTGGTGAAAGAATAGACAAACAGATCAATGGAATAGAATAGAGAGCCCAAAAATAGACCCATACAAATATAGTTAACTGATCTTTGACCAAAGAACAAAGCAATTCAATGGAGACAGAATAGTCTTTCAACAAATGGTGCTGGAAAAACTGCACAGCCACATGCAAAAATATGAATCTAGATACAGACCTTATACTCTTCACAAAAAAAAACCTTAAAATGGATCATAGACCTTAAATGTAAAATGCAAAACTATAAAACTTCCAGAAGAAAATATAGCGAAAAATCTAGGTCACCTTGGTTTAGCAATGAGTTTTTAGATACAGCACCAAAAAAGCACAATCCATGAAAAAAAAATGGGTAAGTAGTCTTCATTAAAGTTAAAAACTTATGCTCTGCAGAAGACACTGTTAAAAGAATAAAAAGACAAGCCACAGTCTGGGAGAAAAATCTCTGCAAAACATATATCTGACAAAGGATGTGTATCTAAAATATACACAGAATTCTTAAAACTTAACAATAAAAAGCAGGCAAAAGATCTGAACGGACACTTCACCAAAGAAGATATACAGATGGCAAATCAGTATATAAAAAGATGCCCAACATCATATGTCACTAGGGAATTGCAAATTAAAACAACAATGAGATACCACTACACACCAACCAGAATGGCTAAAATCCAAAACACTAACAGTAAATGCTGATGAAGATATAGAGCAATAGAAACTCCCATTTGCTGCTAGAGGGAATACAAAATGGTACAGCCACTTTGGAAGACAGTTTGGCAGTTTCTTACACAACTAAACATATCCTTACCATACAATCCAGCAATTTCACTCCTAGGTATTTACCCAAATGATCCGAAAATGTATGTCCATATAAAAACCTGCACATAAATGTTTATAGCACCTTTATTCACAATTGCCAAAACTTGGAAGCAACCAAAATGTCCTTCAATAGGTAAATGGAAAAACAACCAGTGGTACATCTATACAATGAAATATCATTCTGTGATAAGAAGAAATGATCCATCAAGCCAAGAAAAGACATGGAGGAACCTTAAGTGCATGTTTCTAAGTGAAAGAAGCCAGTGTGAAAAGGCTACATGCAGTCTAAATCCAACCATATGACATTCGGGAAAAAGCAAAACTGTAGAGACAGTAAAAAGATCAGTGCCTGCCAGGGATTCAGGGGCTGGGGGTAAAGATGACTATGTGGAGCTCAGAGGATTTTTTTAGAGCTGTGAAGCAATTAAATCTAGACAAAAAGCAATTAAATCTAGACAAAAGTGATAGTAGCATGACAAATGTGGAAGGAGACTTTTGCAAAGTCTCAAACTAACATCTAGAACTTTGCTACTCAAAGGGTGGTACAAGAACCCCAGGCTTCCGCATCATCTGGGAGCTTATAAGAAATGCACAGGTTTGAGCCCCATCCTGTCTTTATTGAACCATAATCTGAATCTTAAAAAGATTCCCAGGTGATTTATATGCACATCAAAGTTTGAGAGCCACAGATTACACAAGGAACGTTTGCAACTTAGAGAAAGACAGGAAGGCCAGGCGTGGTGATTCATACCTGCAATCCCGGCATTTCAGGAGGCCATGTTGGGAGGATCGCTTGAGCCCAGGAATTGGAGACCAGCCTGGGCAACACAGGGAGACCCCATCTCTATTAAAAAGGTTTTTTTAATTAGCCAGGCATGGTGGCACATGCCTGTAGTCCCGGCTGCTCAGGAGGCTGAGGTAGGAACTCACTTGAATTTGGGAGGATTGCTTGAGGCCCAGAGGTAGCCTTCAGTGAACCATGATTGTGCCACTGCACTTCAGCCTAGGTGACAGAGCAAGACCTCATCTCAAAAAAACAAGAACAAAACCCAAAGACAGGAAGCCCAATAGAAAACTACACAAAGAGCTTAAATTGCAATTCAAAGCACTGGAAACCTGAATGGATACCAAATATATAAAGAGATACTTAAATGTATTAGAAATCAGGAAAATTCAAAGTAAAATAGTAAGATGCCACTTTACGCCTTACCAGTTTGGCAAAATTCTGAACGTTGGACATATCAACAGGGTGACAAATAAACAAGAATTCTCACGTACTGATTGACGATAGAGGCATAAACTGGTCAAGTCATTCTGGAGAGTAACTGGCAGTCAAATTAAGTATGCATACATCCTATGACCCAACAATCTACACCTGGGAAAATAACCCCAACGTGACCTTTGCACAAGTCCCTAAGGTTGTGCAATAAGTCTGTTTACTGCCATACTGATTATTATGATTTGATTAGGGCATCAAGTCAACCGCAAAGTTTATCAGTAGAAAATGAATCTATAAACTGTGGTGGATGCATACGATGCACCACGATGTAACAGTGGGAAGCAATGAACTGGATACAGGAACAGCAACACAGATGGATCTTAAAAAGCACCGACTGAGTTATATGAAACAGAACAAGGTCTAGTGCATAACACCATTTATGTAACTTAAAAAGAAATTAACACACAAATTAACTCTATTTGTTTTACAAGGAAATGCAAATCCAAAGATGCATATCAAACTCATCACAGACTGGCTCAGAAGGAAGGAAAAGGTGGGGAGAGGCAGTGGGAAATGAGGGGAAAGGGAATAATACAGACATTCATAAATATACAGACATAAAAACAAAAGATCAGCTGTCCATGGCCCAACAATGAAAATGTACTTTGAAATGACGATTATGATTAATCAACCCTTTCCGTTTGAGATTCTCAAAAAAAAAAAATACAAAAAATAAAGTAAAATAAGTACAGGAACAAATCAATCATGGCAATCTCTCTGCTGCATGAAATCCCTGCATGAAATCCTCTGAAAACATCTGTTTTTCAGAGCTCTGTGCCTTACAGAGACCTTTCCCATCTAAGCAAGTTTAGACTCTCGACGAGGAGGTGGAAGAGGTCTAAGACAGATGTTTGAAACACTCATCCCCCCTGTCAGTCATTTCCAGGTGACTCACAGCTGCATCATTCTCCCTGTCAGTTAGAAGTAACTTGTTCCCAGAGATGTGTCATAGCCCGACAATAGAAAATACTTGAGAAAATAAATATTATTAAAGCTAGTGATACTTTTTCACCTGGCATCCTAAGGGAGTCAAGGTCTTCTGCAAATAAATGTTAACATAAAAAGAAAGCTGTCCCTTCAAATGCTCAAGCTAATTTTAATCATTTTGCATAAAAATCTTTATTAAAATGTATCACATATTTCTGTGACTTCTATTACAGAGAATACTGGGGGAAAGCATAATCTTGTTCCATGACTTCAGCATTTCAAAATTTTGAACATCCATTATTTTACCTTCTATTTTTCTGATATTCTGTCACCTCTCCATGTCCAGTTGCCACTTCTGTTGTAACTGTAGCTGCTTCTAAAAATAACCCAACTCTGTCCCTTTCTACCTGGTGGTCTCTGTCCGGGCTGGGAAAACAGACTCTCAGTGGTGTTAAGGACTGGAAGTTTAATAAAAGTGATAAGGCTCTGAGTGAGAAACTAAAAAGTAAAATGCATGGCTTTAGACCAGAGTCTTTTGATAGCTACTTCAGATAGACTAGGGACGCTTTCCTCCTGGATTCTACAGGCTGTGTTACAGAGAGGAAGACTGTACAATACTGATGCCTAGGTGTAATAGATACACAGGCTGTTCCCAGCACTCTGGTTTTCTGCCTTCAGGTGGATGAAGCCATAATTAAATTTGTCTCTGGAGATATGCAACCTGGAATTTGCAGCAAGATAAAAACACTGCTTTTGTTTTAGGATATGAAGGTTCTGCTGTTGGAATTTTTAACTAGTTCATCAATCAGGAATAATCAAAGTAACCTAGAGTTTTCTAAATATATCATATTGATGTGTGCATTCATTAGAAACTGGCTCTCCCCCATCATAGTACTGTCCTGAGATCTTCCCAACTAAAACATAAACTCCTCATGGGCAAGACTAAATCTTACTTTTTATTGACTGACATAAAGTGAATGTTTGATGAATAAAATAAATCATGAATGAATGAGTATATGTGAGATGAGTGGGACTGGGTTTTTTTTCTAATCGTTTTTGGAGTACAGGTGGCTTTTGGTTACATGGATAAGTTACTTAGTTGTGATTTCTGAGATTTTAGTGTACCCATTACCCAGCAGTATACATGGTACCGAATATGTAGCCTTTTATCCATCCCCCAAATCTTCCCCCAAACCGAGACCCCAAAATTCATTAATATCACTCTTATGCCTTTGAGTCTTCATAGCTTAGATCCCACTTATAAGTGAGAACATACGGTATTTGATTTTCCATTCCTGAGTTACTTCACTTAGAATAATGACCTCCAGCTTCATCCAAGATGCTGCAAAAGGCATTTTTTTTTTTGTCTCTTTTTATGGCTGAGTAGAATTCCATGGTGTACATATACCACATTTTCTTTATCCACTCATTGGTCATTGGGCACTTAGGTGGGTTCCATATCTTTGCAATTGCAAATTGTGCCACTATAAACATGTGTGTACATGTCTTTTTCATATAATGACTTCTTTTCCTTTGGGTAGATACCCAATACTGGGATTGCTGGATTGAATGATAGTTCTACTTTTAGTTCTTTAAGGAATCTCCATACTGTTTTCCATAATGGTTATGCTAATTTACATTCCCACCAGCAGTGTAAAAGCGTTCCCTTTTCACCACATCCACACCAACATCTATTGTTTTTTAACTTTTTAATTATGGCCATTCTTGCAGGAGTAACATGGTATCTCACTGTGATTTTAATTTGCATTTCCCCAATTATTAGTGATGCTGAGCATTTTTTTCATACGTTTGTTGGCTGTTTGTATATCTCTTTTTGAGAAATGTCTATTCATGTCCTTCCCCCACTTTTGATGGAACTATTTGTTTTTTTTTCTTGCTGATTTGAGTTCCTTGTAGATTCTGGATACTAGTCCTTTGTCAGATGCATAGGTTGCAAATATTTTCTCCCTCTCCGTGGGTTGTCTGTTTACTCTGCTAATTATTTCTTTTGCTGTGCAGAAGCTTTCTAGTTTAATTAGGTCCCATCTATTTATTTTTTGTTTTTGTTGCATTTGCTTTTGGGGTCTTAGTCATGAATTCTTTGCCTAAGCCAATGTCTAGAAGAGTTTTTCTGATGTTATCTTCTAGAATTTTTATGGTTTCAGGTCTTATATTTAAGTATTTGATCCATCTTGAGTTCTTGAGTTGATTTTTGTATAAGGTGAGCGATAGGGATCCAGTTTGTTTCTTCTAGATGTGCCTGCCAGTTTTCCTAGCACCATTTATTGAATGGGGTGTCCTTTCCCCAATTTATGTTTTTGTGTGATTTGTTGAAAGTCAGTTGGCTGTAAGAATTGGGCTTTATTTCTGGGCTCTCTATTCTGTTCCATTGGTCTATGTGCCTATTTTTAAACCAGTAGCATGCTGTTTTGGTAACTATGGCCTTGTACTATAATTTGAAGTTGGGTAATGTGATGTTTCCAGATTTGTTCTTTTTGCTTAGTATTGCTCTGGCTATGTGGGCTCTTTTTTGGTTCCATATGAATTTTAGGATTGTTTTTTCCAGTTATGTGAAGAATGATGCTGGTATTCTGATAGCAATTGCATTGAATCTGTAGATTGCTTTGGGCAGCATGGTCATTTTCACAATATTGATTGTTCCCATCCATGAGCATGGGATATGTTTCCATTTGGTTGTGTTATCTATGATTTCTTTCAGCAGTGTTTTGCAGTTTTCCTTGTAGAGATCTTTCACCTCCTTGGTTAAGTATATTCCTAGGTTTTTGGGAGGGTTTTTCTGTTTGTTTTTTGCAGTTATTATAAAAAGGATTGAGTTCTTGATTTGATTCTCAGCTTAGTCGCTTTGGTGTACAGTAGTGCTACTGATTTGTGTATAATGATTTTGTATCCTGAGACTTTACTGAATTCATTTCTCAGATCTGGGAGCTTTTTGGATGAGTCTTAGGGTCTTCTAGGTATACAATCATATCATCAGCAAATGGTGACAGTTTGACTTCCTCTTTTCCAATTTGGATACCCTTTATTTCTTTCTTTTGCCTGATTGCTCTGGCTAGGACTTCCAGTACTATGTTAAATAGAAGTGGTGAAAGTGAGCATCCTTGTCTTGTCCCAGTTCTCAAGGGGAATACTTTCAACTTTTCCCCATTCATTATGATGTTGGCAGTGGGTTTGTCATATACAGCTTTTATTACTTTGAGGTAAGTCCCTTCTATGCCTATTTTATTGAGGGTTTTTATCATGCAAGGATGCTGGATTTTATCAAATGCTTTCTCTGTACCTATTGAAATGATCATATAGTTTTTTTTTAATTTTTTTTATGTGATGTACCATATTTATTGACTTGCATATGTTAAACCATCCCTGCATCCCTGGGATGAAACCCACTTGTTCATGATGCATAATCTTTCTGATGGGCTGTTGGATTTGGTTATCTAGTATTTTGTTAAGGATTTTTGCATCTATATTCATCAGGGAAATTGGTCTGTAGTTTTCTTTTTTCTTATGTCCTTTCCTGGTTTGCGAATTAGGGCGATACTGGTTTCACAGAATGACTTAGGGAGCATTACCTCTTTCTCTATCTTTTGGAATGGTTTCAGTGGGATTGGTACCAATCCTTCTTTGAATGTCTAGTAGAATTCAGCTGTGAATCTATCTGGTCCTGGACCTTTTTTTGTTTTTGGTAATTTTTTTATTACTGATTCAATCTCTCTGCTTGTTATTGGTCTGTTCATGGTTTCTATTTCTTCCTGATTTAATCTAGGAGGGTTGTATGTTTCTAGGAATTTATCTATTTCCTCTAGATTTTCTAGTTTGTACTCGTAAAGGTGTTGGTAGTAGCCTTGCATGATCTTTTGTATTTATGTGGTATCATTTGTAATATCTCCAGTTTCATTTCTAATTGAGCTTATTTGGATTTTCTCTCTTCTTTCCTTGGTTAATCTCACTAATGGTCTATCAACTTTGTTTATCTTTTCAAAGAACCAGCTTTTATTTCATTTGTCTTTTGTATTTTGTTGTTGTTGTTGTTTCAATTTCATTTGGCTCTGCTCTAATCTTTGTTATTTCTTTTCTTCTTCTGGGTTTTGGTTTAGTTTGTTCTTGTTTCTCTAGTTCCTTGAGGTGTGACATTAGGTTGTCAATTTGTGCTCTTTCATGCTTTTTGATGTAAGCATTTAATGCTATGAACTTTCCTCATAGCGCTACTTTTGCTGTATCCCAGAGGTTTTAATAAGTTGTGTCACTATTATCATTCATTTCAAAGAATTTTTTAACTTCCATCTTGATTTCATTGTTAACCCAAAAATCATTCAAGAGCAGATTATTTAATTTCCACATAATTGTATAGTTTTGAGGGTACTTTCTGGAGTTGATTTCCAGTTTTATTCCACTGTGGTCTAAGAAGATACTTGATATAATTTTGATTTTCTTAAATTTATTGAGACTTGTTTTGTGGTCTTCATATGGTCTATCTTGGAGAATGTTCCATGTGCTGATGAGAAGAATATAGAATACTACAGGTGCTGGGAAGAATTTCTGTAAGTATCTGTTAAGTCCAATTGTTCTAGGGTATAATTTAAGTCCATTGTTTCTTCATTGACTTTCTGTCTTGATGATCTGTCTAGTGCTGTCAGTGAAGTATTGAAGTCCCCCATTATTATTGTGTCACTATGTCATTTCTTAGGTCTAGTAGTAATTGCTTTATAACTCTGGAAGCTCCAGTGTTAGATTCATATAAATGTAGGATTATAATATCTTATTGTTGGACTGATCCTTTTATCATTACATAATGTCCTTCTTTGTATTTTTTTTTAACTGTTGCTGCTTTAAAGTCTGTTTTGCCTGTAAGAACAGCTACTCCTGCTCTCTTTTGGTTTCTATTTGTGTGGAACATCTTTTTCCACCCCTTTACCTTGAATTTACACGAATCCTTTTGTGTTAGGTGAGTCTCTTGAAGATAGCAAATATTTGGTTGGTGGTTCTTTATTCATTCTGCCATTCTGTATCTTTTAAGTAGAGCATTTAGGCCATTTACATTCAATGTTAATATTGAGATGTGAGGTACTGTTCTATTCATCGTATCAGTTGTTACCTAGATACTGTTTTTTTCATTGTGCTATTGTTTTACAGGCCCTGTAAGACTCACGCTTTAAGGAGGTTCAACCCTGGCCTACAGAATTGGGATAGTTTCTAAAAGGTAAAAACTTTTGGTTAGCAGGATGTTGTCATAGGTGAATTATATTCATCACATCATTGATCTAAGTTTATCTAAATCTTAGATACCACTACAAACCTAATGAAATGGCTAACATTCAAGGAAACAACTGACAAGACTAAGTTTTGGCAGATGCAGAGCAACTGGAACTCTCACACACAGGGAATGCAAAATGGTACAAGCACTTTGGAAAATAGTTTGCCAATTTATTAAAAGCTAAACATGTAGTAGCAAACCAGTGCAAGCAAACTCCCAAAGTGTTGAAACAGAGAGCTCAACTTTGGGCACATTTGTATGCCAGAGCACCAGTTTCTAATCCAGAATACAGCCAAAGAAATGGAAAACCTGTGTGATACGGGCTTTGATAGGAATGTAGTAACAACAGCCTTCTCTTCAAAATCATAGGACATAGAAACCGAAACAGAATTGTTTCTGAATAACTGAGGCATAGAGAAACAGCTGCTGATATAATCGAAGTTGCCTCTTTTTGAAGTGGCATCAACATCTGCTCTTTTTAGAATTCTGCACGGATTTATTTTAAAGTTATCATTCGGTAGCAGCTACAATTCAATCCTTGCCTTATATCATTCTTGCTTCATGATGTTATCTAGGCAAAAATGGAGAATTAGGAGAAAAGTAAAACCAATCACACATCTGTGTAAATTGTCTTAAGTTAAACATACATCTAGCATATAACCCAGAAATCTCAGTCCTAAAATATATAAAACCATATGTCTATACCTGTCATGAATGTTTATAGAAGATACATTCACAATCACCAAAAAACTGAAAATAATCAAATGTCTGCATACTGGTGAATGAAAAAAACTGTGGTACATCCATACAATGAAATACTACTCAGCAATAAAAAGGAATGGACTACCGACACATGTAGCAACATGGTGCACCTCAGAAGCATTACGCAAAGAGAAAGAAATCAGACCCAAAAGGCTACATACTGAATGATTTCATTTACATGACACTCTGGAAAAGGAAAAATTAAATGGGAAGAAAACAGGTCAGTGACTACCAGTAGCTGTGGAGCAGGAAAAGGAGACTGATTACAAGGCACAAAAGGGAACTTTTGGGGGTGACGGAAATGTTCTTATATCTTGGTGGGGTAGCTACGTGCTGTATAGGTTTGTCAAAACTCAGAGAACTGTACACCTAAAAAGGGTGAATTTTATTATACGTAAATTATATCTCAACAAACTTAACTTTTTTTAAAAAAAGTCAGACAATGTGGTACTGAACATAAAAATAAATAAATTTTTGAAGTTGAGCATCAGCATAAGCCCTTAGAAAATAGAACCTAATCAAAAGTTATGCCCTAATGCATCAGAGGGTTGCAATCCCAGGGAGGCAAGGGTAACAGAAAAAGTAAAACAAACCAAGGAGAGAAGGAGAGAAACTACAGGGCACTGTGTTACTGATTTTGAATTGGTTGTAGTTTCAGGGGGACATGTAGTTGGCTGTTGTTCACACGGGACCTCTATAGAGAAGCCATTGGATAGAGGCAATGGTTGCAAAAAAATAAATAAATAAATAAAAAAGGCTGGGCAGAGTGGCTCACACCTATAGTCCCAGCACTTTGGGAGGCTGAGGCGGGTGGATCACCTGAGATCAGGAGTTTGAGACCAGCCTGACCAACATAGTGAAACCCCATCTCTACTAAAAATACAAAATTAGCCATGAGTGGTGGCAGGCGCCTATACTCCCAGCTACTCGGGAGGCTGAGGCAGGAGAATCACTTGAACCTGGGAGGCAGAGGTTGCAGTGACCGAGAACATGCCACTGCACTCCAGCCTGAGCAACAAGAATGAAACTCCATCTTAAATAAATAAATAAATAAAGCAGCAGCCATATGAAACAGTCAACAGGGAGGAGAAAAGGCAAACAATTTATCTCCTTTCATTCCTCCCAATGAAAAGCTTGCCCAATGGAGTAAAATATCCATACTTCTGAACTGCATTGCCCAGACCCTGCATACAGTTTCTGGGGAAGCCAGAAGCTTCAACAGGTCCATTTGGATCAAACCTCTGTACCAGCGCTGCAGAAGCTCCTGTATGATGAACACAATAGTGGCCTTGCCTCTAGGATCAGCTCCCAACCCAGGAAAGCACAAGGCAATCAATGATGTTAGGAGATGCATCCTAGAGATAGTGGTCTGGGCTGTATGCATTGTAGGATCAGCTATAGGAGGCATCACTGGAAAAGCATGACAAGTGGCCAAGGCCTGGGGCAGGTGGGGCCAGCAGATATGAGGAATTCCTCAAACTGGGTCTAGAACAATGGGCTATAATTAATAGACCTTCTAAACTAAAAGAGTAGTTTCATTTTTAAGAATATGCCACAGATACACTAAGAAAATTTCAAGCAATTTCTATCCATTAACAATTTCTATCCATCTGTTCATATGATGATCTCACTTGACCTTTAAATAATAAATAAGCTCAGATCTGTGAGGTTAAATACCGTGTCAAGCTGACACATTCAGAGACAGCTCCCTACAGAAAACAGACACTGCACATCAAAATAATGCCCTCCTCTGGACAGATTACAGGACCAATTCATGATCCACCCACCACAGCATAGATATAATCCTTCAGAAAATAATAAATTCTAGGTAGAATTCAAAATCTAAAGACTGTCTTATAATCCTTCCCTCTGAGACATCAAAGCAAAAGTGTTACAGTTCAGGGGAACTGAAAAAGCTCAACTCCATATTTTATCATGGAAATATATTATGCTTTTAAAAAGTTACTATATTCATTATGTGCTTTTACATGTATCATGTTATTTAATCCTCATAATCACCCTAGGATGCAGGGTATATTACTGCCCCTGCTACAGATGAGAAAACTAAGGCACAAATATGTGTAATTTGCCCACAGCCAGCGTCTGAGCGCTGTTGGTCTGAGCCCAGAGCCCCACACACACACAGTCATTCAACAGGTATGTGAGCACCTGCCAGAAGCTGGAGATATAGAGGTGCAGACAGCACATGGCCCTGCTTGCACAGAGTTTATGCTCTATGGGAAAGACAGGCATTAAAGAAGTAATCACAAGTAAATAAAGGACAAGCAGAGTCCTATGGAAGTTCACACCCTGTGCCTACTCAAAAATCTATGGTGCAAAGTTTGTGGTCATATTAGTATCAACTATCAAGGTTAAATCTGCAAGTACACATATTCAGGAGAAAATACAAGCCAGTCAGAAATACTAGTGCATTTTAGTTTGTATTTTCTCTATATACAGTACAGTGGTCATTTTCCAAACCCAAACAGGTCCTGATAAATAACTTTTTCCAGTATGTTAACTAATTTACACGTTTACTGATTTACTCATTTAATATTTTTCTTACCCAGGCTTTAAAGTTCAGTGAAATTAATTATATATTCATTTAACCATCTTCATTTTCAAAAGAACAAAGAACAAAAGAACAAAATATATAAATTCTGGTACTGCTCAGGAAAATATAAGAGTATAACTATAACATAGTTAAAATAATCTCTTTCACACAGATAATTCTATGATAAATAGATAAACTGCATCCTATAGAATAAGGCTTCTCAGAAGTGACTTCTTGGCTTGTTTGAGGAGAGAGTTTGACAGTCATAAGCAGCCCAGATTCTGGCATCAGATGGAGCAAGACTAGATTTACTTCCTACCTATAACTGGACAAGGCTCCTAGCCTCTATAAGTCCTGATTCTTTCATCCGTAAAATATAATAAAGTTGGCATACCTCAAAGGGTTGTTGTGAAGGTTAAAGGAGATAATGCATGTAAAGTGTTTAGCATAGTTCTTGACCCACAGTAAGCACCTAATGTATATGAGCTGTCATTCCTATTATGAATCCTCTAAATGGTTTGCATATTGAAAGAAACAGAAAAAGAAGACATGGTAAATGGATGGTATATGAATGAGATGCTTGAAATGTGTGAGGGAGCATGGCCTAAAGAGCCACCCGATTACACCAAGGGCAGCAGAGTGAGAACAACTCTATACATCCCACATGCAGAGACCTCACTGGAAAGGAGAAGGGCAAATGGAAGCTGACAGGTGGTTAGTAATTACATAGTCAATTCATGTTTACAGAGGAGAGAGAACTTCAACGGGGATAATTAAAACAATAATCCACCTCTGGCTTTCGTTCCTGCCTAAACGGCACCTAAAAGACCTTGAGAGAGAAGAGACAGTTCAAACAGACACTTGTTTCCACTTCTGTATGCCTACTTGTCCTTATCCCTTATCAACAGGTATAGCCTCAGGTTAGAAGTCACGTGATAAACGCCACAGGATGGAAGGGGACCCAGAACTTGGGGTTTTCAAGTTTTAAAGCCACAAGACCTCTGCTTAAAAGTCTGAAAAAGTAGTTAAAATGTGCAGCTACTCAAACCCTAGCAGCGATGGGGTCCCACAGCCCAGGCAGCTCACATCTATGGCTGCTGCCCTAGCCCCACATCCCTGCTGTGGCTCCTGCAGCACAGTCTAAAAACCACTCATCACGTCCTCCTGCTTATTTAGAGAGGCAGAAACTGAAGTCAGAAAAGCAAGGGGATTTCCACAAAATAGCATGGCTGGAGGGATGAGCTGTGACTGGCATCCAACCAGTTTTCTACTGGCCAGTCAGGTTCTCTTCACCATTGAACACCATCTTCCTGACTTACATATTAAAAAGATAAAGAAAATAAGCCATGTTTGAAAAGAACGGGTCTCCTCACAGAAAGAAACAACCATGGAAGGCTGGTTAGCAATGAAGTCTGGCATCGACAGCTTGGGCTCCACTAATCTGCATTTGAACAAAATATCACCTCCATCTATGGCTGACAAGAGTTACCAAGACAGTTTTTTGAACATTAAAATAAATTAAGTCAAAAAAAAATAAAGATTTCACAGTGAATGCCTAACAGATTCACATTTACAACTATATTGCATATGCATGCTCACAATTACACTTCAGAGGAAGTTTAAGCCACATTAATGAGACTGGGGGGAATGAAAAAAGGTAGTGAATAGCCAACAAAATTAACTACAGTGACTAATGGATGAATTATAGTCTTATGATGCCAGGCATTATTTAGTGTTCTCCTCACAGAACCCCAACTTAGATCATCTGGTTGTGCTTTAAAGCATCTATATTTTAAAACCAAAGGTCATGCCAAGCACTTTCTTCTTAGGCTTGTATGTTGTAGAGTTCAAAGTTCATATCAACACGTGTAAATCATTTTCTAAAGAACCGTAACTTTCCTCTATTTGAGGGAGCAGTGATGCACACAGAGCCCTCAAATTTCGGCTTCACATGGCCTTCACGGATTCAGATTCACATTAGGCCTGAGTTTACAGCCATACAACCCAGAAGGCTGGGAAAAATCCTGTGACCCTGACACCTGTGCAATCCCACTATTCTGTGTTGCATTTTCATCTTTTCCTTTTATAAAAAGAGGACTGATAGCATCCAGAGATAAACTGCCCAGTAGCTTGCACAAGTTATTTCCTGGCCTCATCTGCATCACATCCCTTAAGTGTGTCTCACCTCGTCCAGCTTGAAAACCATTCTGACATATAGCTGGATGCACCCTTGCTGGCAGTACTGAAGCACTGAAGATAGGCTCTTGGAGAAGACGGGAAAGTTCATATCTTTGTATTGACCACAGTACAGGCCCATAGCAGAGATATTCTTCAGGAGCAGAAGGTTGGCTGGTTCAGAAGCAATGTTTCCTCCAGCAAATCCCACCACCACAATCCTGCCCTCCCATGCCAGGCTGAGGAGAAAGAGAAGAAGAAAAAGAAATGATAAAAAAGCAACATACATTCACACCCATTAGGAAGGCTAGTCTCGTAAAATAACAAGTGACAAATGGCGAGGATGTGAAGAAGTTTAAGCACCTGTGCACTGTTGGTGGGATTATAAAACAGTGCAACTACTATAGAAAACAGTATGAAGGTTCCTCAAAAAATGAAAAATAGGTTCAGCAATTCCACTTCTGATATATATCTAAAAGAATTGAAAGCAAGGTCTCAAAGAGATATTTGCACAGCCATATTCACAGCAGCACTATTCACAATAGCCAAGAGGTAGAAGCAGTCCAAGTGTCCATCAACAGAAAAATGATAAACAAAATGTGATATATACATATAATGAAATACTATTCTGCCTTAAAAAGGAAGGAAATCCTGTCACATGCAATAACATGGATGATCCTTGAGAACATTATGCTAAGTGAAATAAGCCAAACACAAAAAGGCAAATACTGTACGATTCCACTTATATGAGATATCTAAAGTAGTCAAATTCGTAGAAACAGAAAGTGAATGGTGGTTACCAAGGGCTAGGGAAAGGGAGGAAAGGAGAGTCGCTGTTTAATGGCTATAGAGTTTCAGGTTTACAAGATGAAAAAGTTCTTGAGATCTGTCACATAACAATGTGAATATAATTAACACTACTGAACTGTACACTTGAAAATGGTTAAGATGGTAAACTTTATGTTATCTGTTTTTTACCACAATAAAAAAAGTAAAATGAAAAAAAGAGCAATGTACATTCATTCACAGAGACAGAAAGTAGGACAGAGGTTACCAGGGGTTGGGGAAGGGGAAAGAGGCAGTTAATATTTAACAAGCACAGAGTTTTTGTTGGGGATGATTATGCAACATTATGACTGTATTTAATGCCAGTGAATTGCACACTTACAAATCATTAAAATGATAAATATTAGGTTATAGTATATTTTACCAACATTAAAAAAACCAACATGTATTAAATCCACAGCTGGGCAGTCCTCTTGACCTTGCAGACTGGCAGGAGTGAACCATCATTTATTACTTTGGGCTTCTCAGTAAAAAAAAAAAAAATATATATATATATACACACACACACACACACACATATATATATATATACACATATATATATATATATACCATAAGCAAAGTATTAGGGAACCAAAGGAACTAGACAATTTTATAAGGGGGCCCACTTAAAATCCAGGCTGTTGAGCCAGGTGCAGTGGCTTAAACCTATAATCCAAGCACCTTTGGAGGCCAAGGCAAGAGGATCATGTGAGCCCAGGAGGCCAAGACCAGCCTGGGCAACATAGTGAGACCTTGTCTCTACAAAAAATAAAAATATTAGCCAGAACACGATGAAACCCCATCTCTACTAAAATTACAAAAAAATTAGTCGGGCGTGGTGGTGGGCGCCTATAGTCCCAGCTACTTGGGAGGCTGAGGCAGGAGAATGGCGTGAACTCGGGAGGCGGAGCTTGCAGTGAGCAGAGATAGTGCCACTGCACTTAAGCCTGGGTGGCAGAGAGAGACTCCATCTCAAAAAAAAAAAAAAAAAAAAATTAGCCAGGCATTGTGGCACATGCCTGTAGTCCCAGTGATATGGTTTTGCTGTGTCCCCATCCAAATCTCATATTGAATTGTAGTTCCCATAATCCTCACATGTCGTGGGAGGGACCCAGTGGGAGGTAATTTAATCAAGGGGGCAGTTACCTTCATGCTGTTCTCGTGATAGTGAGTAGGTTCTCAAAAGATCTGATGGTTTTATAAGGGGCTTTCTCCAGCACTTCTCCTTGCTGCTGCCATGTGAAGAAGGACGTGTTTGCTTCCCTTTCCACCATGATTGTGAGTTTCCTGAGGTCTCCCCAGCCATGCTGAACAGCGAGTCAATTAAACCTTTTTCCTTTATAAATTACCCATTCTCAGGTATGTCTTTATTAGCAGTGTAAGAACAGACTAATACACCCAGCTACTCAGGAGGCTGAGGGAGGAGGACTGCTTGAGCCCAGGAGGTCAAGGCCGTAGTGAGCCATGGAGCCATGATTGCACCACTGTGCTCCAGCCTGTGTGACAGAGTGAGACCCTATCTCAGAAAAAAATGAAGAATCAAGACTATCTATTTAACTACCTCAACCACTTTGTGGAAGAAAATTGGGCAATGTCATTCCATAGGTTGTACTGAAACAACTCAGTTTGAAGATTATGAACTTAGGAAGCAGGAATAAGAAGAAATACACTTTAATGAGGGAAGGACCATTTGCTTTATACAAAGACTTACTTTAGGATTCCTTTAACACATTGCCTCTTTAGAGAATTTTAAATAAACTACAAAAATGCATAAGTATTCTGTAGCCCAGTATGAAAATTCCCCTACGGTACCATTGCTAAGCAATGAGTTACAGAAACAACTTTTGCAAACATCTTTGATATAAAATATGTGTATATTTGTTTGGCTTTTGCTTTTTGCTTTTCTTCTTTAGAAGGGAAATGAGAAGCTATTGCAAAAACACAATTATCCAGAAGGCAAGAAGGAAGGCAAGAGATGGGCGAGTTTTACCAGCTGTCTATCCTGGCTTTCCACTTGGACTACACGCTCCTTCCTTTGCTTCTCCTCTAAGCACAGCACCAGGCACAGTGCAGAGATGAACAAACATATAGACTGCCTGCCACTCAGCTCAGGGGCTAGAGAACCAACTGGACCCCTTTTGTGGGTAGGCTGCTCTCTGCTTCTGCAGCTTCTACCTGAAACTGAGATAAACTACAAAATTATGCTTGCCAGGACGACATGAGAAATGAAACCAATGCTATCAGAGTACTCCAGAATCCTTGGTTGAAAACAGAATGAGAATTGGTGTGATACAACACTCCTACTAAATCTCCAGTGATATTTTTTAAATAAAACAAGTCAAGGAATTATCTACGCTGCTGGCTGCTTCAGAAAGCAGTAAGATCAGAAGAGCCTGTAGTTTGGTCCACAATGAACTGGGAAAAGGGGAACTGCCACCCCAGTAATTCTAATAGCTGAACAATGCCCTCTGCAAGAATTCCCCACAGACATGGATATAAAGTAGTTAGTGAGAACTGGCATAACTGAATTTAACACATGAATAATTTCTAAAGCATTTGGCATTGCCAACTAAGAGAGTCTGCAGTCATTTTTTGGATATTTTCCAGATGGGTATTTTGTTTTTGCTATATATAAGCATTTCCTGATTTTCTCTGCTTCTATTCCTTTTCACCCACCCACTTGCTGTTCTCGTTGATGCTGATGCCTACAGAAGAAATGAAAAGCAAAGATGAGAGAGAAGCAAGGCCAGAAGGAAGGCAGAGATCAGGAAAGGTTTCAGCTCCAGCCCACTCTAGACAGACCACCCCATGCACCTGCGGAGAGCCTCCAGGCAGATGTCTCCTCCCACCATGTCGATGGCCACATTCACCCCGCCCTCGCCCACCAGCTTCCTTACTGCATCCTTCAGGCTGCCCTGACTGTAGTTCACGCTGGACTGCGCACCCCTCTGCATCGCCAGCTTGCACTTCTCGTCACTTCCAGCAGCAGCTATATTACCTGCATCAAGAACACAAGATATCTGATTATCCAGAACATGTCCCAAGAAAGGGGCACCCCACCTAACCCATCTCCAGCCCAAGGGTGCTACTCAAGGAAATCATTGTGACCTTGCTGCCCTGGCACTGGCCTTGAGCCCACACATCAGGCCCAACACACAGACCATCCCACTGGCCCCTCCATGCCCTACTAGTCATGAGGTCCACATTTCTAGGAATCGTGGAACCCTAACAAGGATAGCTAGAAGGTGGTTCAAGAGACATTCAGAAAGTCTTCTCAAATTCAAATGAAAACCACCATTTATTGAGCATCTACTATGAATCAAGCAGTAAGGATACAAGATGGATCCTTTAGAGCCAAGAAAGCAAGATACAGCAGAATGATGGGGGAAATAAACAGGGGTCCAGAAATGTAAACAAGAGGTACCCAGTCTAAATCTAGAGGATCAGGAAAGACTTCCTAGAGGGTAAAACATGATTCAATAGAAAGATCTTGAGGTTAGAGAGACCTTAGTCCAACTTCTGGCTTTGCCACTCACTAGCTGTGTTGACCTAGGCAAAATACTTAGTAACAAAACAACATTTTGTTACTATTTGCCAGTTAACATTCTAAACATTTTATGTATATGAATAACTCATTTAATTGTAATAGCCCAATGAAATATACAGTATTATTATCCTTGTTTTATAGATGAAGAAACTGAGGCAAAAGAAGTTAAGTAACTTGTTGCCCAAGGAAGGTCGCACAGCAAATGGGAGACAGCACTGGGGTCCAAACCCACGTAATTCGTCTCCAGAGTCCATGCATTTAACCTCCATACTGCCTGCCAGCTTCTCAAGGTTTCAGTTACCTCATCAGTAAAGTAAGACATTTAAAAAATTATCAGAGGCCAGGCGCGGTGGCTCACGCCTGTAATCCCAGCACTTTGGGAGGCCCAGGTGGGCAGATCACAAGGTCGGGAATTCAAGACCAGCCTGGCCAATATGGTGAATCCCCCATCTCCACTAAAAATACAAAAATTAGCTGGGCATGGTGGCACACACCTGTAGTCCCAGCTACTCGGGAGGCTGAAGCAGGAGAATCACTTGAACCTGGGAAGTGGAGGCTGCAGTGAGCCAAGGTGTGCCACTGCACTCCAGCCTGGGCAACAGAGCGAGACTTCGTCTCAAAAAAAAAAAAAAAAATTCACGGGCTGGGCGCGGTGGCTCACGCCTGTAATCCCAGCACTTTGGGTGGCCAAGGTGGGCAGATCACAAGGTCAGGAGTTCAAGACCAGCCTGGCCAATATCGGGAAACCCCATCTCTACTAAAAATACAAAAATTAGCTGGGCATGGTGGTGTGTGTCTGTAGTCCCAGCTACTCGGAAGGCTGAGGCAGACTAATTGCTTGAACCTGGGAGTCAGAGGTTGCAGCGAGCCGAGATCTTACCACTGCACTCCAGCCTGGGCGACAGAGCAAGACTCCGTTTAAAAAAAAAAAAAAAAAATTATCTCCAGGCACAAGCTCAAGAGAAATAAAGGAAAAAGAATTAAATGGGACACTGTATACAAAGCACTTGGAAAACAAAGTGTTAGACAAACTGAAGCCATTGTTACACCATGCAATCATTTTTTCTATTTGAACCTCATAAGAACATTATTGAGGAGATATAATTACTTCCAGTTTCCAGACAGAGACATAGACTCAGAGAGGTAAAGCAATCAACCAGGGTCATCCAGGTTGCAGGTGTTAGAACAATTACTCAAGCCCACTGCTGCGTTACTCCAAAGCCCATGCTTTTCCACTCCATCACCCTAGGAGAAAGCCATACCTAAGGCCCGACACAGATGGCATAGATGGTGGTGAGCCATACTGTGGGGAAGTCTGGGGTTTGGAAGTCTCCAGAAAAGCTGCAAACACTCAAGCATTGCCTAGACATGCCTCACCATGGGGCAGCACCCACCAGCCCAAGCACTTTAGTCTCAAAGTGAATTTGCAATGAAATACTCCAAGAACACTGGTGCCCTTAAAAGATTCCAAACTTACTCATAACTATTTGAAACTGAATGCTTCCCTCAAATATTCCTTGGTGGAACCCTGAAATAGTTGCAGTTCAGTGAGGGCTATTAGCACACAGTGCCACAGTGGGCAGACACTGCTCTAGGGTCAGGCACCTGAATTGAATCCCGAGATTCTCACTAGGTCTCCATGGGACCTGCAGTGAACCATTTTCTCTCTTGGTGCCTCGCTTTCTTGATCTGTGAAATAGGGATAATAAACACTTACACTGCCCACATCCCAGGGGCTTTGTGAGGATCAAGGGTAAGATAATTGCCGCAGAGACACTTTGGAAGCAATATGAAATGCTGTGGATTCGAGGTGTAATCAAAATGACCTGTTCCACATAGGTGGCATGGTAACATTTATATTTTTGTTTGCTTTTGTTTAAAACCATTATTGAGGTTCAAGAAAATACAGCTTAGGTTAATTTTAATATATTAATTAAAGTGAGCTTTTCTATCTACTATTTATAACAATTTATAACTATTTAAAACAATTTGTACAATTTTATCTTCCTCGAAATGTTAAATAACCAATAGCTCTAGACAATAAAACCAATTATAGTCTCTCCCCCAGACAGGAGCTAAAAGCCCATCCTGTTAACATGAAATGTGTTCATATCACTTGAGGAGCCTCCTGGTATCTATGATTACTTTCAGAACTCACATGTCCTTCCCAAATGGAACTTAATAGGAGAAAGGAGAGATGTCCCCTAAAGGAATTCCAGACCAATCCAATTATTTCCAAACCTATATACCCAGCTGCCCTCTGGCTATCCAATTGCACGCTCCACAGGAATCTCACATTCAACACAGCCAAAACCCAACTCACTATTCCTGCCTGTGTTCTCAATCTCAATTAGATGGCAACTCCACGAGTTAACTTAGTTTGCTCCTTCCCACTCAATGTCTAATAATAACAGGATTCTTTTTAAAGAGATTCTTACTGACATGCCCCGCCCTCTAATAGGCACTGCACGTGTAATCTCAGTATTCCCACAACAACTCCATGGAGAGAGCATTCTTTTACAAGTGAGAAAACTGACGATATTAAGCTGGAGGCAGAGCTGGAATTTGAACCTACGTCAGGCTAACTTTAAAGTCCTTGTTCTTTCGACTAGAGCAGGATGCTCTCCAGGTACCAAATTATCTATTTTTTTTCCACTTCAGTATCTCTCAATGCATTGTTTCCACTGCCTTGGTTCAGGTAGCCTATCCTAATCCTGGCTCAGATTGCTCCAAGAGCCTGTCCTATTGCTTCCAGACTACCCTTGACCTTTCCCCTATCCCTCATCCCCACAGCTACCAGAGTGAACTTTTCCAAATGCAAAAATATCATGTCACTTCCCTACTTTAAATCCTCAACTCCTCTCAATAGCTTCCAATAAATGTTCAAATTCTTCAGCCCCACACAAGGGCCTCGTGATCTTATCTCTGCCCTCCTCTCTAGAGCCACCTTCCACCATTTCCCCCCAGGTCCCTGGCTCCAGAGATACTATTTGCAATTCTCTGAATGCATCATGCTAGTTCCTAGTTCTCTATCTTCTAATAAGTCCTCCCACCACTGAAATGGCCTTCACTTCCCTTCTTCCTCTATTCAACTGCTACCAATTCTTTAAAAGTCAGTTTAAATGTCCACCTTCTCCAAGAAATCCCCCTTTTCCAACACTCACAGCCTCAGAAAGATACTTCTGAAGAGACCTAAGTCTTTTTTCATTATTTTATTCATTCATTCATTTAAGAAATAGTTCTTGAGGGCCTACTATGTTCTAGGTACCATGCTAGGTGCAGGACTACAGGGATGAACCAAAGAGACACTGTCACTGCCTTTATGGGGATTACAATCCAGTAAGAGGGAGACAATAACCCGATAAGGACACAAGTAACCACACTCTGAGCTATGTATTATGAAAGAGAAGTAGAAGGTGCTATGAAATCATATATACAGAGGAGGGAGAGGGGCCTCACCTAGACTGAGGGACAGAGAATACTTCTCTGAAAAAATGACATTTGAGTTTAAATCTGAACGACAGCTCTGAGAATTACAGGTAGAGAAAATAGCATGTGCAGAAGGCATGAAGTGGGTCAGACCTTGCCAGGGTCTAGTAGCTGGAAGGATGAGTGATTTGCTTCTAGGCCCCCTCCCTAGTCTGTAAGCGAATAGATGGCAAGACCCTGCTCTGGGTTACTTTATATCCCCAGTGCCTTGCACATGATTTTTAATCAATGAATGAATATATTGTTTGAATAAATATATGTTTGAAAACTGGAGTTATGATTTTTGTAAGTGGTGACTCTAACATACAAATAACCTTGGCCTGAAGAACATTTGTTGCTACATCACTGCAAGGCCTGTGGCTCCAGCTGCTGCCGTCACTAAAACAACTCTGTGCCAAAGAAAGATGAATGCTACTTCAGAAACCTTCAGAAGTCAACCAGTAATATGATTTCACAAATATTTTAGAAACAGAACATTTTAAAGCAAGAATGTTAGAGGTCGTTTCATTCAAACCTTCATATACATCTGTTCTCCACCCTGTAAGCTTACGGATGTGACTTCTAGATTAGTGCTAATTGGGTTCAGTTTTGAAGACCTCCCAGGAAAAATATTCCTGAATCTCTCTAGGTAGCCTCTCCCTCATATCAGTGGCAACCCTTCCTTTGAGCTACCACTCCAATTTATTCTTCAGAAATTCTATCTTAAAATCCTTCTCATATTAGATACTGCCCAATGTTACAAGGTGATGAGCATGTAATGGCCACTGCTCAACTAAACCCACCTCTCTGAAGCAATTCTGAGTCTCACCTCTCTGAAAAGATCAAGAAGTAGTACGTATGCTCCAGGTAAAGAGTCAAACTTCAGCACCTTTTCTCCTGAAATGTCCCATCTGACACACTCAACAAGGCCTCACAGAAACAAATACCATAGGCCTCTAATAAACTCAGAGTGAAATGGGTTTAAATAAACCAACTATCTACACTTTAATACTTTTATGAGATCTCCAGGGCGGTCACATTTGAGAGAGGTATTTCTCCAATTCACAATGGCCAAGTTCACAGCCTATCATCTCCTCTCAGACAGAAGGATGTCCTCACAGTCAAAAAACCCCAATCTCAAGTGGCTACCTCCCTTTGGCCTTTCCTCAGCCAAAAGGAAGGGAAGGGAAGGGAAGAGGTGGGGCATGGCCTTGTCGGACACTTCTGATATCAAGAGAAGGGTACTTTCTAGCCTTCTGTCATCTACACAGTCCTTACCCAGGCTGGGTACGGGCCCAATGCTCAAGAGCAAAAATCGCAGTGCCATAAGTTATAGGGAGGACAGCAGCTTCTTATAGGGAGACCTTTTCTGGAATCTGCCACAGGTCCTAAAAAAGAGATAACAGTGACTTACAGATTGAGTGTATGTACCTAAGTCGTAAAGGCTGCTCAGTAAATATTAGGATTTGATTCAGTGACTGATTTGTAAAGGGAATCACTTGCCCATAACCAAGCCCAGTGGAAGTCAAAACTAAGCAAGCTGTAGCAGATTTCAGAACTTGAATGCATCAGACTTCAAAACCCCAAGGCTAGCATCTGGCTCAGAAAGGAGCCAACAGGTAGAGAATGGAACACAGATCACTGTACTGTGATGGGTGAATGGTCTGGTATGTCAGTTTTACCTCAGTAAAGCTGGTGGGGACAATTGTGTACTGTCCACCACCAGGGGGCACCATTCACACCCTGCACAACCATGCTAGACTACCCTGGCTGGCTCCATTCCCAGGGCTATCTCTTTCATAAGCTTTGTGTCTGGGAGAAGCCCATTACATCCAGCTCAATGCCCAAAACCAGCTTTTCTACTAAAACTACCTAGTCCAAATGAACAGCCAGCTCAAGGACTCAGAAAACAAAATGTTGTTCTTCATTAAAACACTCAATGCAAACAAAGCTCTGTGCAAAGTGTTGTCACATTAATGAAGAGAAGGAGTTTAACATTTGAAAAAATGAAGTGCTTAGCTGAGAAACAAGACATGACCAAATAAATACAAAGAAAAAGAGGGAGAGGGGAAGACAGGAATGAGGGATAGGTGGAAATTAAAGAAAAACAAAGGAGAAAAAACATCTTCAACCATTAATCTTGAGTGGTACAGATACCTTCTGGTCAGTGACGCATTCTTCAGCCATACAATTAAAGTTTCTTGTGCCAATAACTCTATCTCCCTAAAGGAAACATACCATTAAGGATATGTGCAAATGTATGACCTTGCATTCCTTTTCCTGAATTAATCAAAAAAGAAAAAAAAATGCACATCTCTGACTCCATAAGACACAGGTTGGTCTTAATTATTCAGAGTTACTGTTTAGTAAATAAAATAATAACTCTCTCAATACCACCACCAGGCTGTGAAGCCAATTTGAGTGAGCACATTTGAGACGAAGAGAGAGAGTAAGGGAAAGGTTGATTTGAATTAGAAGCCCACTCTTAATTTCACAAGAGAATCAAATTCTCTGTCCTCTTGGTTAAAGACTGAGGTGCCGCCTTTTATTCATAATGAAAAGTTTAATGAAGCCAGGAACTTCCAATTACTTCCTTTCCCCAGAAAGAATTTTGTTTCTTACCTTTCTAGTTAGGTTTCCCTTTGGTGTCTGCAGGCAAAAGCCAGTAGAAGCAAGACCCTTTGGCTACAAATGAAGTTAGCATATTTTTCATAGCTACATATACATTGATTCCCTAGACTTCAATTAATTTACCTCTTTAACTGTCCTGACATCTGTGCCTGTCTCCAATACTGTCCC